>NC_000003.12:155523755-155826786 GCF_000001405.40 Homo sapiens | reverse complement strand
GGAGGATAAAATGGGTGGGAGAAAATGGCACACAGCACCTGAAGAAAGATGGGGCAGTGACCTCTAGAACTCATGCATTGCCATTGGAAAGCCTGTGTTGGGCATCGATGTCAGATCCTGAAGAATCACCTGGAAAAAATCCCATCCTAGAGGCAAGGAGGCTACACCAAACCATACACTACAGTACTTTGTCACATGGTTGTCCATTATCATGTATTAGAGTCTAAATGATTACTTGAATAAAGAAAAAAAACCACTTAACTCTTACATATGAAATGTGTTTTGATTTTTAATTTTTGGATTAAGAAACTCAGATTGCCATAATAACCTTTTATTTCTTCCCGTGTATATTATTACAAATTATATATACTTTCAAACATAGTTTTTTTTTTTTTTAATTGAGACAGAGTCTCACTTTGTCACCCAGGCTGGAGTACAGTGGTGCAATCTCGGCTCACTGCAACCTCTGCCTCCTGGGTTCAAGTGATTCTCCTGCCCCAGTCCTCTGAGTAGCTGGGACTACAGGCGCACACCACCACACCCGGCTAATTTTTGTATTTTTAGTAGAGATGGGGTTTCACCATGTTGGCCAGGCTGGTCTTGAACTCCTGACCTCAAGTGATCCACCCGCCTCGGCCTCCCAAAGTGCTGGGATTACAGGCATGAGCCACTGCGCCCAGCCTTCAAACATAGTTTTAATGTCAGTACATCTTTAATGACTTGAAGTTTTAAAACATTTTAAGCCTTTAAGGTGAAAGCCATTTAATTAATTTGCTCTAGAAATAAGCACAAAAAATTATAGTTAATTTGAATACATGTATGTAATGCATGTCAAAATAACTTGTTAATAGCTATGTGCAACTGTGTTGCATACATTGATCACTAATGGCATTTAAAAATGATCTGCCTAAATCTGAGGATCTGTTTATTATAAATCAGTAGTACTAAAATATACCACCCTGTTTTTATGTTGTGGGTGTTTTTCTTGATTGATTGATCCTGATAAATTAAACAGTACCTTCAAGTATGGACTTTTAACTCCTCCAGTTAATGCATCATATGTTTACTGGCTAATATTAGATTGAACATTTTTCTCTCTATGTCAGTATCTCCATATGCACATTGGTTGCCGCATATATACATCTGAGTTTGAAAAGTTCTTCTGAGATTACCTAAAAGTAACACCACAGATTCCTTCCATTGTAAATACTTTATTTTATTTTATTATTATTTTTTAGAGACATGGTCTCACTTTTGCCCAAGCTGGAGTACAGTGATGCAATCATAGCTCACTGCAGCCTCAAATTCCTAGGCTCAAGGGATCTTCCTTAGGCTGGATGCTGTGGCTCACACCTGTAATCACAACACTTTAGGAGGCCAAGGCAGGAGGATCACTTGAGGTCAAGAGTTCAAGACCAACCTGGTCAATATAATAAGAACCTGTCTTTATGACTTCTTTTTTTTTTTTAATTATCCAGGCATGGTGGTACACACCAGTAGTCCCAGCTACTTGGGAAGCTTAGGCGGGAGGGTTACTTGAACCCAGGAGGTCAAGGCTTCAGTAAGCAGTGATTGTGGTACTACATTCCTGTCTGGGTGACAGAGTGAGACCCTGTCTCAACAACAAAAAAGGATCTTTCCACCTCAGCCTCTCTGGTAGCTAGGACTACAGGCACACAGCACTATGCCCAGCTAATAAAAAATAATAATTTTTTATAGAGGTGGGGTCCGCTATATTTTCCAGGCTAGTCCCAATCTCATAGCTTCAAGCAGTCGTCCAGCCTTGACCTCTCAAAATGCTGGGATTACAGGTGTAAGCCACCGTGCCCTGCCCATGATAAATATTTTAATTTTGCCTGATAAGTCATAAAAAGTTTATTCAACACCTTAAATAGATTTCTCAATTTTTTAAAAATATTAAACCTTTGAAATCGAAAGTAATTTTTGGATTTCACCCCTTTATTGCAAGGTTTTTGATGTCTGTGGGAAAAACCCCTGAATTGCTTGTGAAACTCTGGATATGTAATTTTTTTTCTTTTTCTGAACAGAGTAAAATCTTGGATGGGCCATGATCCAAAAATCATGGTTTTGAAAGTAGACCGTACTATAAGCCATAATCACAAATCTGAGGTAATAGTTGTGAAAGTGTTTAAAACATCCTGAAAACAATGTTGAAAAAAAAAATCTATGATAAAAACTATAAAATCTCTGCATATGTTATACTGTATTGAACTTGAAACTTTGAAGGAATTAGAGTAGATAAGACATTAATGGTAGAAGAGAAACCACAGGGGTGAATTATATCCTACAAAAGAGAAATCTTCATGATTTAACCTTTTTTTTCTGAGTGACTTTTATTTTGCCTTATTAACAGAAACCTGAGAAAGTATGTTGCTTTGTATTAAATGGTTGAGACCATTATTTGATATAAAAGCTGAAAATTTAATTTTTGTATTTTGGAGAATTCTGTGGTTCCAAGTAATTGAAAGAATGACTAAAGCTGTATGTCATAGACCCTGCTAAAATGAAATAACTTGTTGGGAACATTCCATGCAGATTTCCAAAATGTATTTTACCTTATTATTAGAGAAAGAAAATAAACTTTTAAAATAATCTGATAACTAGCATTCATATATTTAATAAGTATTTTGGTTACAGAAGGGAAGGTGATACTGTACATTGTAACTGCTGAGACTTTTTTTTAACCAATGTCTTTGGTAGATAGCGAGGCACAATTATTTTCTCTTAGGGAGGATTTTGAATACCTATTGCAGGCTGGGCATGGTGGCTCACGCCTGTAATCCCAACCCTTTGGGAGGCCGAGGTGGGTGGATCACTTGAGGTCAGGAGTTTGAGACCAGCCTGGCCAACATGGTGAAACGCCGTCTCTACTAAAAATACAAAAATTAGCCAGGCATAGGGTGGCACACGACTGTAATCCCAGCTACTAGGGAGGCTGAGGCAGGAGAATTGCTTGAGCCCGGGAGGCGGAGCTTGCAGTGAGTTGAGATTGCGCCACTACACTTCAGCCTGGGCGACAGAGCGAGACTCCGTTTCAAAAACAAACAAACAAAAACAAAACAAAAACACCTACTGCAGACCATGTTCTTTTTACTTTATTTTATTTTATTATTTTTTTGAGATGGAGTCTGGCTCTGTTGCCCAAGCTGCTCACTGCAACCTCCGCCTCCCGGGTTCAAGCGATTCTCCTGCCTCAGCCTTCCAAGTAGCTGGGACTACAGATGTGCACTACTACGCCCAGCTTATTTTTGTATTTTTGGTCGAGATGGGGTTTTGCCATGTTGGCCAGGCTGATCTCAAACTCCTGACCTTAGGTGATCTTCCCGCCTTGGCCTCCTAAAGTGCTGGGATTACAGGCGTGAGCCACCGCTGCTGGCTCTTTTTACTTTAGATTGTATCTGCCTGATTTGACAATGCCAAATTTTTTATGTAATCACCATTTGGTTTGGGACTGAGAGCTCTTTCATTTTCTACCAGTCAAACCACTATTAGAGTCTTCATGTTACTTCCCCAATTTGCTAGCAAGGTAGAATCAGCATGGATAGCTTATTTTCCTTATTGGAATTCTGTTTTGGAAGAGGCAGGTCTTATAGCAGGGCAGACTAATTAATGTGCTGAACTCATTCCCTCCTGCTTAAGTGAATAAAAACTTTTATTTGACTATGGATTATAAAGATTGCCTTTAAGGAGCCTTGTTTATTTTGGGGAAGGAGAATGGATATTTTGTAGGAGAAAAAGACTTTATATAGTAAATGAAAAGTCTATGGGCTGGGTGTAGTGGCTCATACCTTTAATCCCAACACTTTGGGATGCCAAGGTAGGAGTATTGCTTGAGCTCAGGAGATCGAGACCAGGGAGACTGCATCTCTATTTTTAATTAAAAAGGAAAGAAAAAGAAAGAAAGTTCTATGACTAATCACCTTTACTCTAAAAAAATTTTGCCCAAATGTGTAATGAAAGAGATCATATTTAAATATCAGCAATATTAATTTGCATAGCTCATAAGAAGTCTTGACTCATTTAGAAAAAGGTTGCTACAGTTTAATAGTTTTTTATTGTCAATATAGACAATATAACTTTATAACAATTTTATGTGAAGAATAATGATTAAATGGCATGACTGAAATGCACAAGGTACAGGTACAATCCTTAGGGAGTTATCTTAAATTTCTTTTTTTTTTTTTTTTTGAGATGGAGTCTTGCTCTGTCGCCCAGGCTGGAGTGCAGTGGCATGACTCCCTGCACCCTCTGCCTGCTGGGTTCAAGTGATTCTCCTTCCTCAGCCTCTCCATTAGCTGGGATTACAGGTGCCTTCCACCACACCTGGCTAATTTTTTTGTATAGTATAGACGGGGTTTCACCATGTTGGTCAGGCTGGTCTCAAACTCCTGACCTCGTGATCTGCCTGCCTCGGCCTCCCAAAGTGCTGGGATTGCAGGTGTGAGCCACTGCACCTGGCGGGAATTATCTTAAATTTCTAAAATTGAATACCCCAGTCAGCTACAATTAATCAATCACTAATGTAAATATTAAAGCCTATTCTTATTTTCCTTGAAATGATCTTAAATGTTGGAAAAGTTTAATTTTGTAGTCAGAGTTAGTGAAATTGAAATTTTTTTATCACCTGCCCCTATAAAATTAGAGAAATATAAGATTGGAAAAAAATTTGATATTTAAGAAAGTGGCATATTTGAACCAGGTGTGTTGGCTTACACCTGTAGTCCCATTAGTTTGGGAGGCTTAGGCAGGAGAATCACTTGAGGTCAGGAGTTTGAGACCAGCCTGGCCAACATGGTGAAACCCTGTCTCTACTGCAAATACAGAAATTAGCCGGGCATGGTGGTGGGCACCTGTAATCCCAGCTACTTGGGAGGCTGAGGCAGGAGAATCGGTTGAACCTGAGAGAGGGATGTTGCAGTGAGCCGAGATTGTGCTACTATTCTCCAGCCTGGGCAATAGAGTGAGACTCAGTCTCAATTAAAAAAAAAAAAAAAAAATGCGGCCGGGTCCAGTGGCTCACGTCTGTAATCCCAGCACTTTGGGAGGCCAAGGCAGGCAGATCACTTGAGGTCAGGAGTTGAAGACCGGCCTGACCCACATGGAGAAACCCCATCTCTACTAAAAATACAAAATTAGCCGGGTGTGGTGGCCCAGGTCTGTAATCCCATCTACTCGGGAGGCTGAGGCAGGAGAATCGCTTGAACCCGGGAGGCAGGGGTTGCGGTGAGCCGAGATCGCACCATCGCACTCCAGCCTGGGTGCAAGAGCGAAACTCTGTCTCAAAAAAAAAAAGGAAGTGGCATATTTGGTAAATTGATAAATTACCACTGTCAAATTATATTGGTGAGTCTATATCTATTGTTGTCCCCAGATGTTGCCTTTGCAAGAATTAGTGTAAAATTGGAAAAAATACTCAATGTTGAAAGCTGTCATTGTTGAGATCTTTATGAAATTATTGTGCCCATGTCCAAGTTTGAATTAGAGATACACAGCACACAATCATTTCTGTTACCACTTTTGGAATATCTAGCATTAGCCTTGATAGTTTTGTGTGGTGTGTTTTGAGTATATCTGAACTGTTAGTTATATTTGGTTAATTTATTAAAAGATGTGTGTTAAACCTTAATATTTATGCAGTGTTTAAGTATTTGGAATATATTTGAAATAAATTATCCAGTGTTTTAGATAAATGGTTATTTAATTGCTTAAAGTGATTCTCTAAAAAATAAAACATTAATGAAATATCTTGTTTTCATTTTTATTAAGTAGTAGCTAAATTTACTTTCAAATTAGTCTTGTTAAAATTACAGTAGATTGGCACAATTAGAACCAACTGCAGTAATTTCAAGTAACTTACACTTACTAACAAATCTTTTGTTTTCTTTATTTATGAAGCCATCCTCAATTATTTTTTTAGTTAATTTTTTTTCTTTTTTTTTTTCTTTTTTTTTTGAGACAGTCACTCTGTCACTCAGGCTGGAGTGCAATGGCACGATCTCGGCTCACTGCAACCTCCGGCTCCCGTGTTCAAGTGATTCTCCTGCCCCAGCCTCCGGAGTAGCTGGGATTGCAGGTGCGCGCCACCACGCCCAGCTAATTTTTTGTACTTTTAGTAGAGATGGGGTTTCATCATGTTGGCCAGGCTGGTCTCCAACTCCTGACTTCAGGTGATCCACCTGCCTCAGCCTCCCAAAGTTCAGGGGATTACAGGCATGAGCCACCACCCAGACTATTAATAAAAGATAAAGGGCCAGGCGAGGTGGCTCATGCCTGTAATCCCAGCACTTTGGGAGGCCAAGGTGGGTGGATCACGAGGTCAGGAGTTTGAGACCAACCTGACCAACATGGTGAAACCTCTTCTCAAAAAAAAAAAAAAAAAAATGTCTGGACAAAGAGGAGAGCAGGTAGAAGCATGGCGCTGTTTCTTTATTTGGAATTATTAAGAATTTCGGCCAGGTGCAGTGGCTCACACCTGTAATCCCAGTACTGTGGGAGGTCAACGCGGGTGGATCACCTGAGGTCAGGAGTTTGAGATGAGCCTAGTCAACATGGTGAAACCCTGTCTCTACTAAAAATATAAAAATTAGCTAGGAGTTTTGGCAGGCACCTGTAATCCCTGCTACTTGGGAGGCTGAGGCAGGAGAATCGTTTGAATCTGGGAGGTGGAGGTTGCAGTGAGCTGAGATTACGCCGCTGCACTCCAGCCTGGGCATCAAAAGTGAAACTCCATCTCAAAAAAAAAAAAAAAAGGAATTTTACTGGGAACTTTTATTACAAAATCTGTTAGTTTTAAAGCAGTTGTGTTTGGGTATGGGCTTCTTTGCTGTTAACAATTTTGAAGAATTTCTTTTTTTTTTTTTTTTTTTGAGACACAGTCTCACTCTGTTGCCCAAGCTGGAGTGCAATGGCTTGATCTCGGCTCACTGTAACCTCTGCCTCCCAAGTTCAAGCAATTCTCCTTCCTCAGCCTCCCAAGTAGCTGGGATTATAGGTGCCGGCCACCACACCCAGCTAATTTTGTATTTTTAGTAGAGACAGAGTTTCACCATGTTGGCCAGGCTGGGCTTGAACTCCTGACTTCAAATGATCCTCCTGTCTTGGCCTCCCAAAGTGCTAGGATTACAGGCATGAGCCACTGCACCCAGCCTGAAGCCTCTCTTCTTCATTTGGAAACAGCCACTTTCTCGCTGTGTCCTCACATAACCCTTCCACTGTGTGCATTCATCTTTGATATTTCCTCCAGTCCTGTGGGCTTAGGGGCCTACCCTTATGAGCTCACTTAGCCTTGATTATCCCCTGAAAGATCCTAATTCCAAATACAGTAATTGGGTGTTTAGGGCTTTAACATATAAATTTTGAGGAGCACAGTTCATTCCATTACACAGAGATATTTATTTCTCCAGTACGCTCATTTCAAGGGGCGATGAGACCTGGGACCGTGAAGACATCTCTGGTTGCTGTAATTATGGAGACACTAGTCTTCTCTTTAGAGATATACACTTATATTCCAAAGGGTAAGATCCTTCCCAAAGAGAATTTAAGTAATAATTAAGTCTGTTCCTGCTCCAGAGCCTTTGTGTCTACTTTCAGCACAATACAAATATAGACATTTTATCTGATGTTTATTGGAGTTGTATTCTAGTTAACTCACTTTTTCATTACATTATGGTCAAGAGGCCTGTGATATTAAAAACTTGGATGCTTTCTCCTAGTCTAAATGGGGCAAATTATCCAAATAATTCAAGTTAAGGTGATAATTTTTAAAAAGTCCACTTCTATGAGTAGAGAAAATTTTATTTTAGTAGCAATCTGTGAGTTAATGCAAAAATTGGAAGAAATCACACCCTGCAAGTCAGGAAATGTAAATTATTACAAAAGCAGAAAGAAACACTCTGGGTTGGTGGTGGTTTTTTTTTTTTAATGAAATGAAACTATTTCAAATTAACACTTTTACAGTTTTTTGAACATTTTTATTAAGTTATTAACTTAAGATAAAAGAAAAAGTCAGATTTTTACTTCTTAAATTCATTTATTTCTAGTTCTAACTCAATTTTTTATAATTGCTGATCAAATACTGCCTTGCACTGAGAAATTGGTCCATGGGTCATCATCTATATATTGCCAAAGTATGCAAAAGCTTGTAAATTTTGCATTTTACAAATGCTTGTAAATTTTTCGGTTTATAAGCATTGATTTTTAATGATGACTTCTTCCACTGCCAATTTCTAATAAAATGAAATTGGAGGTAAGGTGGAGAAAGTATGTGATTTGTTCAAGGTCAGACTGCTTAACAGAATCAGATTCCAACTAAGGTTCACACTTATACCACTAAATCACTAATGCTGTGCTCCCATAACCGTCTCACTCATTACACCTCATAGCTCAACATTATTCTATTCTGAACCATTTGTGCAATTAAAATTCTCAAATAATGACAGTTCCTTATGGGATAGTTGGAGCTCTAATTCTTGGACTAATACTCCAGTTTCCTGTTTATATCCCTTGGTTCATGGCGCATCCTATGCTTGAAATACTTTTTTTTTTTTTTTTTTTTTTTTTGTGATAGAGTCTCGCTCTGTTGCCCATTCTGGAGTGCAGTGGCATAATCTCGGCTTGCTGCAACCTCTGCCTCCCGGGTTCAAGAGATTTTTGGCTAATTTTTGTATTTTTACTAGAGACAGGGTTTCACCATGTTGGCCAGACTTGTCTCTAACTCCTGACCTCAAGTGATCCACCCGTCTCAGCTCCCAAAGTGCTAGGATTACACTGCGCCCAGCTGAAATACTTTTGAAAGTAGCCTTTTATTGAATATAATTGCTTGTCTAGGATAAGAATTTTAACCAAATGAGACATATCCTCTGAACCTGGAGATGGGGAGAACATGCGAGGACGTGTAAGAAAATGTTGATGGAGAGGGGAAAGAGGTTGAAATTAATTTGGGGTAGGGGAGGGGCACAGTGGCTCACACTTGTAATCCCAGCACTTTGGGCGGCCGAGGCAGGTGGATCACCTGAGGTTAGGAGTTTGAGACCAGCCTGGCCAACATGACAAAACCTTGTTTAAAAATACAAAAAATTAGCTGGGTGTGGTGGTGTGCACCTGTAATCCCAGCTACGCAGGAGGCTGAAGCAGAATTGCTTGAATCCAGGAGGCAGAGGTTGCTGTGAGCCGAGATTGTGCCACTGTACTCCAGCCTGGCGACACAGCAAGACTTCATCTAAAAAAAAAAAAAAAAAATTGGGTAGGTATTTTGATATAAGTAAGTATAAGGTCAGAAAGAAAATGAAGGATAAGATTCAACTGAAAGGACAGAAGAGGTTTGAGATACGGATAAGTGGGAAGGAATCAACTGGAAATGAATCAAGCCTGAGTTTAGAGTTTAGGTAGTATAATCTGGAGATCTGTAGGTGAACTAGTCAGCCTAGTTTTCTGACTTTTCCAGCAATTCTTAGAATTTTCAAGAGGGTGCTGGGTGTGGTGGCTCACGCCTGTAATCCCAGCACTTCGGGAGGCCAGGTGGGCAGATCACCTGAGGTCGTCAGAAGTTCGAGATCAGCCTGACCTACATGGAGAAACCCCATCTCTACTAAAAATACAAAAAAATTAGCCGGACATGTTGGTGCATGCCTGTAATCCCAGCTACTCAGGAAGCTGAGGCAGGAGAATCGCTTGAACCCAGGAGGCGGAGATTGCAGTGAGTCGGGATCGCGCCATTGCACTCTAGCCTGGGCAACAACCGTGAAACTCCATATCAAAAAAAAAAAAAAAAGAATTTCTAAGAGGGAAGTCTTAGTGTTCGAAAGATTTAGCCATTGTACTTGGCCCTCTAGATATAGCACAAGGGGGCTGGGCGAGATGGCTCATGCCTATAATCCCAGCACTTTGGGAAGCCAAGGTGGGTGGATCACTTGAGGCCAGGAGTATGGGAGCAAGAGATTCTAGAACAATTGATCTCAAAGGTATTTCTGTGGTGATGAGACAAGATAAGACATTCACTCCTGAAAGCATGCCTAATTATTTGTAATCCCTGAAGGACTAGCTGTTTCACTGTCTGTTTACCACTCAAGAAAACATATTAGGTTATAAGAGTTACTTCAGATAACTTCTCTCTGGAACAGTTTCCAAGTCGTCCTTTGTATTTGATGCCCTTAACACACGTATATGCATGTGTGCATCCACGGACATATGCACATTATTTGGACGTGTAATTTTGGAGAACAAAATTAAACTTCACAGGTGAGTCTAATACACCAATCTCATTCA
The DNA here is from genome assembly GCF_000001405.40 of Homo sapiens. Lineage (NCBI taxonomy): Eukaryota > Metazoa > Chordata > Mammalia > Primates > Hominidae > Homo > Homo sapiens. The sequence goes on along the minus strand of NC_000003.12, from coordinate 155,816,502 downwards.
TATCAGTAAGAATACAACTGAGCTACAATATTGTGTTTTGAATTGACTTCTGTAGGATAAGGAATATTTTTAAAAAATTATTTGTTAACTTTTTTTTTTTGAGACGGAGTCTCGCTGTCGCCCAGGCTGGAGCGCAGTGGCATGATCTCGGCTCACTGCAGGCTCTGCCCCCTGGGGTTCACGCCATTCTCCTGCCTCAGCCTCCCGAGTAGCTGGGACTAGAGGCGCCCGCCACCTCGCCCAGCTAATTTTTTTGTATTTTTAGTAGAGACGGGGTTTCACCGTGTTAGCCAGGACGGTCTTGATCTCCTGACCTCGTGATCCGCCCGCCTCGGCCTCCCAAAGTGCTGGGATTACAGGCGTGAGCCACCGCGCCCGGCCCAACTTTTTTTTTTTTTTTTTTTTTTTTTTTTTTTTTTTTCTGAGACGGAGTTTCACTCTTGTTGCCCAGGCTGGAGTGCAATGGCGTGATCTTGGCTCACTGCAACCTCCGCCTCCCAGGTTCAAGCGATTCTCCTGCCTCAGCCTGCTGAGTAGCAAGGATTACAGGCACTTGCCAGCACACCCAGCTAATTTTTGTATTTTTAGTGAAGGCGGGGGTTTCACCATGTTGGCCAGGCTGGTTTTGAACTCCTGACCTAAGGTGATCTGCCTGCCTCGGCCTCCCAAAGTGCTGGGATTACAGGCGTGAGCCACTGTGCCCAGCCTGTTAACACTTTATTATGGAAAAATTTGAACATATAAAAGTAGGGTAACAATGGGCCCATGAAGAGTTAAATAGAACAGTCCGCAAGACCGCCAATACTTCTGACACAAACTGCAGAGTTCAGGGGAGCCTAAGACCACCCTCAGGTGTGATAATTTGTTAAAACGACTCAGAACTCATTTAAAGCTGTTATACTCATGGTAATGGTGGGTTACAGGGAAAGGATACAGATTAAAATCTGCAAAGGATCTAGCACTGATTTGGAGACTTGATCTATGCATAGGGCAGAGGCCAGAAGGGTTCTAAAGGTGGAGATTCCAGTTGTCCTCTCCCTGTAGAGTCATGGACAACATTGACCCCTCACAGCAATGATGTGTGACAAGACACATGGAGCAGTGCCAACCAGGAAAGCTCCCCCAAGCTTTGGTGTCCACAGTTTTTATTCAGACATCATGCTTGACTGACTACATAGCTGAACTCAGTCTCTAGCTCCTCTGGAGGTCAAACTGATATCCCAAGACTCAAAGCCTCCACTGTAAATGAGTTTGTGTGATCCAAATTCTCAAGATAAAGGACATTCTTATCAGGCAGGATATGCTGAGGGTTTAGAGATTACCAGGGGCAAAGAAAGAGCAAAGGCCAGCCCTGACTTAAAATCTATGTTATATAACCCATTACTCAGCTTCAATAATAAGTATATCTCCAACCACCTTCCCTTTCCATATTGTTTTCCATTAAAACTATGTGGAGGCCAGGTGCTATGGCTCACGCCTATAATGCCAGCATTTTGGGAGGCTGATGTGGGAAGATTCCTTGAGCCCAAGAATTTGAGACCAGCCTGAGCAACATGGCAGGACATTGTCTGTACAAAATATTAAAAAATTAGCCGGGTTTGGTGGCACACCCCTGTAGTCCCAGCTACTGGAGAAATGGAGGCGGGAGGATCACTTGAGCCCAGGAGGTCGACTACAGTGAGCTGTGATGGCACCACTGCACTCCAGCCTGACCGACAGAGCGAGACCCTGTCTCCAAACAAACAAACAAAAATTTAGAAACATAATAAAATGGCAAAAATAGTATCAAGACTACATGTGGATATCCTAATTTTTGTATTTTACCCCATATTCCTTATCCTCTTTTTGTCTTTATCTATCTAGCCATACATATAAACACATAATTTTTTCAGAACTATTTTTCACAATTATTCAGAATACATTGCACCAATGGAGCTCCTGTAATCTCTTAATTATCCCTTAATACTCCATGCATTTTCAAAAAACAAGAACACTCTCCTATGTAACCACAGTACAACCCCCAGATTTAGGAAATTCGTATTCACACATTTTTATCATTTAATTTACAAACCCCATTCAAATTTTGATGATAGACCCAATTAGATTCTTGCTAAGTATAGAATCTAATCTAGGATTACAAATTATATTTAGTTTTTATGTTTCTTTAGTTTTCCTTAATCTGGAATTTCCCAGTCATTCTTTGTATTTGATGCTCTTGAAACCTGAAAAATGAGGCCGGGCGCTGTGGCTCATGCCTGTAATCCCAGCACTTTGGGAGGCCAAGGCGGGCAGATCACCAGGTCAGGAGATCAAGACCATCCTGGCTAACACGCTGAAACCCCGTCTCTACTAAAAATACAAAAAATTAGCCGGGCGTGGTGGCAGGCCCCTGTAGTCCCAGCTACTTGGGAGGCTGAGGCAGGAGAATGGCGTGAACCACAGGGGGTGGAGCTTGCAGTGAGCCGAGATCGCGCCACTGCACTCCAGCCTGGGCAACAGAGCGAGACTCCGTCTGAAAAAAAAAAAAAAAAGAAATAGAGGCTGGGCATGGTGGCTCACACCTATAATCTCAACACACTGTGAAGCCATGGTGGGAAGATCTTTGTATCTTACTTTGATTCAACACATTGATTATCTTTTCTGTAAAGTGCACGTTGTACAAAGAACATAAATTTCTTCACATATCTTCGCCCTTTAGAGGTTCATAATTTGCTGAGCAAAGAAAGGGCAATGAGAGAACTAAGGAGACTGATTAATTTTGTCTAGAAGACCTTGGAAAGGAGGTTGTATCTTCTATATATGTGTTACACTCACTTCTGAGGACAAATGACGTGCTGAGAGCCCCAGGCTGAGCAAAGCAACTCTAACTTTTTCTTAAGATTAACTTTTTCTTAAGATTAAGATTAAGATTAATCTTTTCTTAAGATTAAGATCAATCTTTTCTTAAGATTAAGATTAAGATAAATCTTTTCTTAAGATTAAGATCAATCTTTTCTTAAGATTAAGATTAAGATCATTCTTTTCTTAAGATTAAGATTAAGATCAATCTCTTCTTAAGATTAAGATTAATCTTTTCTTAAGATTAAGATTAATCTTTTCTTAAGATTAAGATTAAGATTAATCTTTTCTTAAGATTAAGATTAAGATTAATCTTTTCTTAAGATTAAGATTAAGATTAATCTTTTCTTAAGATTAAGATTAAGATTAATCTTTTCTTAAGATTAAGATTAAGATTAATCTTTTCTTAAGATTGGCCTGGAGTGGTGGCTCATACCTGTAATCCCAGCACTTTGGGAGGCCGAGGCAGGCGGATCATCTGAGGTCAGGAGTTCAAGACCAACCTGGCTAACTGGTTAACATGGTGAAACCCTGTTTCTACTAAAAATACAAAAAATTAGCCGGGCGTGGTGGGGTGTGCCTGTAATCTTAGCTACTCAGGAGGCTGAGGCAGGAGAATCGCTGGAACCCAGGAGGCGGAGGTTGCAGTGAGCTGAGATCGCGCCATTGCATTCCAGCTTGGGCAACAAGAGCGAAACGCGGTCTAAAAAAAAAAAAAAGATTAAGTGGCCATGTTCTTGGCCACTTAGCCTTGTCATAGTGATCCAAGCTGATTGTGCTGGAGGGGTGAGCCCCTGACAGACGATAGCCAGTTTATAGATCAGCTAGCAGCCCATTAGGTGGTCTGGCATGATAATTTTGCTTGATAGGGATGACAATGACTAGACCAATTATAGTGTCAACATAAAATATAGAAATGAATCTCTAAGCAAAAGGTTTTATTCGGGAATATAGATAAAAATAGAATTGCAATTTGGGGCATAAGAACAGACCAGAATGGTCTTCAGAATGTCAAAAAAAAAAAAAAAGGAATATGTTGAGGTTTTATTGGGAAAGAGAAATGAAACATAAAATGTTTTGAAAGAGTTAACTGGTGCTGGCGAAGTCTTTTGGGAGCTGGCAAGCTCTGATGGGTGAGTGAGGGCGGTAGGTAAAAGTAATTGCCATTGAAAGTAATGTCAAAAACTGCAATTACTTAGTCTCAGGTTGTTTTGGCAGCTATTAGATAAAACTAGTCTTAAGGTTATAATACGCCGTTTCAGAAGCTAAGGAGAGGCTGCCATACACTTCCTAGAGGAACTGCTTTGTGCCTTGGGGCTTTTTACCCCTGGTCCCTTGATTCTGATTTAGTTGAGTGTGACAGAAGTTATTCCAATCCATATAATCAATTTTTACAGTAGTTTTTTAGAAGGTTGTATGGGAGAGATAACCATGTATGTGTTAGTAGAGGAAGGAGAATAAGAAATACCCAGTGAGGCAAAAATAGAGTTGCTGAAGATAGGTTAACGATAGTATTCGTAGGGATCATAAACTTCTGCTCCCTGACAAGGGGGACAGTGTTTGTGGCTTATTGCCTTCCTTTGTGTTAAAAGATATTTTCTAATAGGCCAAATTAATTACCTTTCTATTTCTTTTCCTTTTTTTTTTTTTTTTATTGAGACAGAGTCTCACTCTGCTGCCCAGGCCGGAGTGCAGTGGTGCCATCTACGCTTACTGCAACCTCTTCCTCCCGGGTTCAAGCAATTCTCTGCCTCAGCCTCCTGAGTAGCTGGGATTACAGGTGCCCACCACCAGGCCTGGCTAATTTTTGTATTTTTAGTAGAGATGGGGTTTCACTATCTTGGCCAGGCTGGTCTTGAACTCCTGACCTCGTGATCCATCTGCCTTGGCCTCCCAAACTGCTGGTATTACAGGCGTGAGCCACCGAGCCCGGCCTTCTTTTCCTTTTCTTAGTGGTTTTGTGAGTTGTTTTCTTAGTGGTTGCTCTAGTGATGACAATTTTGTGAGTTATTTCCTTAGTGGTTACTCTGGTAATTATAGAGTGAGTTATTTTCTTAGTGGTTACTCTAATGTTTGCAATTAACACCTTGTCTTAAAATAATCTAGTTCAGATTAATATCAACTTAATTTTAATAGATACAAAAACTTCGCTCCAATATAGCTGTTCCCTCCCCCAATCCTTTGAGCTATTATTGCCATTCAAATTATATCTTTATTATAAGCCCATCTACACAGTTTTATGATTATGGTTTTATTCCAGTTGCCCTTTAGATCATATAGGAGAAGGAAAGAACTATAAACAAAAACATTTATACTGTATTTTATATTTATCTGTTTAGTTACCTTTACTGGTACTCTTTAATTCTTAGTGTGGATTCAAGTTACTACCTCTGCTCTCTCTAATGGCTGTAGAGAATGGAAGGGAATGGAAGGGAAGAGGATGAGGACAGAAATAGACTTATCTTAGAAGAGAAGGAAGGATGGTAGACACTTTGCAGTTTAGATAATTGAAAATATCTCTTTCATTCGGCTAATACTTAGAGTCTCCTATGTATCAGGAACTATGCTCAGCACTGGGTCTTAAGTCATAGACAGAGAGACATAGTAAAAAGACACAGTCCCTGTTCTATAGTGGGGGAGAAAGGGGGAAAAAAAGCATAAATCAATCCTAAAATTATAAATTTGTGTTATGGATGGTGCAGACTTACTTGAGAGAGTGCTAGAAAACACTTCTTGTGGATATGATGTTTAAAATGAGATATGAAGGATAATGAGGCAGCTTGGTGATGGTTGTGAGGGGCTGTAGGAAAACGTAAAGGTAGAAGGATCAGGGTATTCTAGGCTGAGGGACCAGTGAGTGTAAAGGCTTTCAGACAGGGGTGAATCTAACATTGTGAAGAACAGAGAAAAGGTCAGTATGTTTGAGGCATAATGAATGAAGTAGGGAGTAGGAAAGATGAGCTTGGAGAGACAGGCAGGGTCTAGATCATGCAGGGCCTTGCGTGTGAACCTGAGGACTTTTGATTTTACCTAAAGAACAATGGAGTACCCCCCGACTTTTATTTATTTATTTATTTATTTTGAGACGGGAGTCTTGCTGTTGTTGCCCAGGCTGGAGTGCAATGGCGCATCTTGGCTCACTGTAACCTCTGCCTCCCAGGTTCAAGCGATTCTCCTGCCTCAGCTTCCTGAGTAGCTGGGACTACAGGCATTTGCCACCATGCCCTGATAATTTTGTATTTTTAGTAAAGTTGGGGTTTCACCTGTTGGTCAGGCCGGTCTTGAGCAATGGAGTACCCTTAAAGCAGAGGTAACAGACTAAAAGAATGTAGTTTCTGCCTCAGGGCATATCCATACTTAGTGCAGTATGGTGCCAACCCTTAATTTTAGTTTTAAAACAGGGAGATTTCATATAAAAATCTAGATTTCCAGCTTTTGTTTTCTTTTCTTTTTTTTTTTGAGACGGAGTTTCGCTCTTGTTGCCCAGGCTGGAGTGCAATGGTGCGATCTCGGCTCACCGCAACCTCTGCCTCCCAGGTGCAAGGGATTCTCCTGCCTCAGCCTCGCAAGTAGCCGGGATTATAGGCACCCCACACCATACCCAGCTAATTTTTGTATTTTTAGTAGAGGTGGGGTTTCTCCATGTTGGTCAGGCTGGTCTCTAACTCCTGACCTCAGGTGATCTGCCCTCCTCGGCCTCCCAAATTGCTGGGATTACAGGCGTGAGCCAGCGCTCCCAGCCCCAGCTTCTCTTTTAAAAAGCTGAAGATCTCACCATATCTTACTCTAACTGGTAGAAGTTGGGTATAGTCCCATGTTGGGGTTTTGCCAGGCAAGTGCAAAAGAGGCAGAGGAAGATGAGAGGTCAGAAAGCTTTCAAAGGAGTAATTGTAAGGATAAACTATTGAGTCTAAGCTGGGTAATACAGCAACTGAATTCTAGAGGGAGGTGATGAATAGATCATGGTGGTTCAGTGGACTGGCATCTCAATTAACTCAAAGGATTATTTGTAATGGGTATTTTTACAAGTGAGCCAGAAGAACTGAAAGTTGTTTCAGGAGAGTGAGGTGTTAGCACTGTGATTGTGGATATGGTAATTTCTAGTGAGGAAAAGTTCCAAGGTGTGACTATAGAAGTGGATGGCTGAAGTGGGGAAGAAGAAAAGGTCACTGGGCATGACAGTCAAACAACTAAGAGATGAGAACAATGAGAGGAATTCAGATGAAGATAAAGTCTTTAAGTCAGATGTAAAATCTTCAGTGAATAAGAGGGAGTCATAGGAAATCACAAGATCACAGCCCCAATGAAATCCTGAAGAGGATGAAAAAATGATAATAGTTTGAAGAGCAAGGAAATCATGACCTCATCTGATCCTGAGGTATGTTGTGTAAGAAAAATAGAATGGTTGACTTTGAAACTGGGAACCAAGGCTAGAAACTGGGGTGAGATTCTCATGAAATATTCAACTTTTTTCTTTTTCTTTGGTCTCTGGGAACACTTACATTAGTATCCAATCATTTTTTTTTTTTTTGAGACGGAGTTTTGTTCTTGTTGCCCAGGCTGGAATGTAATGGTGCGATCTCAGCTCACTGCAACCTCTGACTCCCGGGTTCAAGCAATTATCCTGCCACAGCCTCCTGAGTAGCTGGGATTACAGGCATGCGCCACCACACTTGGCTAATTTTTTTGTATTTTTTAGTAGAGATGGGATTTCTCCATATTGGTCAGGCTGGTCTCGAACTCCTGACCTCAGGTGATCTGCCAGCCTTGGCCTCCTAACGTGCTGGGATTACAGGCATGAGCCACCATGCCCAGCCCTCCAATCAATTTTTTAAATGATAATTCCACCTCATTAATTTCAAACATTCAGTAAGAGTCTATTACAGATATGTTCATGGTATTGTAGGAAATTAAGGGATGGGGCAGTGAATCTAAGTGTGGCTTTTCATGTATATCTCTCTGTTGAGGTCATGTAATCATCTTATTCAGTGAGTTTTCAGAAATTACCAGCAGGAAAAGGAACAGTGTGCCTTGGTGGATCTAACTCAGGAGCATAAGTCTCTGATTAATCTGCAGAAGTCCTGGAACAAGCACTAGATTTCTCACATCAATGCATAGTGAGGTGATGCTGAAACATTATTGAAGGAGACTTAAAGACATTTAGAGGACTTAGAGATGTCCAGGTGGCTGACATCTGAAATATTAAGAAAGACTTTGGGATGGAAAGTAGGCAGAATGGACTAACCTGTCTTCAACTAGGACACTGAAAATGCTAGCAGATAGGAGAGAAGAGGTATGGGACATTGGAAAACCAAAAGGAGTAATGTTAGGCAAATGATTGCCTAAGAAATCCACACTTCCTTTCCTTTTATTAACTAAATTTATTTTAAATCTAGTAACACAGAGATATTTTTATTTGAAATAGTGATTATGGATTAATATGTATCTTTGTAGATGGATTTTCCCCAATATCATTTGTGTTCCACCCTTGATGGAAATTTGTAGGTATTTTTGTGATTTGGCCAATTGCCTGTATAAGAGACAGTGTTGTGGTTAACTGCACAGAGTGAGCCAACTGGCTGAGTTGAATGCCTGCACAACATCCCAGTTTATCACTTCTTGGCTAGGTGACCTTAGCTACTGCCTTAATCATTCTGTGCATACTTGCTCTGTAAAACTGGGATTAATAATAGTGCCTACCTCATGAGTTGCTGGGAGGATGAAGGGAGTTAATGTCTGAGAAGCACCTAGAACAATACCTGGCGCATAGCAAGCAAGACCCAAGTGTCAACGATTCTTATTTACTTACTTTCTTGTCTTTTCTTTTTATTGAGACAAGAGTCTTGCTCTGTGGCCCAGGCTGGAGTGCAGTGGTGCGATCTTGGTTCACTGCAACCTCTGCCTCCTGGGTTCAAGCGATTCTTCTGCCTCAGTCTCCTGAGTAGCTGGGACTACAGGCGCATGCCACCACGACTGGCTAATTTTTTGTATTTTTAGTAGAGATGGGGTTTCACTGTGTTAGCCAGGATGGTCTCGATCTCCTGATCTCATGATTCAACCTCCTCAGCCTCCCAAAGTGCTGGGATTACAGGCGTAAGCCACCACGCCCGGCTGTTATTTACTTTCTATTGGCTATAACACAGAGACAATACACTCCTTGAAGCCACCACTCATAATATGTATTGTTAGGAATACAACATAGTCTGTTTTGACTTTTAAAGGTAATATTTGCATAAAGTAAAAAAAAAAAAAAAACTCCAGTAGTATAATTGCACTCTCCAATATAATAGCCACTAGCCATATGTGACTAAATTAATTAAAATTAATAAAGTTAAAAATTCAGTTCCTTGATTTCAGTAGCCACATTTCATGCAGGCAATACCCACATGAAGCTACAGGACATTTCTATCACTGAAAAATGTTTATTAGAGGTGGCAGATTGTGAAACCTCTTGCCCTTTCCTACCTTCCGTTTCCCGGGGTAGTCACTGTTACTAGTTTCTTGTATAGTATTTAGTATTTATTTATTTTTTTAGATGGAGTCTTGCTCTGTTACCCAGGCTGGAGTGTAGTGGCACGATCTTGGCTCACTGCAACCTCCGCTTCCCAGGTTCAAGCGATTCTCCTGCCTCAGCCTCTTGAGTAGCTGGGATTATAGGCGCATACCACCAGGTTCAGCTAATTTTTGTATTTTCAGTAGAGACGGAATTTCGCCATGTGGGCCAGGCTGGTCTCGAACCCCTGACCTCAAGTAATCCGCCCGCCTCGGCCTCCCAAAGTGTTGGTATTACAGGCAGGAGCCACCACACCCGGCCTCAATATATATTTTTATTACATAAATGTTACCATATTATTTGCACTGCTCTGTATCTAATTTTTGTTTTATTTAAAATGTATTAACTACTGTTTTCTAACAGCTCAAAGATTTAGAGCATGTGATATTAGGCTTTCAGAGCAGCTCTTAAAACTTTAAAGCACAATTTGAATATAAGAAATATGCATAGGTTTCAAGGACAGGTCGTATTTGGTTAAAAAATATGCATATGCTGTTCCTTGGGAGCAGGTGGAAGGAATGAATTACTTCAATTTCCTTCCTTGTGTGGCACCTGCGAAAACCACGTTGCAGCTGAGTGAATTGAAGTCACCAGCTGACAATCATCCTACTAGCTTGATAGGGAATGCTTCAGCCCCCACAGTGCTGCTCAGAGATCTCCTGCATCGTGGAATCACCCTGCATAAAAGCGGTTGGGGCACTGTTAAGACGTCTGATATCTGGGGCCCGCCCACTGGCGACTGCAGGTCGCGGGGCCACCCCGGTCCGCGGGGAAGGGGACCCCGCCGCCTTCCCGAGGTGAGCGGCGCCCCCTGCCGCCAGCCGGAGGAGCTCAGGGCCGCTCGCAGGAGGCCGGGAACATGGCGGGGCAGCCCGCGGCCACCGGCTCGCCGTCTGCCGACAAGGACGGAATGGAGCCCAACGTCGTGGCTCGGATCTCGCAGTGGGCAGACGACCACCTGCGCCTAGTCCGGGTACTGGGGCCACGCAGTCTGGGCGGGTGGTGGGCGCGGGGCGGCACAGAGCGACCCTGAGAACAACGTGAGGCCTCAGGCGTGGATCCCGCCGGGGCCGGGGAGCGACAGAAAACTGCGGGGGAATGAGCTCGAGAGGGCGACATCGCGAGTGTCGTGTGTGCGGGGCTGCAGAGGGCCGGGGGCGGGCCAGGGGGCCAGTTCGGCCTCATTATTACAAGGACTGTTCTGGATCCTTGCTGGGCTGTAGGGGGCACCTCAAAGGGTGAGACGCAGCCCAGCTCGGGGATGCCACCTGGTCCATTAGAGCATTTGGGGAGGGCCCAGAGAGGAGACCGAGGAAGAGCAGGGAAGTCCTGTACGCCTTGGGAGAGAGCATTTCTAATTTTTATTTATTTTTAATTTTATTTTTTAGGGACACGGTATTCCTCTCTGGCCCAAGCTGGAGTGCAGTGGCACGATCATAGCTCACTGCTGCTGCTCCACCCACTTCGGCCGAAAAGATCCTCCCACTTCAGCCTCCCGAGTAGCTGGAACCACAGGTTGCGTGCGCTACCCCATCGACTACTTTCTTTTAGAGTTAGAGACTGGGAGTCTTGCTATGTTGTCCAGGCTGTCCTCCAACTCCTGGCCTCAAGTGATCTCCCACCTCAGCCTCCCGAATAGATTTCTTTTTTTTGAGACAGGGTCTCCCTCTGTCACGCCTGGAGTGCAGTGGCACCATTATGTCTCGTTGCAGTCTCCACTTCCTGGGCTTAAGCAATCCTCCCACCTCAGGCTCCCGAGTAGCTAGGGCTACAGGCACTTGTCACCACACCAGGCTAATTTGTTTTTTGTTTGTAGAGGCAAGGTCTTCCTGTGTTGCCCAGGCTGGCCTTGAACTCCTGGTCTCAAGAGATCTGCCCGCCTCGGCCTCCCAAAGCACTGGGATTGTAGGCATCAGCCACTGGTGCCCTGCCTTTTTTTTTTTTTTTTTTTTTAAGTGAAGCACTAAGCCTCTGGAGTTGAAGCAAGAGAGGGACATGTTAGGCCACCAGGCAAGAGAGGGTTGTGGCTAAGACACAGAATTGTGGTGATATGAATTGTTTGGGTGTGAGGTACAAAGAAAGAGGTCCAAGGAGGCTGGTAATAGTTGCTGATAAGGAGAAGGAGTTGGAATAAATGATTTATTGGGGAAAATCTAGAGAACTTTTTGGACACGTACATGGAGATGTGCAAATTTGGAGATCATTATTAGACTTCTAAGCAGAATTGTAGATGCTGTCCTTGGCAACTGGATATGGGGTCCGGTGTTGAAGGGAGATCAGAACCTGACATAGAACATTGGGAATGACCTGCATAAACCTTAAGTAGCATTTAAAGCCGTGGGCTTGAATAACATCTCAGAGCAAGTGAGAAAAGCTACTGAAGAAGCCCTAGAATTTGGGGGATTATAACATTGAGAATCTGGGGAGTAAAGAGGAGGTCAGCAAAGACTAAGAAGAAGCAGACAGTGAGGTAGTAAAAAAGTCAAGACAGCCAGGTGTTCTAGAAGCCAAGTGAAGAAAATGTTTTCAGAAGGAATCATTAACTTTAAAAAATAATACTGGAAAGTTGAGTAAGATAACTTTGCAAATGCTCTACAGCCAAGCAGCACAAAGTCCAAAGCCATGCCTGTTTTCACTCATCATTGTAGCCCCAGTTCTTAGAGTAATGCCTGCTACTTAGTAAGTGCTAGATAAATATTTGTAGCATCATTGAATGGTAAATAATATATGTGTTAATTGGTGAAAACTCATTTCTTCCAGTTAAGCAGTAATAGATGCATGGGTTATTTCAAATTAAAAAATGACTTCAGAAGGATTATGGGAGGAAGTTGTGTAAATTAGAACATAGTTATAATATTACAAATAATCCAATCACAGAACCCAGAGTATGTACCTTTGTGCATATTTTCAATCTCATTTCCTTTTTCTTTTTTTTTAGACCAAGTCTTGCACTTGTCCCCCAGGCTGGAGTGCAATGGTGTGATCTCGGCTCACTGCAACCTCTGCCTCCCAGGTTCAAGTGATTGTCCTGCCTCACCCTCCTGAGTAGCTGGGATTACAGGTGCCTGCCACCAAGCCTGGCTAATTTTTGTATTTTTAGTAGAGATGGGGTTTCACCATGTTGGCCAGGCTGGTCTCGAACTCCTGACCTCAGGTGATCTGCCCGCCTTGGCCTCCCAAAGTGCTGGAATTACAGGCATGAGCCACTGCGCCGGCCTCTTTTTTCCTTTGAGACAGAGTCTCACTCTGTCGCCCAGGCTGGAGTGCAGTGGCACAATCTCGGCTCACTGCAACCTCCACCTCCTGGGTTCTAGCGATTCTCGTGCCTCAGCCTCCTGAGTGGCTGGAATTACAGATGTGTGCTACCACGTCCAGCTAGTTTTTTGTATTTTTAGTAGAGACGAGGTTTCACCATGTTGGCCAGGCTGGTCTCAAACTCCTGACCTCAAGTGATCCACCCGCCTCGGCCTCCCCAAGTGCTGAGATTACAGGCGTGAGGCACCACACCTGGCCTCAATCTCATTTCTTTTTTTTTTTTTTTTTTTTTGAGACTGAGTCTCACTCTGTTACCCAGGCTGGAGTGCAGTGGCACGATCTCGGCTCACTGCAACCTCTGCCTCCCCGATTCAAACGATTCTCCTGCCTTAGCCTCCTGAGTAGCTGGGACTACAGGCGCCCACCACCACGCCCGGCTAATTTTTTGTATTTTTAGTAGAGACGAGGTTTCACCGTTTTAGTCAGGATGGTCTCGATCTCCTGGCCTTGTGATCTGCCTGCCTCGGCCTCCCAAAGTGTTGGGATTACAGGTGTGAGCCACCATGCCCAGCCAATCTCATTTCTTATATACCTAGTTGTATTGATGGAAGGAAAGTGTGTTAGATTATTACTCTTTTTGAGAGAGTTGCAGGATTCTTAATTTTTCATTAACTCCTTTAGGCCTACCCCAGTTTAAATGAAACACTTTAAAAACATCGCTTAATATTCCCTAGCCATTTACCCACATCTGCCAAGTGCTGTATATTAAGGTTTAGTGATAAAATTTTCTACTAAATACTTAAATTCCTACTATGGATGCAAGGTTATACTAATTACTATGGGTACTGTATAGGAAGTACTAGACCAGTTCATATATTGATGGAACTGATAGTTAAATAATACGATCAGTAGAGAACAATCCAATACTATATACATATATGTATCTGTGTATTGGGGTGGGTGGGTGTGTATATGTGTGTGTATATGTTTACATATACATGTATGTATATATGTTTAAATATATATATAAATGTCTCTGTGTGCCAGATTGGGAAAGAATTTGAGTACTATAAAAGTTAAAAGAATTCATCATAATGAACGAGTGGACAGTTTTTGAAGAAGTGGGCCTTTATTTGAAAGACATACATTGTTTATACACATTAGATATAGAGAGGACAGTCTTCTTTTTTTCTACCTTCTAATTAGTGCTTTCATTATTGTGACTAATAATTAGTGAGGGTTAACCCTTAAATCTCTTTCTGTAGAACATCAGCACTGGAATGGCCATAGCTGGAATAATGTTACTTTTGAGAAGCATTCGACTGGTAAGTTAAAAAATGAAAAAGACATTACAACAAGCCGTAGGTAGTTTATTTCCATTTCAGACAATTTTTATCTCAAACAGTGTATCATATTGTTACTCGTATTGGTAGCTTTTAAATAGTATTTTAGAACAATGAACATATTTTAAGGTCTTGGTTTAAATATAACACATCCACAGGATTTTACAGAAAGTAATTGCGTGGTTTATATTTCCATAATCACTTTTTTTCATGCTTAAAAAGGAATCTGAAAAGGATTTAGTTTGCTAGAATGTTATAATCACTAAATTTGCATTTCAAACACTGTAGAATATCTTAAAGTGTTTTCTTGTGGTGCTTTTTGATTTAGACCACAGTTGAATTATGTCCCTTAGCACTCAATAATTTATGCTTCCAGTTAGCACATTTTCTTATTTCTTTCAATAATGTTTTATTGGTAGCATAAGACATAATATTTTTTCTATGCCCATTAAACAACTCCAGGGGGCGGGGCGGTGGCTTATGCCTGTAATCCCAGCACTTCAGGAGGCTGAGGCGAGTGGATCACCTGAGGTCAGGAGTTCGAGACCAGCCTGGCCAACATGATGAAACCCTGTCTCTACTAAAAATACAAACAATTAGCCAGGTGTGGTGGCAGGCACCTGTAATCCCAGCTACTCAGGAGGCTGAGGCACGAGAATCACTTGAACCTGGGAGGCAGAGGTTGCAGTGAGCTGAAACCGTGTCACTGCATTCCAGCCTGGGCAACAAGAGTGAAACTCTGTCTCAAACAACAAAACAAAACAAAACAAAAAAACAATAACTCCAACTTCCCTTTCCCCTCATCCCCTGGCATCTATCGTTCCATTTTCTGTCTCCATGATTTTGACCATTCTAGATATCTCATGTAAGTGGCATTATATGGTATTTTTTTGTGACTGGCTTTTTTCACTTAGCCTGGTATTACTAAGATTCATCCATGTTGTTGCATATATCATAATTTTTGTCCTTTTTAAGACTGACAATATTCCATTGTAAGTGTATATCACATTTTGCTTTTCTGTTCATTTGTTGATGGACACTTGGGTTGCTTCCATGTTTTAGCTGTCGTGAATAATGCTGCTATGAACATGCATATACAAATATCTCTTTGAGATCCTACTTTTAGTTATTTTGAGATTCAGTTATATACCCAGAAGTGGATTAGATGGTCATTGTGTTTTTAATTTTTTTTTTTTTTTTTTTTGGACAGAGTCTCACTCTGTCGCCCAGGAAGGAGTGAAGTGGTGTGATCTTGGCTCACTGTAACTTCCACCTCCTGGGTTCAAGCAATTCTCCTGCCTCAGCCTCCTGAGTAGCTGAGATTACAGGCGCCTGCCACCACACCTAATTGTTTTGTATTTTTGGTAGAGACAGGGTTTTACCATGTTGGTCAGGCTGGTCTCGAACTCTTGACCTCAAGTGATACACCGGCCTTGGTCTTCCAAAGTGCTGGGATAACAACACCCGTCCTATTTTTAATTTTTTGAGTAACTGCCATACTGTTTTTTACAGTGGCTGTACTATTTTATGTTACCACTAACAATGCACAAGAGTTTCAATTTCAGCACATCCTTACTAACAGTTATTATTTTCTGGTTTTTTGTTAGTAGTCATCCTAATGAGTTTGAGGTAGTATCTTATTGTGGTTTTGATTTGCATTTTTCTAATGATTAGTGATGTTGAGCATCTTTTCATGTGGTTATTGGCCCTTCATATATGCTTTTGTGTAAATATCTGTTCAGCTCTTTTGCCCCTTTTTGAATGGGGTTGTTTGTTTTTTTGTTGTTGAATTTTAGGAGTTCTGTACATTCTGAGTCCCTGATTAGATAAATGATTTGCAAATATTTTCTCACATCCATTCTGTATGTTGCCTTTTTTTTTTTTTTTTTTTTTTTTTTTTTTTGGAGATAAGGTCTCACTCTGTTGACCAGGCTAGAGTGCACTGGCATGATCATGGCTCATTGCAGCCTCAACCTCTTAGCCTCAAGTGATCCTCATCCTCATGCCTCAGCTTCCTGAGTAGTTAGGACTAAAGGCACCTGCCACCATGCCTGGCTAATTTTTAATTTTTCTGTAGCAATGGCGCCTCTTTGTGCTGCCCAGGCTGGTCTTGAACTCTTGTCCTCAAGCAGTTCTCCCATCTTAGCCTCCCAGAGTGCTGGGATTACAGACATGAGCCACTGCACCCCACCTATGTGTTTACTTTTTCTAATCTCTGTTGAGAGTGCTCATTGATGTGCAAGTTTTAAATTTTTATGAAGTCCAATTTGTCTATGTTTTCCTTTTTTCATTTTAATTTTTGTGAGTACATACTAGGTGTATATATTCATGGGGTACATGAGATATTTTGATACAGGCATACAGTCCATAATAATCACATCAGAGTAAATAGGGTATTCATCACCTCAAGCATTTCTTCTTTCGTGTTGCAAACAATCCAATTATGTTCCTTTAGTTATTTTAAAATGTACAATAAATTATTGTTGACTGTAGTCACCCTGTTGTGCTACCAAATACTAGATCTTATTCATTCTATTTAATTATATTTTCATACCCATTAACCAACCCCACTTCTTGCTCATCCCCAGCTACCCTTCCCAGGTTCTGGCAACCATTATTCTACTCTCTGTCTCCATGAATTCAATTTTTAAATTTTTTAGTTCCCTCAAATAAGTGAGAACATGCAAAGTTTGTCTCTCTCTGCTTGGCTTACTTCACTTAACATAATGACCTCCATTCCATCCATGGTGTTGGAAACAACAGTTCTGTTTAAGGATGAATAGTATTCTACCATGTATATGTACCATATTTTCTTTTTTCTTTTTTGAGACAAGGTCTCACTCTGTCACCCAGGTTGAGTGCAGTGGTGTGATCATGACTCACTGCAGCCTTGGTCTTGCGGGCTCAAGCGATCCTCTCATGTCAGCCTCCTGAGTAGCTGGGACCACAGGTGTGAGCCACCATGCCCAGCTAATTTTTGTACTTTTTGGAGAGACAGGGTTTTGCCATGTTACCCAGGCTGATCTCCAGCTCCTGGGCTCAAGTGATCTGCCTGCCTTGGCCTCCCAAAGTGCTGGGATTACAGACATGGTCCACTGCACCCAGCCCACATTTTCTTTATCCATTCGTCTGTTGATGGACACTTAGGTTGCTTCCAAATCATGGCTATTGTGAATAGTGCTGTGATAAGCATGGGATTAAAGGTATCTCTTTGATATACGGATTTCCTTTCTTTTGGTATATATCTAATAGTGGAATTGCTGGATCATATGGTACTTCTATTTTTAGTTTTTTGTGGGGCCTCCAAACTGTTCTCCATAACGGTTGTAATAATTTACATTTTTCACCAACAGTGTACGAAGGTTTCCTTTTCATCCTTGCCAGCGTTTGTTATTGCCTATCTTTTGGATAAAAGCCATTTTAATTGGGATGAGATGATATCCTATTGTAGTTTTGATTTGCATTTCTCTGATGATCAGTGATGTTGAGCACCTTTTCATGTACCTGTTTGCCATTTGTATGTCTTCTTTTGAGAAATGCCTATTGACATCTCGTGACCATTTTTAAATGAGATCGTTAGATTTTTTTTCCTGTAGAGTTGCTTGAGCTCTTTATATAATCTGGTTATTAATTCCTTGTCAGATGGATGGTTTGCACATATTTTCTCCTGTTCTGTGGGTTGTCTCTTCACTTTGGTAATCGTTTCCTTTGTGGTGCAGAAGCTTTTTAACTTGATATGATCCTGTTTGTCTATTTTTTCTTTGGTTGCCTGTGCTTATGGGGTATTTTTCAAGAAATCTTTGCTCAGTCCAATGTCCTGGAGAGTTTCCCCAATGTTTTCTTGTAGGAGAGTTATAGTTTGAGGTCTTAGATTTAAGTCTTTAATGCATTTTGATTTTATTTTTGTATATGATGAGAGAGAGAGGTCTAGCTTCATTCTTTTGCGTATGGATATCCAGTATTCCCAGCATCAGTTATCAAAGAGACTGCCCTTTCTCCAACTTATGTTCTTGGCACCTTTGTTGAAAATGAGTTCACTGTAGATGTATGGATTTGTTTGTGGGTTCTCTATTCTGTTCCATTGGTCTATGTGTCTGTTTTTATGCCAGTACCATGCCATTTTAGTTACTATAGCTCTTATAATTTGAAGTCAAGTAATGTGATTGTTCCAGTTTTGTTCATTATACTCAGGATAACTTTGGCTATTCTGGGTCTTTTATGGCTCCATAGAAATTTGAGGATTGTTTTTTCTGTTTCTGTGAAGAATGCCATTGGTATTTTGATAGGGATTGCATTGAATCTGTAGATTGCTTTGGGTAATATGGGCATGTTAACAATATTGATTCTTCCAATCCACCCATGAACATGGAAAATTTTCTCATTGTTTGTACCCTTTTCAATTTATTTCATTAGTGTTTTATAGCCTTTTTTTTTTTTTTCTTTGAGACAGACACTTGCCCTGTCACTCAAGCTGGAGTGCAGTGGTACAATCTTGGCTCACTGAAACCTCCACCTCCTAGGTTCAAGCAATTCTCATGCCTCAGCCTCCCAAGTAGCTGGGATTACAGGCATGTGCCACCATGCCCGGCTAATTTTTGTATTTTTAGTAGAGACAGGGTTTCACTATATTGGCCAGGCTGGTCTTGAACTCCTGGTCTCAAGTGATCTGCCCACCTCGGCCTCCCAAAGTGCTGGGATTACAGGCATGAGCCACTGTGCCCAGCCAGTGTATTATAGTTTTCGATGTAGAAATCTTTCACTTCTTTGGGTAAATTAATTCCTAGGTATTTAATTTTATTTCCAGATATTGTAAACGGGATTACTTTCTTGATTTCTTTTTCAGATTGTTCACTGTTGGCATGTAGAAATGCCACTGATTTTTATATATTGATATTGTATCCTGCAACTGTACTGAATTTATTTATCAGTTCCAATAGTCTTTTGGTGGAGTCTTTAGGTTTTTTCGAATACAGATCATATCATCTGCAAACAAGAAAAATTTAACTTCTTTTTTTGCAGTTCAGATGCTCTTTATTTCTTTCTTTTGTCTGAGTGCTCTAGCTAGGACTTCTAATACTATATTGAATAACAGTGGTGAAAGTGGGCATCCTTGTCATAGTCTAGATCATAGAGGAAAGGCTTTCAGTTTTTCCCCATTCAGTGTGATACTAGGGCTGCGGGTCTGTTGTGTATGGCTTTTATTGTGTTGACGTATGTTCCTTCTGTAGCATTTTGTGAGGGTTTTATCATGAAGGAATGTTGATTTTATCCAATGCTTTTTCAGCATCTATTGAAATGTTCATGTTTGTATGGCTTTTGTCTTTTCTTTGAGATGGAGTCTCTCTCTGTCACCCAGGCTAGAGTGCAGTGGTGTGACCCCGGCTACTGCAACCTCCACCTCCAGGTTCAAGCAATTCTCTTCAGCCTCCCAAGTAGCTGGAATTACAGGCACCCACCACCACGCCTGGCTAATTTTTGTATTTTTAGTAGAGGCGGGGTTTTGCCATGTTGACCAGGCTAGTCTCGAACTCCTGACTTCAGGTGATCTGCCTGCCTTGGCCTCCCAAAGTACTGGGATTACAGTCATGAGCCACCATGCCAGGCCTGTCCTTCATTTTGTCAATATGATGTATCACATCGATTGATTTATGTATGTTGAACCATCCTTGCATCCCTGGGATAAATCCCACTTGGTCAAAGATCTTTTTAATATGTTGTTGAATTTGATTTGTAGGTATTTCTTTGAGGATTTTTGCATTAATGTTCATCAGGGATATTGACTTGTAGTTTTCTTTTTTGATGTGTCTTTGTCTGGTTTTGGTATCAGGGTAATACTAGCCTTGTAGAATGAGTTTGGAAGTATTCCCTCTTCCTCTATTTTTTGAATCATTTGAGTAGGATTGGTATTTATTTTTCTCTTAAACGTTTGGTAAAATTCAGCAATGAAGTCATTGAGTCTTGGGCTGTTCATTGCTGGCAGAGTTTTTATTACAGCTTTGATATCATTACTTTTTATTATGGCTTTGTTTTCATTACTTGTTGATCTGTTCAGGTTTTGGATTTCTTCATGTTACAATATTGGTAGGTTGTACATGTCTAGGAATTATCTATTTCTCTAGGTTTTCCAACTTATTGGCATATAGTTGTTCATAGTAGCCTCTAATAATCTTTTGAATTTTTGTGGTATTGGTTGTAATGTCTCCTTTTTCATTTCTGATTTTATTTATTTGAGTCTCCTCTCTTCTTTTCTTAGTCTGGCTAAAGGTTTGTCGGCTTTGTTTATCTTTTCAAAAAAGCAACTTTTCATATCCCTAATCTTTTGTATTCCTTCACTGCAATTTCATTTATTTTTGCTCCAATCTTTATTATTTTTTTCTTCTACTAATTTTGGGTTTGGTTTGCTCTTGCTTTTCTAATTCTTTTAAATGGATTCCTGTTTGCTTTTCTACTTTTTTGATGTAGGTGCTTATAGCTATAAAATTTCCTTTTAATATTGCTTTTGCTGTATCCCATGGGTGTTGATATGTTGTGTTTTCATTATTATTATTATTATTTTTTTAGATGGAGTCTTGCTTTGTTGCCCAGGCTGGAGTGCAGTGGCATGATCTTGGCTCACTGCAACCTTTGCTTCCTGGGTTCAAGCAATTCTTCTGCCTCAGCCTCCTGATTAGCTGGGATTACAGGCATGCACCACCACATCTGGCTAATTTTTGTATTTTTAGTAGAGACAGGGTTTCACTGTGTTGGCCAGGCTGGTCTTGAATTCCTGACCTCAGGTGATCTGCCCGCCTTGGCCTCCTAAAGTGCTGGAATTACAGGTGTAAGCCACCGCTCCCAGCCTTCATTACCATTTGATTCAAGAAATTTTTAAATTTCTTTCTTAATCTTTTTGTTGACTCAGTGGTCATTCAGGAGCACATTGTTTAATTTCCATGTGTTTGTATAGTTTCCAAGATTCCTCTTGTTATAGATTTCTAGTTGTATTCCATTGTAGTCAGAGAAGATATTTGATATAATTTTGATTTTTTTGAAATTTTTATTTTTAATTATTTATTTTTGAGATGAAGTCTTGCTCTGTTACCCAGGCTGGAGTGCAGTGGCACGCTCTCGGCTCACTCCAACCTCCGCCTCCTGGGTTCAAGCAATTTTCCTGCCTCAGCCTCCTGATCAGCTGGGATTACAGGCATGCACCACCACGTCTGGCTAATTTTTGTATTTTTAGTAGAGACAGGGTTTTGCCATGTTGGCCAACCTGGTCTTGAATTCCCGAACTCAGGTGGTCTATCCACCTCGGCCTCCCAAAGTGCTGGGATTACAGGTGTGAGCCACCGCACACGGCTTGAAATTTTTTAAGACTTGTTTTTTGACCTAACATATAGTCTATCCTTGAGAATGATCCATGTGCTAAGGAGAAGAATGTATATTCTTCAGCCATTGGATGAAATGTTCTATGAATATCCTACGTCCATTTGGTCTATCGTGCAGATTAAGTTTGATGTTTCTTTGTTGATTTTCTATCTGGAAGATGAAAGTGGGGTGTTCACGTCTCCAGCTATTATTATATTGGGACCTATCTCTTTAGCTCTAGCTCTAATATTAATTGCTCTGTATATCTTGGTGCTGCAGTGTTGGCTGCATATATATTTATAATTGTTGTATCCTCTTGCTGAATTGACCCCTTTATCATTATATAATGACCTTCTTTGTCTCTTTTTATAATTTTTGTCTTGAAATCTATTTTATCTTAAAATCTATTTTGTCTGTAAATCTGCCATAAATATAGCTACTGCTGCTCTTCTGCAGTTTCTGTTTGCATGGAGTATCTTTTTCTATTTCTTTATTTTCAATCTATGTGTATCTTTATTAAGAGAAGTATGTTTCCTGTAGGCAAAAGATTGTTGGGTCTTGTTTTTTTAATCCATTCAGCTACTCTATGTCTTTTGGAGAGTTTAGTTCATTTACATTGTTATTATTGATAAGTAATGACTTACTCCTGTCATTAAAAAATTTTTTTTTTCTGTTAGTTTTGTGGTCTTCTCTTCCTTTTTTCCATCCTTCCTATCTTCCTCTTACTAAAGATGATTTTCTCTTGTGATGTTTCAGTTTTTTGCTTTTTATTTTTTGTATATCAGTTATATGTTCTTTGATTGGAGGTTACCATGAGGCTTGCAAATATCTTATCACCTGTTATTTTAAACCGATGACAACATTGATTGCATAAACAAGCAAACTAGGCCGGGTGCAGTGGCTCACACCTATAATCCCAGCACTTTGGGAGGCCGAGGCAGGTGGATCACCTGAGGTCAGGAGTTTGAGACCAGCCTGGCCAACATGGTGAAACTCTGTTTCTACTAAAAATACAAAATTAGCTAGGTGTGATGGGGCACACCTGTAATCCCAGCTACTTGGGAGGCTAACAGGAGAATCACTTGAACCCAGGAGGCAGCTGCTGCAGTGAGCTGAGGTTGCACCACTGCACTCCAGCCTGGGCCAGACTGAGTGAGACTCTGTCTCAAAAAAAACAAAAAAACAAAACACCACCAAGCAAACTAACACTGAAGCAAAGACAAAATTAATAAAAAAACTCTATACTTTGTCTCTGACTTTTAAACTTTATGTCTCTATTTATATCTTATTATACTGTCTATGTCTAGAAAAGCTGTTTTAGTTTTTTTAGTTTTTTTAGTTTTTTTTTTTTTTTTTTGAGTCAGAGTCTCACTCTGTCTCCCAGGGTGGAGTGCAGTGGTGCGATCTCGGCTCACTGCAAACTCTGCCTCTCAGGTTCAAGAGATTCTCCTGCCTTAGCCTCCCGAGTAGCTGGGACTACAGGCAGGCACCACCATGCCCGGCTAATTTTTGTATTTTTAGTAGAGACGGGGTTTCGCTATGTTGGCCAGGCTGGTCTTGGACCCCTAACCTTCAGTTATCTGCCCTCCTCGGCCTCCCAAAGTGCTGAGATTACAGGTGTGAGTCACTGCGCCTGGCCTTTCTACTCAAGATACAGTAGTTTACATACCACAATTACAGTGTTATAATATCCCATGTTTTTCTTTGTACTTTCTGTTACCAGTGAGTTTTGTACCTTCAGGTGATTTCTTATTGCTCATTAACATCCGTTTTTTTTCTTTCTTTTTTTTTTAATCAGATTGAAGCACTCACTTTAACATTTCTTGCAGGACATGTCTGGTGTTGAGGAAGTCCCTCAGCTTTTGTTTGTCTAGGAGAGTATTTCTCCTTCGTGTTTGACTGGCTATACTATTTTGTTAGGTTGGTGCAAAAGTAATTACAGGTTTTTTTTTTTTTGCCACATATATATTTTCTTTTCTTCAGCACTTTATGCCATGTCACTCTCGCCTGGCTTGTAAGGATTTCACTGAAAAGTCTGCTGCCAGATGTATTGGAGTGCCATTGTATGCTATTTGTTTCTTTTCTCTTGCTGCTTTTAGGATTCTTTTTATCCTTGACCTTTAAGAGTTTGATTATTAACTGTGTTGTAGTGATCGTCTTTCGGTTAAATCTGCTTGGTGTTCCATAACCTTCTTGTACTTGAATATCAGTATCTTTCTCTAGATTTTGTACGTTCTCTGTTATTATCCCTTTGACTAAACTTTCTACCCCTATCTCTCTGCCTCTTTTTCAAGGCCAATAACTCTTAGATTAGCCCCTTTGAGGCTATTTTCTAGATCCTGTAAGAGTGTTTGATTCTTTTTTATTTTTTTCTCCTCTGACTGTGTATTTTCAAATAGCCTGTCCTCAGACTTGCTAATTCTTTCTTCTGCTTGATCAGTTCTGCTGTTTAGAGACTCTGATGCATTCTTCAATATGTCAATTGCATTTTTCAGCTCCAGAGTTTCTGGTTGATTCTTTTTAACTGTTTCTCTCTTTGTTAAGTTTATCTGGTAGGATTCTGAGTTCTTTCACTGTGTTGTCTTGAATTTTATTAGGTTTCCTCAAAACAGCCATTTCGAATATTCTCTTCAAAAGGTCACATATCTCTGTCTCTGCAGGATTGGTGACTGGTACCTTATTTAGTTTTTTTTGGTGAGGTCATGTTTTCATGTATATTCTTGATGCTTGTGGATATTGAGGTCTGGGCATTGAAGATTTCGGTATTTATTATAGTCTTCATAGTCTGGATTTGTGTGGACCTGTCCTTCTCTGGAAGGATTTCCAGGTATTTGAATGCACTTGGGTGTTGTCATCTAAGTTTTTGGTCACTGCAGCCATATTTGTATTAGGGGGCATCCCAAGCCCAGTAACGCTGTGGCTCTTACAGTCTAATAGATGTACCATCTTGGATAAGATCTGCAAAAATTCTCTGGATTACCAGGCAGAGACTCTTGTTCTTCCCCTTTCTTTCTCCCAGAAAAGTAGAGTCTCTCTGTCTGTGTCAAGGTGCCTGGAGCTGGAGGAGGGGTGACATAATCACCACTGTGGCCAACACTGGGATTGTATTTGGTCAGACCTGAAGCCAACACAGCACTGCGTCTCTCCCAGGGCCCATGGTAACCGCTGCCTTGTCACTACCTGTGTTTGCTGAAGATCCTAGGGCTCCAGAATCAGTAGGTGGTGAAGCCAACCAGGCTTGTGTCCTTCTCTTCTGGGTGGTGACTTCTCCCAGTCTCAGATAGGTCCAGAGGTGTCATCCGGGAGCCAGGGCCTGGAGTAGTGAATCTTCAAAATCTACCTGGTGCTGCTATATGCTACTGTGGCTGAGCTGGGACCTAAGCCACAAGACAGTCCTTTCCACTCTTCCCTCCCCTTTCCACAAGCAGAAGAGTCTCTCCCTGGGGCCACCACCATCCCAGGCCTGCGGCAAATACTGCCTGGCTACCACTGATATTCATTCAAGGCCTGAGGGTTCTTCAGTCAGCTTGTAGTGAATGCTGCCAGTCCTGGGACTCTCCCATCAGGGAAGTGGTCTCCCCACTGGCCCAGGGCAGATCCAGAAATGGTGTCCAAGAGCCTAAGCCTGGACTTGGGGACCCCAAGAGGCCATGTGGTGCTTTACCCCATTGTGGCAAAGCTGATACCTAAGCTGCATAACAATGTCCCCTTAGTCTTCCTCCTCCTTTTCTCAAGTAGAAGGAGTCCCTCACCATAGCCATCACAGCTGGTAATGTGCTGAGTCACACCTGAAGTCAGCACATCTCTCAATCTTACCCAAGGCCCACAGCGGGTATTGCGTGAGTATTGCTGTTGGTTATTCAAGACCCAAGGGCTCTAGAGTCAGGAAGTGATGAATCCTGCCAGGACTGGGTTCTTCTCTTCAAGGTAGTGGGTTGCTTTGTGGCCCAGGGTGTATCTAGAAATGTCATCTATGAGCTAGGGCCTGAAATGGGAGTCTTCGTCCTCTGCCTAGTGCCTTATCCTACTATAGCTGAGCTGGTTTCCAAGTTGCAAGACAGAATTCTGTTTACTCTTCCTTTTCCTCTCCTCAGGTAGAAGGAAGGAATCTCTCCTGGGGCTGTGAGCCATGCTACCTGGGGTTAGGAGAGAGGTGGGGCACAAGTATTCACTTGGCCACCCTCATTGATGTCTCACTGGGTCATGTATTCCCCAAGTTCTCTGGCTTTGAGCCAACACGGCACCAGGATTTGCCTAGGAATTGCAGGCCTTGTGGTCTAGACTGCCTTTCAAGTTTATTTAGGACCCCAGAATACATTATCCCGTGGTGGTGAGGCTTGAAGGACCTCAGGTTGTGACTGCTGGCATGAATGATTCCCTTCTGGCTAGGGCTGGTCTAAATACTTCCTCTGTGGGCCCCGGCTCAGTTTTATCTGATGTTGCTTTCTGCTGTAACAGGCAGCACTGAGTTCTAATGCAAAATCCCATAATCAATGTACTCTCCCCCATCCAAGTGCATAGATTCTCCCTCCATGCCACGCAGCTGCTGCAAAGGGATGGGGGAGGGGTTGCATCAGCAGTTGAAGACTGTCTTTTCTGTTCTATTCAGTGTTAAGAAACGATTGCTCACCTGATTTTTGGTTCTTATGAAGGTGCTTTCTTGTGTGGATAGTTGTTCAATTGGTATTCCTGTGGGGAGGATGATCCATGATTCAGCCATTTTTCTCTGCCCTGTTTTTCTTTTTCTTTTTTTAATTGTTGCCTGTGCCTTTGGTGTCACATCTAAGAAATCATGGGCAAATCCACTGTCATGAAGCTTTTGCCCTATATTTTTTTTTAAGGAGTTTTATAGTTTTAGCTCTTGAGTTTGGGTCTTTGCTCTATCAAGTTAATTTTTTTATATAGTGTTAGATAAGGGCCTGACCTTTTTTTTTTTTTTCTTTTTTGCATGTGAATATTCCGTTTTCTCAGCACCAATTTTTTTTTTTTTTTTTTTTTTTTTTGAGACAGAGTTTCACTCTGTCACCCAGACTGGAGTGCAGTTGTATGATCTCGGCTCACTGCAACTTCTGCCTCCCGGGTTCAAGTGATTCTCATGCCTCAGCCTCCCCAGTAGCTGGGACTACAGGCATGCGCCACTACATCCGGCTAATTTTTGTATTTTTTGGTACAGATGGGGTTTCACTGTGTTGGCCAGGCTGGTCTCAAACTCCTGGTCTCAAGTTATCCACCCACCTTGGCCTCCCAAAGTGCTGGGATTACAGGCCCAGCCTCCCAGCACCATTTTTGAAAAGCCTGTCTTTTCCCCATTGAGTGGTGTTGGCACCCTTGTTGAAAATCATTTAATTGTATATGTGAGCATTTATTCCTGGCCTCTCTGTTCCATTGATCTGTATGTCTATCTTTATGCCAGTACTACCCTGTTTTGATTACTGTAGCTTCTAAATATGTTTTGAAATCAGGAAGTGTGAGTCTTCTAATTTTGTTCTTCTTTCTCAAAATTATTTTGGGTATTTGAGATCCCTTGTGATTCCACATGAATTTGAGGATGGATTTTCCTATTTCTGAAAAAAAAAAGTCATTGGGATTTTGATAGGGATTGTATTGAATCTATAGATAACTTTGTGTAATATTGACATTTAAACAATATTAAATTTTCCAGTCCATAAACATGGGATGTCTTTTCATTTACATCTTCTCTAATTTCTTTTAGCAATGTTTTGTAGTTTTATTGTATGCGTCTTTCACTGTCCTGGTTAATTCCTAATTATTTTATTCTTTGTGATGTTATTATAAATGGAATTGCTTTTTTTTTTTTTTTTGAGACAGAGTCTCACTCTGTTGCCCAGGCTGGAGTGCCATGGCGCAATCTTGGCTCACTGCAACCTCCACCTCCTGGATTCAAGCAATTCTCCTGCCTCAGCCTCCTGAGTAGCTAGGATTACAAGCGCCTGCCACCACGCCTGGCTAATTTTTGTATTTTTAGTAGAGACGGGGTTTCACCATGTTGGTCAGGCTGGTCTCAAACTCCTGACCTCGTGATCCACCCACCTTGGCCTCCCAAAGTGCTGGGATTACAGGCGTGAGCCACCACACCTGGCCAATGGAATTGCTTTCATAATGTCCTTTTCAGATTGTTTGTTGTTAATGTTAGAAATGCAACTGATTTTTGTGTGTTAACTTTGTATTCTTTTACTTGGTTGAATTTGTGTGTTAGTTCTAATAGTTTTTCTAGAGTTTTCTACATATAAGATCGTATAATCTGTGAACAGAGGTATTTAAATTCTTCTATTCTATTTTAGATGCCTTTTTTCTCTCTTGTCTATGTGCTCTGGTGCTCTGGCTAAGACATCCAGTAGTACTCTGTTGAATAGAGGTGGTGAGAGTGGACATCCTTGACTTGTTCCTGATCTTAGAGGAAAAGCTTTCAGTTTTTCATCATTGAGTATAATGTTCACTATGGTTTTTTCTTTCTTTTTTTTTTTTTTGATGGAGTCTCACTGTTGCCCAGACTGGAGTGTGGTGGCTGCGATTTCGGCTCACTGCAACCTCTGCATCCCGGGTTCAAGCAATTCTCCTGCCTCAGCCTCCTGAGTAGCTGGGATTACAGGCTGTGCCACCACAGCCAGCTAATTTTTGTATTTTTAGTAGAGACAGGGTTTCACTATGTTGGCCAGGATGGTCTCGATCTCTTGACCTCGTGATCCACCTGCCTCAGCCTCCCAAAGTGCTAGGATTATAGGCATGAGCCACTGCGCCCAGCCGAATATGGTTTTTTCATATGTGACCTTAGTATGTTGAAGTAGTTGCCTTCTATTCTTAGTTTCTTAAGTGTTATCATGAAGGAATATTGAATTTTGTCAAAGGTTTTTTTCTATATCAGTTGAGGTAACCATGTGTTTTTTTAATTTATTCTATTAATGCAGTGTATTATACTGGTTGATCTTTTTATTTTTATTTTATCCTTTTTTTTTTTGAGACGGAGTCTCGCTCTGTCGCCCAGGCTGGAGTGCAGTGGCACAATCTCGGCTCACTGTAAGCTCCGCCTCCCAGGTTCACGCCATTCTCCTGGCTCAGCCTCCCCAGTAGCTGGGACTACAGGCGCCCGCCACCACGCCCGGCTAATTTTTTGTATTTTTAGTAGAGACGGGGTTTCACCGTGTTAACCAGGATGGTCTTGATCTGCTGACCTCATGATCCGCCCGCCTCGGCCTCCCAAAGTGCTGGGATTACAGGCATGAGCCACCGCGCCCGGCCTATACTGGTTGATTTTTATATGTTGGATCATTCTTGCATTTCAGGAATAAATCCCACTAAGTTATAATGTATAATCCTTTAAATATGTGGCTGAAAGACTGTGTGTGGTGGCTTAAACTTGTAATCCCAGCACTTTGGGAGGCTGAGGTGGGAGGATCACTTGAACCCAGGAGTTCAAGGCCAGCTTGGGCAACATAGAGAGACCCCATCTCTACAAAAAAAAAAAATAAATAGATAAAACAAATTAGCTGGGCATACGGCTGGGCACAGTGGCTCACGCCTGTAATCATAGCACTTTGGGAGGCTGAGGCAGACGGATTGCCTGAGCTCAGGAGTTTGAGACCAGCCTGGGCAACACAGTGAAACCCCGTCTCTACTAAAATACAAAAACTTAGCTGGGCATGGCAGCGTGCACCTGTAGTCCCAGCTACGGGGGAGGCTGAGGCAGGAGAATTGCTTGAACCCGGGAGGCAGAGGTTGCACAGTGAGCCGAGATCATGCCACTGCACTCCAGCCTGGGTGACAGAGCAAGACTCTGTCTCCAAAAAAAAAAAAAAAAAAAGCATACCTGTGGTCTCAGCTGCTCAGGAGGCTGAGGTGGGAGGATCGATTGAGCCCAGCAGGTCAAGGCTACATTGAGCCATGATCAAGCCACCGCACTCCAGTCTGGGTAACAGAGTGAGACCCTGTTTCAACAAAGAAAAGAGTGGCTGAATCTGGTTTTCTATGATTTAGTAGAGAATTTCTTCGTCAATGTTTATGACAGATACTGGTCTATAGTTTTCTTGCAGTGTCTTTGTCTGGCTTTGGTATCAGGGTAATGCTGGCCTCATAGACTGAGTTAGGAAGTATTCTCTTCTCTTTAATTTTTGGGAAAAGTTTGAGAAGGATTGGTGTTAGTCCCCTTTTAAATCCATGGTAGAATTGACCAGTGATGCTGTCAGATCCAGGGCTTCCTTTTGTTGGGAGATTTTTGATTAATGATTTAACTTTCTTAACAGTTTTAGTTCTACTTGGATTTGGATTTTTACTTTCTTCATGATTCCATCCTGGAAGGTTATTTATTTATTTATTTTTTTGAGACAGAGTCTTGCACTGTTGCCCAGGCTGGAGTGCAGTGGCACAATCTCAGCTCACTGCAACCTCTGCCTCCCAGGTTCAAGTGATTCTTCTGCCTCAGCCTCCTGAGTAGCTGGGATTACAGGCACCTGCCACCATGCTCAGCTAATTTTTTTTTGTATTTTTAGTAGAGATGGGGTTTCGCCACGTTGGCCAGGTTGGTCTCAAACTCCTGACCTCAGATGATCCGCCTGCCTTGGCCTCCCAAAGTGCTGGGATTACAGACGTGAGCCACTGTGCCTGGCCTGGTTTTTTGTTTCTATGAATTTATCCATTTCATCTATGTTATCCAATTTGTTAGCGTACAGTGGTTCATAGTACTCTTTTATAGTTCTTTTCATTTCTGTAGAATTTGTAGTAATGTCCCCACTTTTATTTCTGACTTAGGAATTTTAGTCCTTTCTCTCTTTTTTTAGTCCATTTAGCTAAAGATTTGTCAGCTTTATTGTTTTTTGAAGAACCAACTTTTAGTTTCATTAATTTTTCTCTATTGTTTTTCTCCTTCCTGTCTGCACTCTCATATTTAGTATTTCCTTTCTTCTGCTAGCTTTGGGTTTAGTGTGGCCTTTTCCCCCCATTTCCTTAAATTATAAAGTTAGGTTTTTGATTTGAGATCAATCTTTCCTTCTTCTTTTCTTTCCCTTCCCTTCTCCCTCCCCTTCCCTTTCTCCTTTCCCATTTCCCCTTCCCTTTTTCCTTTCCTTCCCTTTTTCCTTTCCTTCCCTTTTTCCTTTCCTTTTCCTTTTTCCTTTCCTTTCCCTTTTCCTTTCTGAGACAGGCTGGAGTGCAGTGGCACTACCATGGCTCACTGCAGTCTTGACTTCTCTGTCTCAGGTGATTCTCCCACCTCAGGCTCCTGAGCAGCTAGGACTACAGGTGTGTGCCACCACACCTGGCTAATGTTTTGTATTTTTTTAGTAGACAGGGTTTTGGCATGTTGCCCAGAATTGTCTCAAACTCCTGAGCTCAAGTGATCTGCCCACCTAGACCTCCCAAAGTGCTGGGATTACAGGCATGAGCCACTGCATCTGGACTATTTTTCTTTTTCTTCTTTCTTAGTTAAGCATTTACAGTTACACATTTCTCCCTTAGCACTGCTTTCACTATATTCTGTCAGTTTTGGCATGGTGTGTTTTAATTTTTATTGGTCTCTAAGTACTTTTAAATTTTCCTTGTGATTGTTTTTTGATATATTGGCTGTTTGAGTGCATTTAATTGCCACAGATTTGCAAATTTTTTCTTCTGTTATTTATTTATAACTTCATCCTGTTGTGTTCAGAGAAGATACTTTGTATGACATCTGTCTTTCATAATTTACTAAGACTTAATTTGTGGCCTAACAAATGGTCTATCTTGGAGACTGTTCCATGTACATTTGAGAATAATATATATTCTGTTGTCATTGGGTAGAGTATTCTGTATATGTTTGTTAGATCTAAGCGATTTATTTTATTATTTAAGTCCTCTTTTTCCTTACTTATCTTCTGTCTGGCTATTCTATTCATTATGAGAGTGGGGTGTTGTCTCTGTTATTGCAAAATTATCTATTTCTCCCTTCAACTCTCACCATTTTTGCTGGTCTGTTATTTGGTACATAAATATTTATAATTATTATGGCTTCTTGCTTTTTTTGAATATTTTATTAATATATAATGTCCTTTTTTTTCTGTTGTAACTTTTTTTGATTTAAAGTCTAGTTTTTCTGATATTGGTTTAGGTACCCCTGCTCTTGTTTGGTTATTATTTGCATGGAATATTTTTTTCCATCCTTTCACTTTCAACCTATTTGTTTGGATTTAAAGTGTATCCCCTGTAGACTGCATATGGTTGAATGATAATTTTTAAATAAATTAGGCTGATCTCTCTCTTTCTATTGGAGACTTTAACTCATTACCATTTAAAGTAATTAATGATAAGGAGGGACTTCTGTCATTTTGCCATCTGTTTTCTATATGCCTTATAGGTTTTTTTGTCCCTCATTTCCTGCATTACTGTGTTTTTGTATTTTGTATAATTTTTTATTTTATTTATTTAATTAATTATTTTATTTTATTTTATTTTTTTTGAGACAGAGTCTTACTCTCTCACCCAGGCTGGAGTGCAGTGGTGCCATCTCGGCACCTCCCGGATTCAGGTGATTCTCCTGCCTCAGCCTCCGAAGTACCTGGGATTACAGGTACTCACTGCCACACCTAGCTAATTTTTGTTTGATTTGTAGAGACAGGGTTTCACCATGTTGGCCAGGCTGGTCTCGAACTCCTGGCCTCAAGTGATCCACCTGCCTTGGCCTGCCAAAGTGCTGGGATTACAGACATGAGCCACCACGCCCAGCTGAAGTGTTTTAATTTTATATTATTTCCTTTTCTGTGTATTGCATAACTATTTGTTCTAGGTTACCATTAACATCCTAAAGTTATAACACTCTAATTTAAATTCATACCAACTTAACCTCAATAAAATACAAAAACTACTCCTTTTGAACATCATCCCCACTCCTTTCAGTTCTTGATATCACAGAATCGCATTTTTGTACATTGTGGATATAAAAAAAGCATAAACTAGGCTGGGCGCGGTGGCTCACACCTGTAATCCCAGCACTTTGGGAGGCTGAGGCAGGAGGATCACCTGAGGTTGGGAGTTCTTGACCAGCTTGACCAACAAGGAGAAACCCATCTCTACTAAAAATACAAAATTAGCTGGGCCTGGTGGCACATGCCTGTAATCCCAGCTACTTGGGAGGCTGAGGCAGGAGAATCGGTTGAACCCGGGAGGCGGAGGTTGTGGTGAGCCAAGACTGTGCCATTGCACTCCAGCCTGGGCAACAAGAGCGAAACTCTGTCTCAAAAAAAACAAAAAAAAAACCCCAAACAAAACAAAACAAAACAAAAAAACCCATAAACTAATAATTTTTAAAATATCTGAGTCTTTAAAATTATGTAGAAAACAAAATATGGACTTAAAAACCAAAGTTACAATAATACTAAGTTTTAAACTAATTATTGTCTCTTTTAAAAATGTAGTACAGGCCTGGTGAGGTGGCTTATGCCTGTAATGCTAGCACTTTGGGAGGCCAAAGCGGGCAGATTGCCTGAGCTCAGGAGTTTGAGACCTGCCTGGGCAACACAGTGAAACCCTGTCTCTACTACAATACAAAAACTTAGCCAGGCGTGGCAGCGTGTGCCTGTAGTCCCAGCTACTTGGTAGGCTGAGGCAGGAGAATCCCTTGAACCTGGGAAGCAGAAATTTCAGTGAGCCAAGATCGTGCCACTGCACTCCAGCCTGGGCAACAGAGCGAGACTCCATCTCCAAAAAAAAAAAAAAAATGTAGTACAGGTTTGCTGGGTGCGGTGGCTCATGCCTGTAATCCCAACCCTTTGGGTGGATGAGGTGGGTGGATCACCTGAGGTCAGGAGTTCAAGACCAGCCTGGCCAACATGGCGAAAACGTGTCTCTACTAAAAATACAAAAAGTAGCTGAGTGTGGTGGCACACGCCTGTAATCCCAGCTACTCGGGAGGCTGAGGCAGGAGAACTGCTTGAACCCAGGAGACGGAGGTTGCAGTGAGCCGAGATTGTGCCACTGCATTCCAGCCTGGGTGACAGAACGAGACTCCATCTCAAAAAAAAAAAAAAATGTAGAATGGGTTGAGTATCCCTTATCCAAGATGCTTGGGACCAAAAGCATTTAACTGAGCAGGACAGTAGCATCATCAGGATACCAGTATTGGCTGTTAAACAAGAACAATAACAAATAATGGCAGATTTTTTTATTTTTCTGGTGTGGAATTTTCCACTTTTGGTGTCAGGTTGGCACTCAAAAAGTTTCAGATTTTGGAGCAGTTCAGATTTCAGATTTGTGGTTTAGGGATGCTCAACCTGTAGTCTCTTAAATTATGTGGAAAACAAAAAGTGGAGTTACAAACTGTTGTTACAATAATATTAGTGTTTATAATTGCTCATGTATTTACTTTTACCAAGATCTTTATCTCTTCATATGGCTTCAAGTTACTGTCTAGTGTCCTTTCATTGCAACCTGTAGCACTAGTTTTAGCATTTCTTGCAGGGCAAGTCTGTGGTAACAAACTTTCTTGGCTTGTATTTATCCGGAAATGTCTTGAATTCTTCACTTCTGAGGGTCAGTTTTGCTGGATATAATATTCTTGGTTTATAGTTTTCTTGCTTTTAGCACTTTGAATATATCAGTCCACTACCTTATAGCCTCCAAAGTTTCTGATGAGAGATCTGCAGATAATCTTATTAAGGATCCTTTTATGTGACAAATTGCTTCTTTCTTGCTGCTTTCAAAGTTTTTTCTTTGTCTTTATTCAGTTTGCTAATATCTTGGCCTGAGTCTTTTTGAGTGCATCCTACTTGGAGTTTGTTGAGCTTTTTGGATGTTTATATTTGTCTGTTTCATCAAACTTGGGAAGTTTTCAGTCATGGTTTTTTTTTTCAAATAGTTTCTCTCCTGCTTGTTTCTCTTTTTCTTCTGGGACTCCTCTAGTGCATATGTTGGTTCATTTAATGGTGTTCCATAGATTCCTTAGGCCCTGTTCCCTTTTCTTCAATCTTTTTTTTTCTTTCTGTTCCGCAGACTCAATAATTTATCTTTTTTTTTTTTTTTTAGACGGAGTCTTGCTTTGTCGCCCAGGCTGGAGTGCATTGGCATGATCTCGGCTCAGCCTGCTGAGTAGCTGGGATTACATGAGTCCACCACCACACCTGGCTAATTTTGTATTTTTAGTAGAGATGGGGTTTCGCCATGTTGGCTCACTGCAACCTCTGGCTCCTGGGTTCAAGCAGTTCTCCTGCCTCAGCCTCCTGAGTAGCTGGGACTACAAGCACATGCCACCACACCCGGCTAATTTTTTGTATTTTTAGTAGAGACGGGGTTTCACCGTGTTAGCCAGGATGGTCTTGATCCCTGACCTGGTGATCTGCCTGTCTCAGCCTCCCAAAGTGCTGGGATTACAGGCATGAGCCACCGCACCCGGCCCACTATTTTTTTTTTTTTTTTTTTTTTGAGATAGAGTCTCACTCTGTCACCCAGGCTGGAGTGCAGTGGTGCGATTTTGGCTCACTGCAAACTCTGGCTCCTGGGTTCAAACAATTCTCCTGCCTCAGCCTCCCAAGTAGCTGGGACTACAGGCATGTGCCACCACACCCGGCTAATTTTTTGTATTTTTAGTAGAGATGGGGTTTCACCGTGTTAGCCAGGATAGTCTCGATCTCCTGATCTTGTGATCTGCCTGCCTTGGCCTCCCAAAGTGCTGGGATTACAGGTGTGAGCCACTGCGCCCAGCCCTGGCCCACTATTTTTAAGTAATAGTGACTTACTAGTGATGAGAAGGGCAAGCTAGGTGCTAGGAAGAGAACATTGAAACATTAAGTGATTAAAACAAAAACAAGCAAACAAAAATATTTGTTGTGTTACAGATGAGTTTGGCTGCAAGTAAGAGAAACCCCAAGTAACAGCAGCTTCACCATGTAAGGGGTTTATTTTTCTCAAGTCATAAGAAGTCTATTGGGAGGCCGAGGCGGGTGGATCATGAGGTCAGGAGATCGAGACCATCCTGGCTAACAAGGTGAAACCCCGTCTCTACTAAAAAAAAATACAAAAAAAAAAATTAGCCGGGCGCGGTGGCGGACGCCTGTAGTCCCAGCTACTCGGGAGGCTGAGGCAGGAGAATGGCGTGAACCCGGGAAGCGGAGCTTGCAGTGAGCCGAGATTGCGCCACTGCAGTCCGCAGTCCCACCTGGGCGACAGAGCGAGACTCCGTCTCAAAAAAAAAAAAAAAAGAAGTCTAGAGGTAGGCTGCTGGCAGTGGTTCCTTGCCTCAGTGACATAAGGGCTTAAGTCTATGTAGTTTTTTGGACTTTTCTTATTGCATAGGATGCCTTTTGTAGCTCCAAATACCATATTCATGATCAAGGCAGGAAATGGAGGAAAAGGACAGTACCAACCACAACTTTTCCTTTGTCAGGAAAGCGTTTTTCCCAGAAGCCTTCAGCAGAATTTTGTTTACATCCTCTGTCACATAGCCACCTCTACCTGGAAAGGATGCAGGGAGAGTGACCATTTAGCTTTCCCATCCCTAAAATGCATGGTGGCAAAGAAGAAGGGATTTAGCAATGGATATTGTGTTAGTCATGCTTCAGTGTTCTTTTTGTATTGCTGATTTTCTTCCCTCTGAGAGTTTATTTATCAAGTTCTTATATTCCTTCAGTTACTGGTTGATAATTGCAAATTTTATATTTAAAAAATAAAAGAAGATTATTGAGTTTGGCATTGTGCCAGCACTTTATAAACATAATTTCATTTAATGCTTATAATAATCTTTTGATCAAGGTTGATTTTTATAGATGACAAAGTAGATACTTAAAGGAGGTAAACAATTTTCACAAGATCATCCAGCTAGTAAATGGCAGAGCTGGATTTCAAATTTATGTCTTGAATTTGAAACCCTTATTTTCTTTGTCTTTACCAGGATGCTTCCAGCATTTATTTTTTTGCCTTTAGGACATCTTCTTCACCGTCTGAAGCTTAGACACAGCATCCTTGTAGCAGCATCATCTTTCTGCCTCTCCTAGAGTGTAGGTTGTGTTTGTCACAAGCTCGGGATTTACTTCCTGTAAAGACAGCCTCCTTATCTGTTCTTATCCTTTGGATCTATCCCTTTCTGTCCCCTTTGATATATAATTTATTTTAAACCTATTCATGTATTGCTCTACACTTATATTCTGGTTGTTTTATGTATATTTTTTGTTCGTCTTCCAAATAGTCCCTGCTGTGTTACAGAAGCACAGCTTTGAGCTTTGTGTTGTTGTGGGATATAAAATAAATGGATGCAATGGAATCTTTCTCACATACACTGTGAGCTCCTTGAGAGCAGGAACATTGGTGCTCCTTTGATTTTCTCCTTCAGCTTCTTAATAATTTATAAAACTCCAAACATTAAGGCACTCTTTGACCTTCTTGCATATATTGTAAGAAAACACACCAGAATTAAAAAGGATGCACTTTTAGTAGTTGAAGACATCTTTATTGGCCATCCTACTTCTTTTAACTCTTTCTTTCCCTGGGCAAAGTACTGTCAGTTCTCCTGGGTGATATGGTTTCCAGGTGCCTATTTTTTTTTTGCCCTTCTTCTGGCTTTGCTCCAGTTTGTTAAAGCCTTTTATGAAATATGATCTCATGGCTGGGCACGGTGGCTCACGCCTGTAATCCCAGCGCTTTGGGAGGCTGAGGCAGGCGGATCACATGAGGTCAGGAGTTTGAGACCAGCCTGGCCAACATGGCGAAACCTTGTCTCTACTTAAAATATAAAAATTAGCTGGGTGTGGTGACACATGCCTGTAATCCCAGCTACTCAGGAGGCTGCAGCAGGAGAATTGCCTGAACCCGGGAGGCAGAGATTGTAGTGAGCCGAGATCATGCCACTGCACTCCAGCCTGGGCAACAGAGCGAGACTCTGTCTCAAAAAAAAAGAAAAAAGATCCCAGAGTAGTGCAATATATTCTCCTTAGGTCCTGCTTTAGGACAATCTGTCTCTCACTTCTCTTGCTCTAGATTTTGTTCCTAAAAGCGTTACCTTAGGTTGAACTTTTTTTGGTGGTGAGGAGACCAGGTTGCACTTTTTCTGTTTTTGTGTGTTTGTTTTTAGCAGCAATGTTATACTTTTACTCATTTTGAGTTCACAGTTCCCTAAAATCTCTAAATATCACCCATATAAGCACTATAGGTATTAATTTGTTCTCTCCCATCCTTCATTAGTTTTGGGGAGTACAGGAGGAGTCTTTACAATTTAGTTCATTATTCTGGTTGTCAGAATCTTTTTGAATACTTATCCTGACTTCCAGCAGTCATATCCTTCCAAACAACCAGCCATTCTGATGTTTGTTCCTCATGCTATCATTCAAGTCATTCATGATCATATTAAACTGGAGGTCAGAGTTCCATAGATTACCCCTAGAGTACCACTTTCTATTGACATTGATTAATTCATTGGTATTCCCTTAGTGTTTTCAGTAAACCATGTTGGGAACCATCTGACTATGTGCATATTTAATCTGTATTTCTCTGTTTTTCCCATAAACTTGTCATAAGCAACTTTGTCCTGTGATTCAAATTCTTTGTGGTTTGATTTAGCATTTCTCCTCTCTTTCATTTATATTCTGCATATTTCACATTCTTGAGTGAATATTGACAGTAGATCCAGAATCTTTTTCCTCCCAACTTTTTCTCCTAAAAAATTTTGTCACATTCATTTTCCTTTCACCTAGATTCACCAGTTGTTAACATTTTGCTACAGTTGTATTCTCTCTTCCTTTGTGAAACCAATTCAAAGCAAGTTGCAGACATCATGAGACATCATCCATAAATACTTCATAGCGTACTTCCTAAGAGCAAGGATTTTTCCTACATACCCACATTAATATTAGCACATCTAATAAATTTAACATTTCTGCACCAATCTTACATAAAATAAAGTTCATATTCAGATGTATTTTCTAAAAAAGGTCCTTTATTGTTTTTTTCCCAATCCAACATTCAAACAAGGATCATGCATTATATTTACTTGTTATGTCTCATTAGACTCCTTTAATCAAGAATATTACCCCTACTTGTTTTTTTTTTTTTTTTTTTTTTGAAATGGAGTTTCACTCAGGCTGGAGTGCAGTGGCACGATCTCAGCTCACTGCAACCTCCACCTCCCAGGTTCAAGCGATTCTCCTGCCTGAGCCTCCTGTGTAGCTGGGACTACAAGTACGCACCACCATGCCCAGCTAATTTTTGTATTTTTAGTAGAAATGGAGTTTCACCATGTTGGCCAGGATGGTCTCCATCTATTGACCTCATGATCTGTCCTCCTCGGCCTCCCAAAATGCTGGGATTACAGGTATGAACCATCGCATCTGGCCATTACCCCTACTTAAAAACAATTTTTTTCTTTCATGATGCTGACATTTTTAGAGTCCAAGCCAGTTGTCTTGTAATATGTTCTATAATCTGAATTTGTTTCTTGCCTTGTGAGATTCAGCCTAAGCATTTTGGCAAGAAGGTGATGATATGTACTTCCTAGTTTATGACATCAAAATTCATGAGGCAGGAGGATTGTTTGAGCCCAGGAATTTGAGATCAGCCTGGGTGACAAATAAAGACCCCATCTATACAAAAAATTTAAAAATTAACCAGGTGTAGTGGTGCACACCTGTAGTCCTACTTGGGGGGCTGAGGCCGGAGGATTACTTGAGCCCAGGAGGTCGAGGCTACAGTGAGCCAGGATTATGCCACTGAGCTGCAGCCTGGGCCACAGAGCGAGACCCTGTCTAAAAAAAAAAAAGATCTGTAATGTTAGTTTGTCCTTTAATATTATCACAGCTAATAAAATTAACAATAATCTCTTAGAATCATCTAATACCCAGTCTGTATTCAGATCTTGATTGTCACTATGATTTTTTTTTTAATTTTTTTTTTAGACAGAGTTTCGCTCTTGTTGCCCAGGCTGGAGTGCAATGGTGCGATCTTGGCTCACTGCAACCTCCGCCTCCCAGGCTCAAGCAGTTCTCCTGCCTCAGCCTCCCAAGTAGCTGGGATTACAGGCATGCACCACCACGCCCGACTAATTTTGTATTTTTAGTAGAGATGAGGTTTCTCCATGTTGAGGCTGGTCTCGAACTCCTGACCTCAGGTGATCCTCCCGCCTCGGCCTCCAAAAGTGCTAGGATTACAGGCATGAGCCACCATGCCCGGCCAATTGTCACTATGATTTTTAAAAATAGATGATCTATTCAAATAGTCTATATATTTTATTTATTTCTTAAATCTCATTTATTTTATAGTATCTTGCCACCCTTTTTTTCCAATGCCATTGATTTGTTGGGAAAACCAAGTGATTTATTCTATAGTATATTCCACATTCTGGGTTTGTCTCCTACACTATTCTTGGTTATAAAAATCTTCAGTTCAACCTTACTGTCATAGGAAGTTGGGTACTAATTTATTCTTTTTTTTTTTTTTTTTTTTTTTTTGACAGAGTCAGGTTCTCGCTCTGTCACCCAGGCTGGAGTGTAGTGGTGCTATTATGGCTCACTGTAACCTTAAACTCCTGGGCTCAAGTGACCCTCCTGTTCTGTGTTACCATGCCCAGCTGATTTTTACATTTTTTTGTGGAGATGGTATCTTGCTATTGTTGCCCAGGCTGGTCTCAAACTTCTGGCCTCAAGTAACCCTCCAACCTAAGCCTCCCAAAGTGCTGGGATTATAGGCATAAGCCATCGTGCCTGGCTTTTCCTTCTGTTATGTGAGCCTCTTAACTAGCCATAATTATGAACAAAGCTTATGGTATTGTTAACGTGGAAAAAATAGGCATAAAGTGTTGATTGATTCCAGGATATCACCTAAGTGTTAGGGATTGTAGTACAGTCCTAATGTTGGCCTTTTTTTCGTTTTTCTTTTTTAAATGTGCCTTTTCTCCTACAAGATAAAAAAATGATAGTAAAAAAACCTGGTTGGTTAAGGTTCTAACTTAATTTGACTGAGCTTTGTTTAAGTTTTCCCGTCAGTATATGCATGAATAGATTGTACTTATGTGGAACAAGCTAGAGACTGTTTAACCAGATTTGTGTGGTGCCAGGCATAGATAGATACTCAATGTCTTTTGATGAATTGTGTCATATTTTGAGGTTATAAGCTTTTAGAAGTTAGGAGTCTGTTTAATGTCTTTATGTGGTTGGCTTGAAAATGGTGAATAATGATTTGTAAATAATGTTTCCATAAACACTTTTGATTAAATCATATTAAAGTAATATAAAATTAGGAACTAAATTTTAAAATGTTCATGGTTATGTACTCTTGTGAAATGTTTTGATAATTTGACATTTTAAATTTTGAGATGACAATAATAATAAGTGGTTATATTTTTCTCCCTGTAAATCAATAGACATCAAAATTTACAAGCTCTTCGGATATTCCAGTAGAATTTATAAGAAGAAATGTTAAACTACGTGGACGATTACGCCGAATAACTGAGAATGGTTTAGAAATTGAACATATACCTATTACTTTACCTATTATAGCTTCATTGAGAAGTAAGTAAGGTACAAGATTAATGAAACTAACTATTGTGGTCTTCTTTTATTAGAAGTTATTTATAAAATAGCAAAAAAAAGTCATTTTAATTCCTAATAACTCTCCATTGTCCATGAGAAAGTCTCAATTCTTGGCTTTATATATAAGGAGGTGGGAGGTGCTTAATTTGGCTCAGATTTCCTTTCTTCTTTCGTTCCTTTTTTTTTTTTTTGAGACAGAGTTTCACTTTTGTTGCCAGGCTGGAGTGCAATGGTGCAATTTCGGCTCACTGCAACCTCCGCCTCCCAGGTTCAAGCAATTCTCCTGCCTCAGCCTCCTGAGTAGCTAGGATTACAGTCATGCACCACCACGCCCAGCTAATTTTGTATTTTTAGTAGAGATGGGGTTTCTCCATGTTGGTCAGGCTGGTCTTGGACTTCTGACTTCAGGTGATCCGCCCACCTCGGCCTCCAAAAGTGCTGGG
The DNA here is from genome assembly GCF_000001405.40 of Homo sapiens. Lineage (NCBI taxonomy): Eukaryota > Metazoa > Chordata > Mammalia > Primates > Hominidae > Homo > Homo sapiens. The sequence goes on along the minus strand of NC_000003.12, from coordinate 155,775,236 downwards.
ATTACAGGCCTGAGCCACCACACCCTGCCCCTTCACTGCTTTTTAAATTGAACTATTCAATCATTCATTCATTTCACAAATGTTGAGCACCTATTATGGTCTAGAACCTAAGCTAATTGTACAATGTTGGGTAAAACAAAGCTCTTTTAACCCTTGAAGCTTATAGTCTAGGTGCGAGATAGACAACAAACAAATGAAAAGTTGTCCTAAGAGCTATGAAGAAAAGGAGCAGGATACTAGGATAATTCTGGGTGGTCTTGGGGATGGCAGTATGGAATCTATACATATAGAGTAGTCAGAGAAGGCCTCATTGAGGAGTTGTTATTTAATCAGGGACCTGAAGAATTAAGAGGAGGCTAGCTAGAAAGAGGATAGGTGAGAAAGAGCATGATGCTTTTGACAAGACATACCAAGACTCCTGTGATTGAGGCACAGGGAGGAAGGGTGTAAGACAGGGGTATCCAATCTTTTGGCTTCCCTGGGCCACATTGGAAGAAGAAAAATTTTCTTGGGCCACACATTAAATACACTAATGATAGCTGATGAGCTAAAAAAAAAAAAAAAAAAAAAGCAAAACAATATCATAACGTTTTAAGAAAGTTTACAAATTTGTGTTGGGACATATTCAAAGCCATCCTGGGCTGCATGTGGCCCACAGGCTGCAGACTGGACAGGTTTGGTGTAAGATGCCACTTTCCTGCTGCAATTCCCATTTCTCCTTGCTTCACATCAAAGCACCCAGACACACAGACCTTCCTGCTGCTTATATGCATTCTCATAACCCTGGGCCTGGTTCTTTGCTTGGAGTATCTTGGCCTCTGTTGAACATCAATTGATTCTTCAGAATCTGGCTCAACTGTCAGCTCTTCTGTGAAGCCTCCTTAACTGCCAAGCTGCATTAGCCTCTTTCTTTGCTATACCCCACAACAATTTATAATACACTGCAATTATAGTACTTATTCACCTTTTTCTGCTATTATGTATTTAGGTTTATATTCCTTACTGAACTGTGAGCCCCTGATGGGCAAGGAGTTTTTCCTTTTTATTTTGGTATTCAAAGTCCCTAGAAAAAGACTTATTAGCCAATAGAGACTTGGTAAAATTTGTCAAATGAATTAATTTAATTCTATTTATGGCCCTTCTTAATATTCTGATTTTATGAAGAAAGGAGTTCTTGCTTTTTTAAAATCCCGAGTTGAACGAATATCACTCTGTTCAATAATGTACAACTGTAAAGGAACAAGATTGATTTTCCCCCCCAAACATACTTGATACCATTAATTCTTTTAATAAACCAAAGAGAACTTATACAGTTTTAATGAGTGTTGCTCCCTGAAGAGAGATTACCAAGGATGGCCTTTGGCCATCTCAGCTCTAAGCAGGATTTACACTTCACAGGTCCTTTAGCTTCTCAGTTGCTGTAATAATTTAAATCTCTCCTATCTGATAGTAATGACTCGTTAGAGCTTAGCCAGCCAGATCATCACCTGTGGTTGTCCAGGCTATGCATTGCATGTCTACAGGGGTGATATTCCATAGAAATCTGCCTCCTGAAATCATGCAATGCCACAGCACTGTAATTGCCATGTATGATTTTTATATTAAGGGATCTCACACAAATAATAAAGTATTTATGTAATTTGGTACATAGAATCTGAATTTTAGAGCCTAAGGGAGCCTTAGAAGTCCTTAAATTCCCACTTTTCTCCTCCAGTTATTTTAATATTTTCTATAGAGATTAAATGCCATCTAGCTAATGATGATGAAATCAAAGCTAGAAAACAGATTTTCCATCACTTAGTTCAGAACTGCATGTTCTATAGACATGTAGAAGTTAAAGAAACAGATGTTAAATGTCTTATACCTCTCAACAGATATTAACCGCTACAAATGTCATGATAGTGCTAATGCCTGTTTTATGACTAACATAAACTGCTTATGTGAAAAAGATCATTTTGCACTTTCAGACATGAAACCTATTTACCTGTAAAATTGTTTTAGAGCTAGAAAGTTGCTAACCAAACACCATTTTGAATGTTACAATAAGTTGCTAGAGCATAGTCTTCATTTTAAAATAGTTAATTAAAAGCTCCTGTGTTCCTCTCACTATTTTTACTTCTTGGTTTATGTAATAGAAATAGATGTTTATTCTATTTCTGAGGAGGGCTAAGATCCAGGTCCTAAAAATGGAGCTCACTCTTACTAAGAAGGTTTGGTTCAAATGACTCAACATAGTAGTAGAGGCTGCATGGTGTAGTAGAACACAGATTGGTGTGTGGAGCTGTGTTCTGTTTCTACTTTTGGTCTGTGGTTCCCACCACCATCAAACAAGAAAGTTATGATTTCTAAGACTCCTTCCTAATGACAATTCTGTGCCACCTATCCCTTCGGCTGTCTTATTTTTGGTATGTATGAATGAGGAGGCACACACACACACACACACACACACACACACACACACACAGAGCCTAAAAATTTTATGAACTGAAACATTTAGAATACTTCATTCCTCCAATTATTACTGAATGCCTGTGCTATTGCTACTGTCTCAGTACAGCAGCAAAGAAAATGGGCACATGCCTACGGTAGTCATAAAACCTGCAGTCTAGTGAGGAAATTATTCAAAGCTTCTCATCCCTGATGGTAAAAAAAAAAAAAAAGTTTTTGACACAGGTGTAGATGATTCTGCTGTCATACAACTTCATGTGTCTCATGAAGTTGTACATTGTCATGAATCCACTGATAGTATTTTGTAGATCTAGAGTTGTTTACAAAAAAATCAGTTTTTGTATTATATCCTATCTCTCTAAAAACCTCAAAAATATTTAGCCACAGAGTTTCCCACCCATCTCATGAGGCACAAATATAACAGTATCCCTAGTTGGGGTTTGCTTCAGTTTTCATCTCATGTCTGTAGGTTTTCTAGATAATCATGATCCTTCCCTTACTTGACATAGTCACTCTCTACTGCCTTCTGCTTCTCTGTTTATTTGAAACATCCAAGTCCCACTTTGTATTTATTGATTGATTTTGAGACTGGGTCTTGCTCTGTCACCCAGGCTGGAGTGCAGTGGTGCGATCATGGTTCATTGCAGCCTCCTCCTTTCAAGCTGAAGCTATCCTCTTGCCTCAGCCTCCTAAGCAGTTAGGACTACAGAAGTGCACCATCATGTCCACTAATTTTTAAGTTTTTTTTGTAGAAAGGGGGTCTTGCTGTGTTGCCCTTGCCCTTCTTGAACTTCTGGGTTTAAGACATCGGCCCACCTCTACCTTCCAAAGTGCTGGGATTAAAGGCTGAGCCACTGCACCTGGCCAAGTTCTACCTTTTTGATAGAGTACTCTTGGAGTACTCCACTGGAGCCTAAGTTGTTCTCCCCTCCTAACCAGCATGTACTGTGTCATCCCATCTGTTATGAATTGGGTTTTATTTACTTATTTATTTTTGATGTTTGTATAAAAGATTTATTGAAGGGCTCAGAAGATAGAGGGATTCACGTCACAGTAACACAAAACTAAAAAATTCATAGATTAGAAATCAAAGACCAGGTGTGGTGGCTCATGCCTGTATTTCCAACACTTTGAGAGGCTGTAGCAGGAGGATCCCTTGAGCCCAAGAATTTGAGACCAGCCCTGGCAACATTGTGAAACCCTGTCTCCACACACAAAAAATTTAAATTAGCAATGGCTCATACCTGTAATCCAGCACTTTGGGAGGCTGAAGCAGGTGGATCGCTTGAGTCCAGCCTGGCCTACATGGTGAAACCCTGTCTCTACAAAAAATACAAAGATTAGCTGAGTGTGGTGATGCAGGCCTGTAGTCACAGATACTTGGGAGGCTGAGGCGAGAGCATTGCTTAAGCCCAGGAAGCAGAGGTTGCAGTGAGTCAAGATTGTGACACTGCACTCCAGCCTTGGTGACAGAAGTGAGAGCTGATTTCAAAAAACAAACAAATAAACAACAAAATTAGCTGGGCCCGATGGCGTGTGCCTGTTGCCCTGGTTACTTGCGAGGCTGATATGGGAGGATCGCTTGAGCCTGGGAGGTTGAGGCTACAGTGAGCCATGATCATGCCACTGCACTCCAGCCTGGGTGGCAGAGCAAAACCATGTCTCCACACACCACATACACACACACACACACTGTCCTCCAGCCTGGGTGGCAGAGCAAAACTATGTCTCAACACACACACACACACACACACACACACACACACACACAGTGGCAGAGCAAAACTATGTCTCAACACACACACACACACACACACACACACACAGTGGTTCATGCCTGTAATCCCAGCACTTTGGGAGACCGAGGTGGGCAGATAACTTGAGGTCAGGAGTTCAAGACCAGCCTGGCAAATACGGCAAAACCCCCTTTCTACTAAAAATACAAAATTAGCTGGGTGTGGTGGCGGGAGTGTGGTGGCATGCGCTTGTAATTCCAGCTACTCAGGAGGCTGAGGCAGGAGAATCACTTGAGGCAGAGGTTGTAGTGAGCCAAGATTGCACCATTGCACTTCAGCCTGGGTGACAAGAAAGAAACTGCATCTCAAAAAGATAAAAAATAAAGGTAACACTTGCTTTTTCAAAAAATCAATTTGTTTCTGGAAGATTTATTTTTAAATTCTTGTTGATCATATTATATTTTAAATACTCAATGGGGAATTTGCTAATTTAAAGGAATGCAATGACCTTTGTCAAGTAAATAATTAGGATATTAATATTTAGGTTGATAGTGTTTCATTAGATTAATGGACCATCCACTTCAAGTTTTTGGTCCCAAAAGCTTTGGTCTCAAAGACTATGGGGTTGACACAGGATTTTTTTGGCTCTGCTTCGCCAGAGACATCCACAGCTGGTGATGCCCCTGCCTGGACCTTGCTTGGCCCCGGGCTTGCTACAGGAGGTATTCTGCCCACTTGGCCTGGTGGGCTGCACTTGGCTTGCACCCTGGTCTGGACCCTGTGCTCATTTGCACGTGCTGTTCAGTGGGTCTCAATTCTTGTCCCACATCCAAGAAGAATGAGGTTAGCTGATCACTGGTGGGTGAGCAAGGCAAAGAGTTTTGTTGAGTGATAAAACAGCTCTCAGCAGAGAGGGAACCTGAGTTGTGCAACCCAACCCCCGCCACCTGAAGTCAGGTAGTCTCCTGCCCAAAGACGGGCAGTTTCAAAGTGTGGTTGAGTTTGGGGCTTTTTAGGCTCAGAATGGGTGAGTGCACGCTGATTGGTTTGTGAGTATGCAAAAAAGGCTAAAAATGTGCACCACTAAAAGATGGGCATGACAGTGCAAAAACCAATTAGGGAAGGGTAGCTATATGTAAAATAGGTGGAGGTTGGGGATCAATCAGAGGAAAGAGCACCAAATAAGAAGAGAGGCTCTCTATCCACTCCATGGATTTATCTGAGACTTGCAGCTTGGTTTTTGGGCTTTAAACTGTCTTTGGTTTGAAGGTCAGGTTTCACCGGGCACCTGCCCCTATTTTCCTGGGAATTTGACTGCCTCCTGCTGCTATCAGCATGTCTTACTGGAAGAGGATTGGTGGTGTTGGCAACATTACAGGATTGGAGAGGGACCTCAGAATTTTCAGGCTTTCTGTAACTCATTATGTACTAATGATTTGACATAATTTAATCTTTGTTGGATATACTGCCTTAATCTAATTTGTGTATTATTGTAACAAAGTTTTTGTAAAAGTATGATCATTCTACAAATACCTTTTTCTTCTTCTTCTTTTTTTTTTTTTTTTTTGAAACAGTCTCACTCTATTGCCCAGGCTGGAGTGCAGTGGTGCGATCTTGGCTCACTTCAGCTTCTGCCTCCTAGATTGAAGTGATTCTCGTGCCTCAGCCTCCTGAGTAGCTGGGATTACAGGCACGCACCACCATGCCCAGCTAATTTTTGTATTTTTTTTTTTTTTTTTTGAGAGGGAGTTTTGCTCTTGTTGCCCAGGCTGGAGTGCAATGGCACGATCTTGGCTCACCGCAACTTCCGCCTCCCAAATTCAAGCACGTCTCCTGCCTCAGCCTCCAAAGTAGCTGAGATTACAGGCATGTGCCACCATGCCTGGCTAATTTCGTATTTTTAGTAGAGACAGGGTTTCACCATGTTGGTCAGGCTTGTCTCGAATTCCTAACCTCAGGTGATCCACCTGCCTCAGCCTCCCAAAGTGCTGGGATTACAGGTGTGAGCCACCACACCTGGCCTTAATTTTTGTATTTTTAGTAGAGATGGGGTTTCACCATGTTGGCCAGACTGATCTTGAACTCCTGACCTCAGGTGATCCACCCACCTTGGCCTCCCAAAGTGCTGGGATTACAGGAGTGAGGCACTGCACCTGACCTTCTTTATTTTGAGATAAGTTCTTGCCCTGTAGCCTAGGCTGGAGTGCAGTAGTACAATTGCTTATAGCTTTTGGTGCTTCTCAAACTAAAATTCTAGGACAGGTTTTAAGAAGCCCATATCCTAATAAAATTTATTTTTTTATCAAATAATATAACAGTGTTCTAGGATATCTTCTTGAACTAAAGTATTATTTCTTTCCTGGAGAATAGATGGATGTAACTTTATATTTTCAACCATTATGTAAGAGCTTAATGTATGTTAAGTGTATAATTTTTTTAAAGACATTAAGTTTTTTTTGTCAGCTGTTATCCCTTTTTGGAAAGTTATAAATTTTATCTAAAGTAAAATCTTGTTATTAAAATTACATTGGTTAAAATTCTATCAAGGGTTTGGGTAAACAGGTCTTCTTCATATTATGCTACTTAGAATATCAATTGATAAAATCCTGTCTAGAAGTCAGTTTTGCAAAATGTATAAGCATAACAGTGTTGATGTAGATCAATATTTGTTGAGATTGGAAGATATCTTCAATAAGTTAAGTGAAAAAGCAGTTTCTGTGGTTCTTTTGGTGGTAATAGCCCATATTATTAAACTGAAGGCCTATAGCTTTATGTGTGTATGTGTAAAAATAAGCATGGGAGGTTGAAAAAAGAAGGTTAAATTGGTTAAATCTCACTACTTGTTCTGAAGCTTACTGAAATGGGTTTTTGAAGGCTGGGCGTGGTGACTCACGCCTGTAATCCCAGCACTTTGGGAGGCCGAGGTGGGTGGATCACTTGAGGCTAGGGGTTCGAGACCAGCTTGGCCAACATAACGAGACCCTGTCTCTACTAAAAATGCAACAATCAGCTGGGCATGGTGGTGCATGCCTGTAATCCCAGCTACTCAGGAGGTTGAGGCACGAGAATCGCTTGAACCTGGGAGGCAGAGATTGCAGTGAACTGAGATTGCGCCACTGTACTCCAGCCTAGGTGACAGAGTGAGACCCTGTTTCAAAAAGAAAAAAGAAAAAAAAATGAGTTTTTGAAATTACTGTGTTATATATACTTGTATTGTTTTAAAAGAAAACTTGAATATAGAAATAAATGGGTCTACAGTTAGAGAGACTGGGTATTTATAAATAAACATAATATATTTGTTTGTTTGTTGGAGGCCAACTGACTGGAATTTGCTTTTGCAACATGCTGTTAAAGCTAAACTCTTTTCTACCTAACCTTTTTAGAAGAGCCACGTGGTGCTTTGCTGGTTAAGTTGGCTGGAGTAGAACTCGCTGAAACTGGGAAGGCATGGTTACAAAAAGAGCTAAAACCTTCCCAATTACTATGGTTCCAACTTCTTGGAAAGGAGAATTCAGCACTCTTTTGCTATCTTCTGGTGAGTAAGGTAAGCAATGTGAAGAAATAACTAGCAATATCTTATTCTTCTTATTACTTATATGTAAACACTTATTTAATTAGAACTTTGGATATATAATGGGACTGACTTTTTTTTGCCTTTTAAACTGCTACTGATAGTGATTATGCATAGGTGTCTTGTATACAAATTTTATTTTAGTTACATATGTAATATATGTTTAATATAGAAAAAATAAAATTAAGAAAAAAGAAAAACTTCAAATTATTATTTATTATTATTATTTTTTAGATGGAGTCTCTCTCTGTTGCCAGGCTGGAGTGCAGTGGCACGATCTCGGCCACTGCAACCTCTGCCTCTCAGGTTCAAGTGATTCTTCTGCCTCAGCCTCCTGAGTAGCTGGGACTACACATGGGCGCCGCCACACCCAGCTAATTTTTGTATTTTTAGTAGAGATGGGGTTTCACCATGTTGGCCAGGATGGTCTCGATCTCTTGACCTTGTGATCTGCCCACCTTGGCCTCCCAAAGTGCTGGGATTCAGGCATGAGCCACTGCGCCTGGCCTATTGTTTATGATTATTATTTTTTGAAACAGAGTCTCACTCTGTTGCCCAGGCTGGAGTGCAGCGGCATGATCTTGGCTCACTGCAATCTCTGCCTCCCAGGTTTAAGCAATTCTCCTGCTTCAGCCTCCCAAGTAGCTGGGACTACAGGTGCACACCACCACACCTGGCTAATTTTTTGTATTTTTAGTAGAGATGAGGTTTTGCCATGTTGGCCAGGCAGGTCTCGAACTCCTGACCTCAGGTGATCTGCCTGCCTCAGCCTCCCAAAGTGCTGGCATTACAGGCATGAGCCACTGTGGCCATAAACTTCAAATTACTAATGACTCTGGGCATTGCTAATTTAGGCAGTATCATTATATATTTATTTATGTATGGGTATATTACATCATGCTTGTTACTATAAACCACTTGCTGAGTGAGGCTTGTTAGCTGGAAACTACAAACAGCCAGGGTGTTTTCTGACGGTTTGCTTAGTCTGGTCCAATATGTTGTTGATAGGTCTAAGTGTATAAATCTTTGAACTGTAAAGTTGAACATTCTTAAGTACTAGTTCTGATCAGTGATGAGTCATCTAAAGATGTTGCCTCAGAGTTTTCTTACCTTTATGATTGGCCATAGCCATTGTATAACTGGAAGTGACAGTTTCATCTTTGTTGCTGAATCACTGTCCTGCATCCCAGGATGTGCATGTGCCTTACTCCAGATTTTTTTGGTGGGCCATCAGATAGGTTTTCATACCTTGATCATACTATGATATTCAGCTTTTAAAATTATAATTATGAGGGTACAGTCGCTTGTGCCTATAATCCCAGCAACTCAGGAGGCTGAGGTGGGAGGAACGCTTCAGCCTACGCAGTCGAGACTGCAATGAGCTATGATCGCACCAATGTACTCCAACCTGGGCGATAGAGAGAGACCCCTTCTTGTAAATAAAATAAGATGATTAGAATTTTAACCATTTTAATTCTTAAAAGCTTTTTGAAATATTAATAGAAAGCTTAATGAAATTCATTAATTTTTGCATGTCCAGATGATATTCAGTACTTTCAAAATAAGAATTATCTAAAACTAATTGATTGAAGTATCTTGTATTTTAAAAGTAAGTTTAAAAGTAAGTTAATAAAGGCTGGGCATAGTGGCTCATGCCTGTAATCCCAGCACTTTGGGAGGCCGAGGCCAGCAGTTCACTTGAGGTGAGGAGTTTGAGACCAGCCTGGCCAATTTGGTGAAACCCCATCACTACTAAAAATACAAAAATAAGCTGGGCATGGTGCCGGGTGCCTGGAATCCCAGCTACTCAGGAGGTTGAGGCAAGAGAATCACTTGAACCCTGGAGGCGGAGGTTACAGTAAGCCGAGATCGTGCCACTGCACTCCAGCCTGGGTGACAGAGTGAGACTCCGCTTCAAAAAAACAAAACAAAACAATACAAAACAAAAAAAGTAAGTTAATAATACAAAGTTGTATAAAACATCCTAAAGGCCTTACAAAAATATTAGCTTTTAAGTTAAAGAGTATAATTACCAAAAAAAAGGAGATGATTATGACGATGATAAAGGTAGCAATCAATTATGTATATTTTGAGGGTCAACATGTGTCAGACACTGAGTTAAGGTGCCATGCTTATATTATGTTACTTATCTTCAGAACCACTCTACAGGTTGTTGCTTTTATTCCCACTTTCAGGTAGGACTTTTAGGGAAACTGATTGTCTTGGTCAGGGTAACCTGGAAGAAAAGCCTGTATCCAAACCCAACTCTTCCTGGCTCCTGAGCCTACATTTACTTCATCTTATAAGCATATCTTTATTTTATCTTGCTTCCTGGGTGACCAAACTATGCTATACACATAGAGTGATAATTTACTTCTCCTGTTTGAATTTTGCTAACGTGTGAGGTGGAATTTTAATTATACTGAGTTTGGTTCAAGGGAATGAGCTTATAAGATTTGAAAGATTTAGAAAAATATGATAATTGCTTTATAACTGTTATCATGTACTAAAAATTTCTCAATTTGAAGGAACAAAATTTTATTAACACTTTGTTAAGATTAAAATCCCACAAGGATTGTAGAAATATCTAGGCAGGATCTCCTTTTATTTATTTATTTATTTTCCCGAGATGGAGTCTTGCTCTGTCACCCAGGCTTGAGTGCAGTGGTGTGATCTCGGCTCACTGCAACCTCTGCCTCCTGGGTTCAAGCAATTCTCCTGCCTCAGCCTTCTGAGTGGCTGGGATTACAGGCACCTGCCATCGCACCCGGCTAATTTTTGTGTTTTTTTTTTAGCAGAGGTGGTGTTTCACCATGTTGGCCAGGCTGGTCTCGAACTCCTGACCTTGTGATCTGCCCGCCTCGGCCTCCCAAAGTGTTAGGATTACAGGCATGAGCCACCGCGCCCCGCCAGGATCTCCTTTATACCGTAAATTAATGAAAAAAAAAAATCCCATTTATCCAGTTTCATTAGGAGGTGAGGTATTCCATGAATAAAATTTCCTGTAGGATGAAGACTCAATGGCCAAGACTATTTTTATGTTAATTATTTTGAGGGAAGTCTTTTAAAAATGTATTTACTTGCCAGTGCTGTCCAAAACACTGGAATTCTGAACCTAATTTAACAGTTCAGTGATGATTCAGTTCATTTTGCATTTGGCTACTTTTAGTTTAGTTTCTCTTCATCTCTTAGTTTCTTTTGCTGGTCCTACTGTCACTCTGCCTATCTTGGGTGTCCCACTTCCCCTCCACAGAACCACCAACAGACCAAAAACACATTTTTCATACTTTATTGCTTCCTCACCTCTTCGGATTAGGAGAACAGTGAGTCTGTGGAGAATTCCATGTTATAAAAGAATCAACTGATTTTGAGCAAGGGTCTCTTCTAGTAATAAAAATCCTTGGATTTCGCAAGAGCTGTTTTGGGGGAGCCTTGGGGACCATTTTTGCCTTTTCTTTGGAGGACTAAAATTGTTGAATGACTGATTTTTAAGGTAAATAAGATGTGATGGGTATAACAACAATTATCTTAAATAATTGGTTTGTATTATTTTTAAATTCAAGGGTGGATATTTCAGCGTGAATCTGAATGAAGAAATTTTGAGAAGAGGCCTTGGCAAAACTGTTCTTGTTAAAGGGCTTAAATATGATTCTAAAATCTACTGGACAGTTCACAGAAACTTACTTAAAGCTGAATTAACAGCCTTAAAAAAAGGAGAAGGAATATGGAAGGAAGACTCTGAAAAAGAAAGTTACTTAGAAAAATTCAAAGATTCCTGGAGAGAAATATGGAAAAAGGACAGTTTTTTAAAAACAACAGGATCAGATTTCAGCTTGAAAAAAGAAAGTTATTATGAAAAACTTAAAAGGACTTATGAAATATGGAAAGACAACATGAACAACTGCTCCTTAATACTGAAGTTCAGAGAACTTATAAGTCGCATAAACTTTCGTAGAAAAGGGTGAAACGGTCAAGAAATCTAGAGGTAACCTTCTCCAAAGAGTGAAATATGTAAATATATGGACGTTTTTCATTGAATCAAAATGGAAGTTTTGCCAAATGATCAAAGTGTTAGTCCAATGGTATTTAAATATTAAAAAGAGATGATTATTATAAGCATAATGTCAGAATTAATTTAAACAAATTATAATTAATGTAATATGATTTTAGGAAGGATGAAACACTTTATGAGAAGTTACCAGGCTGAATGATTTACATATATAGTGCTAATGTGTGAAGAGAAAGTTTAACTCTTCACCCACTATGTTGTTTTTAGTTATTTTGGGCTGCCATATTGAATTTTTTGTTTGTTTGTTTTGAGAAGGCGTTTCGCTCTTGTTGCCCAGGCTGGAGTGCAATGGCGTGATCTTGGCTCACTGCAACCTCCTGCTTCCTGGGTTCAAGCGATTCTCCTGCCTCAGCCTCCTGAGTAGCTGGGATTACAGGCATGCACCACCATGCCCGGCTAATTTTGCATTTTTAGTAGAGACGGGGTTTCTCCATGTTGGTCAGGCTGGTCTCAAACTCTTGACTTCAGATGATCTACCCACCTTGGCATCCTAAAGTGCTGGGATTACAGGCGTGAGCTACCAAGCCCGGCTTTTTTTGTTTTGACATGGAGTTTCGCTCTTGTCACCCAGGCAGGAGTGCAGTGGCGTTATCTTGGTTCACTGCAACCTCCGCCTCCTGGATTCAAGTGATTCTCCTGCCTGAGCCTCCCAAGTACCTGGGATTACAGGAGCTCCCACCAAGCCTGGCTAAGTTTTGTATTGCCATATTGAATTTTTGTTTAGAAAAGATATGTGTTTATGTTTCCAGTTTTATTACCTTTCACTATTTATAATAAAGGAATTCTTTATGCTTTATGTCCAAAGTAGCTTTTTTCTCCTAATTGCTTTCTAATTGCTTGTGAATTTGGGGACAGGGTCTCTTAGACCATTCCTTGTAATAAAGAATGGCTAATTTCTACCTGTTGTTAGATGAGGGGGCTAATCTGGAGGACAAAAACAATGTACTAGCTGGGTATGGTGGCTCAAGTCTGTAATCCCAGCACTTTGGGAGGCTGAGGCGGGTGGATCACTTGAAGTCAGGAGTTCGAGACCAATGACCAGCCTGGCCAACATGGTGAAACCCCGTCTCTACTAAAAATACAAAATTAACCAGATGTGGTGGGTCACACCTGTAATCCCAGCTACTTGGGAGGCTGAGGCAGGAGAATCGCTTCAATCTGGGAGGTGGAGTTTGCAGTGAGCCAAGATCGTGCCACTGCACTCCTGCCTGGGTGACAGTGAGCCTCTGTCTCAAAAACAAACAAAACAAACAAACAAACAATGTACTGAGGATGGCAGCACAGAGGATAGAAAAAACTGAGATGCCTGTCATTGTTGAGCCCTTGAAGTAGCCAATGCTTGAACTGCCCTGCTTTCCAATTTCTTGTTATTTGAGATAGCAATTAAAAAAAACATTTAAAGCCAATTTAAGTTGGCTCTAGGATTTGACACACACAAACTTGCTGATAAAATCATCTTGACAGTGTAAGCTTCTTTCGCCAGGCCAGCAGTAATCCACTTACACCCACAAAGTCTATACAAGTTATTTTTAATGGTTTATGATACTAAGAAAAGTCAGACTTATCATCTAGTCCAGATAGTTGACTCCTGTTAGAGTCAATAGCACAGAATGAGAAGTATAATGCTGCTGCTGCCTGACTCCTTTTTTTTTTTTTTTTTTTTTGAGATGGAGTCTTGCCCTGTTGCCAGGCTGGAGTACAGGGTCACAATCTTGTCTCACTGCAACCTCTCCCTTCCCAGATTCAAGCAATTCTCCTGCCTCAGCCTCCCAAGTAGCTGGGACTACAGGCACAAGCCACCATGCCTAGCTAATGTTTGTATTTTTAGTAGAGACGAGGTTTCACCATGTTGGCCAGGATGGTCTCCATACTCTTGACGTCGTGATCCGCCTGCCTCGGCCTCCCAAAGTGCTGGGATTATAGGCATGAGCAACTGTGCCCGGCCCTGACTCCTTCTTAGAACATAAGAAAATGGATTTTGCAACCTTTAGAAATTAAACATTCATTTTCAGTGAGGTCCCAAATATTCCAAAGATTTTTTGTGTGAATATGGTTTTATTTCATTACCTTTCTTTGGGATAGGATAGGAAGTCACATCCTAGTTTTTATTTCCTGATTTCTATGCCTCAATAGCTTTTTGTTTTAAGGGGATGTTTTATTTTTATTTACATGAAGTTAACAGAGTATATTTAAACTAGTTTTGTGGCAAGCTCTTGAGCCTTTTTCTTTTCCAACTTGGCATTGTGAATTACAGAATTTGGGCCTAAGTAATTGTCTTCCAGTGATGTCAGATCTTACAATAGTTATCACTGTAGTTAGTTCTGATGGCCTCTACCAGCTCAGCCAGCATACTACTATCTTTCCAGTTAAGCCGTATAAAAGTGAGACTGATGTAGGTCATCCTGTGACTTCATCTAACTTTTCCCTTGATGATGTAGTAGGGAACCCTGATTTTGTGGACAAGATGAGCAATAAGAAATGCAGATCAAGGGGTCTCCTCTCATGCGCAGTCACCATTGCTGACTATTCTTGTACTCCACTTAGACGGTGGCAGTATTAACACCTACGTGAAGGTCATGTATTCTTGGGTGGAGAATTTCCATTGGTTGGCAGCTTTTTTCTGGGCCAGCACTCACTTTTTCAGCTTGTCTCTGGTTAGTATTGTAGACCAGCTTGTTGGATAACCCAAGGGCAAGCTGAACTGGGTAATTTTAGAAAAGCTAGATCTTTGTCACTGGGATGGTTATAACAGGGCCATCTGAAAAAGTAAAACGTCCCTGTTAGGCTGGATATCAGACCAAAGCCCATGCTCTTTGCCTTTCTTAAATAGAGGATTTACTACTTCTTGGTCTTATTGGGGCTCAGAACATGACACCCCAAAATGTGGCACCTTGGCATACTGAGTATTTTAAGTTGAAGGAAATTGAGAACACTGCAGAAGCAGGAAAGTCACTCTCTGACCTTCTGCCACCTTTCTTTCCTGAAGCTGGCCATAAAAGAATTCTCTGACCTGCCTCTCTTGAAAGTAGATCAAAAGACTGTCATTTCAGAGGGAGCCTGTTCTATCCCCAGAGGCCAAGAAGAATCTGAACAAATAGGCCTTGCTCCCCCAACTTTATTTATTTATGTATTTTTATTTTTGAGATGGGATCTTGCTGTGTCACCCAGGCTGGAGTGCAATGGCGCAATCCTGGTTCACTGCAACCTCCGCCTCCTGGGTTCAAGCGATTCTCCTTCTTCAGCCTCCCAAATAGCTGGGATTACAGGCATGTGCCACCATGCCTGGCTAATTTTTGTATTTTTAGTAGAGACAGGGTTTTGCCATGTTGGCCAGGCTGCTCGAACCCCTGACCTCAGGTGATCTGCCTGCCTCTGCCTCCCAAAGTGCTAGGATTACAGGTGTGAGCCACCGTGCCCAGCCAGCTCCCCCAAGTTTAATACCATTAGGTCATACTCATTTGTCCTCTGCATGATCGTCCATAAATATACATAGTTTTCCCTGGGTTTTTGAGTCCTCATTTCTGATGGCTCTTGTGTCATGTAAAATTTATATTAAATAAATTTTTTATAGGTTTTTCTCTTGTTAATCTGTCTTTTATGAGGGATGTCAGTCATGAACCTTGCAATGAGTGAGGAAAATACATTACAATTTTCCCCTACAATCTTGTCTTTAAAACAACAGGGTCCATGGCCACTTTGTTTTCCTTTCGGGCTTCTTTTCTTTTGGTACCTTGGGTATCTAGACTTCCTTGCTTTTAAAATATGTTTCTATCAAATGAATTTAGTTCTTTATTTCTAAAGGATTGGATTTTTTGGTCCTTTTCAGTCTCTTTTTAATTTATGTTTCCTTTTTTGGGGTTTTTCATTTTCCATTCATACTTTTTTTTTTCCTCGAGGTGGAGTCTCACTCTGTCACCCAGGCAGGAGTGCAGTGGCACGATCTCGGCTCACTGCAACCTTTACCTCCCGGGTTCAAGTGTTTCTCCTGCCTCAACCTCCCGAGCAGCTGGGATTACAGGTGCGTGCCACCACACCTGGCTAATTTTTTTTAGTTTTAGTAGAGATGGGTTTTCACCATGTTGGCCAGGCTGGTCTTGAACTCCTAACCTCAGGGGATCTGCCCACCTGAGCCTCCCAAAATGCTGGGATTACAGGCATGAGCCACTGCACCTGGCCGGAAACATATGTACTCTTACACTAAGTGATGGGAATGTCGGCTCTTATCCAGGCACTTCCTCTCTCTTGCCTCACTTCTTAAATGATGCCTCTTTCTTCTTGTCTCAGGAAAATGAAGTGCTGGCAGGTCCAGTAGCTTAGCAAATTTCAGGAGAGACAATCATGATTTCCCAGGATAGTGGGATATGTAATGCCCTCGCCTTGTAAAAATGGAAGGGAAGTGTTAATGTCAAATCTCCTCCCCCATTTGAACAGGAAAGGGAAGGGATGCTTGCTGCTCTGTAGACTCTAACTTTTCCACTCCTCCTTACTCCCAGACCTCTTCTCATAGCTGGTACTTGTGAAACCTAAATCAGCTTGACTTTTCCCGCCACTGGGAAATCTGAGGATACTGCTGCCTGAAATACTGTCTTCTTAAAACTTGGCTCAAAGGAAAATTAGAGCCATGGATCCCAACAGTGCTGCTGTTATGCCTGCTATATCTGGTAACTCCTAGAGTCTAGTAGAGATCCCAGTCAGTACCTCACACCAACCTAATACACTTGCAAACCTGCTTTTAGAGAATTAACTGTGCCGGGCATGGTGGCTCATGCCTGTAATCCCAGCACTTTGGGAGGCTGAGGCAGGCAGATCACTTGAGGTTAGGAGTTCGAGACCAGCCTTGCCAACATGGTAAAACCCTGTCTCTAATAAAAATACAAAAATTAGCCGGGCGTGGTGGCAGGTGCCTGTAGTCCCAGCTACTTGGGAGACTGAGGCAGAGAACTGCTTGAACCTGGGAGGTGGAGGTTGCAATGAGCCAAGATGGTGCCATTGCACTCCAGCCTGGGTGACAGAGCAAGATTCCATCTCAAAAAAAAGGAAAAAAGAATTAACTGCACCTGAGGCAGGCAGATAATGTTATGCAAGAGTTTTATCCTCTTCTGAATTGCTCCAGCATCATTTGGCTCCTCAACAATGTAAGGACTGCATCTTTGAGCTATAAGACCCTCCCTTGGGTAATTAAACTGTATGTGCTGTCAAGGGGCATATTGTTGACACAGTTTGTCCCAAATCCAGTGGTTATATGTGCTGGCTACCATTTGTTAAAGTAGGCAGATAGCCAGAAATGAGCAGGCAATGGAGCTCCTCTGAGAAAAGAAGTCCTGGAGATGCTGCCCACTAATAATCAGCACTGCCCACTCACAGTCAGCAAAAACAAAACAAAAACAACAACAACAAAAAAAACCCAGTGGCTACACTGGCTACTTCTGGCCTTATGGTTGGTCTCCTCCGTTCCTAAAGGGTACGTATAAGGCCCAAGCCAGAGATAACCATGGTAGAAACTTTCCCTGCTGATGAGCATGTGCACTCCTCCAAAAACTCACCCTAGAGTAGCCTTTTGTTCATTATAATAGTAAAAAACACACCCCTGGGTGGAGATTTTAAATGCTAATGAGACATGCGACATGTGTACCAGCATGTACAACCACAGAGCGTGCATGCCCAAGGAGACCTCCTGAAACATGCTTGCGAGTAACATTCCCCTCATGCCCCTTTGTGAATAATCATGTAAGATTCGCGTAAAGAGAATCCTCCAGCACTAGCTGCTGCTGGCTTTTTTTTGTTGTTGTTGTTGTTGTTTTACACAGAGTCTTGCTCTGTCACTCAGGCTGGAGTGCAGTGGCACAATTTTAGTTCCCTACAAACTCTGCCTACTGGGTTCAACTGATTCTCCTGCGTCAGCCTCCCGAGTAGCTGGGACCTCAGGCACGTACCACCACACCCAGCTACATTTTTGTATTTTTAGTAGAAGCAGGGTTTCACCATGTTGGCCAGGCTGGTCTTGAACTCCTGACCTCAAGTGGTCCACCTGCCTCGGCCTCCCAGAGTGCTGGGATTACAGGTGTAAACCACTGCACCCGGCCTGCTGCTGGCTTCTTATTTCAGCATGTACTGTCTCTTTACTTAAACATTACTACTACTGTTTTTCCAGCTGAAGCAACCTAGAGCTGTTTTTCACTCCTTTCTAGGAATATACTTTATCTTCCTTCAATAAACTCTGCTACTTAACCCTTGCTATGCGTATCTTGGCTGAATTATTTCTTCCAAGTTAGACTAGAACTGAGGATTCCCACACTTCCTGGTAACACATTGACATAAAGAGACTACGTGGTTCGAGAAGCCAAGAAACAGCAGTGTTCCAGACGTTCAGGGCAGCAACAGAAACAGTATTGCTTAGCCACCATTAAAAGAGATGACAGGGCTAGGCATAGCGACTCACGCCTGTAATCCCAGCACTTTGGGAGACCGAGGTGGGCAGATCACTTGAGGTCAGGAGTTCGAGACCAGCCTGGCCAACATGATGAAACCCCGTATCTACTAAAAATAAAAAAATTAGCTGGGCGTGGTGGCGGGCGCCTGTAGTCCCAGCTACTCCAGAGGCTGAGGCAGGAGAATTGCTTGAATTCAGGAGGCGGAGGTTGCAGTGAGCTGAGATGGCACCACTGCACTCCAGCCTGGGTGACAGAGGGAGACTCCTTCTCAAAAAAAAAAAAAAGAAAAAAGAAATGACAGTTATACTAAGGGACTGGCTACACGGCTGGGATAGTTGAGGAGGAGCTGGTTTCCTAGGAGATGGTTTCTTCATGATATGGAGCTTCTCTAAAGTCACTACCAAGGCAGCTATTTCTTTTTTTTTTTGAGACGGAGTTTCACTCTTGTTGCCCAGGCTGGAGTGCAATGGCACAATCTCGGCTTACCTCAACCTCCGCCTCCCGAGTTCAAGTGATTCTCCTGACTCAGCCTCCTGAGTAGCTGGGATTACAGGCATGTGCCACCATGCCTAGCTAATTTTGTATTTTTAGTAGAGATGGGGTTTCTCCATCTTGGTCAGGCTGGTCTCTAACTCTTGACTTCAGGTGATCCACCCACCTCGGCTTCCCAAAGTCCTGGGATTACAGGCATGAACCACCGCGCCCGGCCACCAAGGCAGCTATTTCTATGAAGGCAAATCACAGGGAGAAAGTAATACAAATTTATTAATATGAAAAGGCTGAAGAAAAAACCTCGAGATTAAAATTAAAATGGTTAAGGCCGGGTACAGTGGCTCATGCCTGTAATCCTAGCACTTTGGGAGGTCAAGGTGGGTGGATCACCTGAGGTCAGGAGTTTGAGACCAGCCTGGCCAACATGGTGAAACTCTGTCTCTACTAAAAATATAAAAATTAGCCGGATGTGGTAGCGGGCACCTGTAATCCCAGCTACTCGGGAGGCTGAAGCAGGAGAATCACTTGAACTGGGGAGGTGGAGGTTGCAGTGAGCCGAAATCATGCCACTGCACACCAGCCTGGGTGAAAGAGAGACTCTGTCTAAAAACAAACAACCAAACAAACAAAAAACTAAAATGGGTTAAGAACAAAGCTGGGCGAGGTGGTTCACAGCTGTAATCCCAGCACTCTGGGAGGCTGAGGCGGGCGGATCACCTAAGGTCAGGAGTTCGAGACCAGCCTGGCCAACATGGCGAAACCCTGTCTCTACTAAAAATACAAAAATTACCCGGGCATGATGGTGGGCGCCTGTAATCCCAGTTACTTGCAAGGCTGAGACAGGAGAATTGCTTGAACCCAGGAGGCGTAGGTTGCAGTGAGCTGAGATTGTTGCGCCACTGCACTCCAGCCTGGGCGACAGAGCAAGACTTTGTCTCAAAAAGAAAAAAAAAAGGTTAAGAACAGAAATTTAACAGTAAAATAGTTAAAGTGCTTTTTAAATGAACAAACTATATTTTCTTTTTCAAGGTGGCAATTTGAGCTCATTCCTTTAACTTGCATTCCTCCCATTAAAATTACATCAAACTATTAAATATTAAAATTAAAAAATGATATTAATGATGGAAAATCAGGAAAGGTATCATTAATTAGCTAGATATTTTAACATTTTGCAAATTATGATGAGGTGGTATTTTAACGAGATACTGATGACTTGAGTTCATTATTATACTTCTGGAAAAAAGGTAGGCTTTATCTAGTAAGTAAGTGGGTGGGATTACCCAATTACAATCCAAAAAGCCCATCCACTTGTTTGGGATCTCTGAGAGGTATTCCCTTTTGGTCAGGTCTAGAGGTAGTTCCTCATGATCTGGAAGCCTTAGTTCAAATGTCAATGCATCCACTATATAATGCAAGGGAAAATAGAATGTCAGTAGTCCACAGCTCTGTCTTATCCTGCTGGAGAGGAATAATGATAGCTCCTGGTCCTAGTTGTGTGCGTTTCTTGGTCATACCATCTGGGTGCCTCAGTTCTGTTCTCTGTAAGATCATCCTTATCCTCCATGGCCTCTTCAAAAATAGCCATTGGAGCAGATCCACCTTTTGAGATCTGGACACCTCTTCCTGTTGATACGGGTTGAGAAGCCCAGGGATGGCTAAAGGGTTGAGAATCACAGGACTTTTATTCTTCCAGAGACTTAATCTTATATGGTTATGAGATTTACCAATTTACTGGGCAGGATGTAGGTCTTTGGGGATCTTCTGATCTCACTTGGTTCTGTTCTGAGTATTACTGCTTTGCTTCTTGTTCATTTTTAATGAACACATTGGAACATTGTTTTCCTTTTTTTTTTGAGGCAGGGTCTTGCTCTGTTGCCCAAGCTGGAGTACAGTGGCATGATCTAAATGCACTGCAACCTCTGCCTCCAGGGCTCAAGTGATCCTCCCACCTCAGCCTCCTGAATAGCTGAGTACAGGTGCGCACCAGCACCAGCACCACCATGTCCAGCTATTTTTTTTATGTTTTTTGTAGACACGGGTTTTGCCATGTTGTCCAGGCTGGTCTTGAATTCCTGGGCTCAAGCGATCTGCTGGCCTTGACCTCCTAAAATGTTGGGATTACAGAGGTGAGCCACTGCACCTGACCAAACACTGTTTTTCTTTTTTTTGAGACAGAGTCTCACTCTGTCACCCAGGCTGGAGTGCAGTGGCACAATCTCGGCTCACTGCAACCTCCGCCTTCTGGATTCAAGCAATTCTCCTGCCTCAGCCTCCCGAGTAGCTGATACTACAGATGCGTGCCACCAGGCCTGGCTACTTTTTTTTTGTATTTTTATTAAAGACCGGGTTTCAACATATTGGCCAGGCTGGTCTTGAACCCCTGTCCTCATGATCTGCCTGCCTCAGCCTCCCAAAGTGCTGGGATTGCAGGTGTGAGCCATTGCACCCGGCCCAAACACTGTTTTTCAATTGTAGGCTCTGCCTATTAGTGAGATGTGATATCAATTTAATGGGTTGCCACCAGCAATTAAGATAAAGGAACAGAACAGGATAAAATGTATCAGAATGCATTGAACATAGCAAAGATAAGTATTGTTTTGTTAATTTTTTGTTATAAATATATATATTTATGCACTGGTTTGCACTGCATAAATGTATGCATGAATGTATGCACTGGTTTGCAATGCAAAAATATGACATTATCGGTTACTAAAAGTCGGTACAGAAGATCTCATTTTCTAGCACACTCTTTGGAAGAAGGCTGATGATTTCTTTTCTTTCTTTCTTTTTTTTTTTTTTTACTTTTTTAGACAGAATCTTGCTCTGTCACCCAGGCTGGAGTGCAGTGGTGCAATCTCGGCTCACTGCAACCTCCGTCTCCTGGGTTCAAGCCATTCTCTTGCCTCAGCCTTCCTAGTAACTGGAACCACAGGTGCACGCCACCACACCCAGCTAATTTTTTAATTTTTAATAGACACAGGGTTTCACTATGTTGGTCGGGCTGGTCTCAAACTCCTGACCTCATCCGCCTGCTTCGGGTTCCCAAAGTACTGGGATTACAGGCGTGAGCAACCACGCCCGGCCAGCCTGATGATATCTAGAACTCAAGTGAAGACAGTGAGTAATTCAGACAGAAATGAGGTTTTTTAAAAATTCAGGCATTGGGATCATTACTTCCATTTTCTGCTTTGTTTTGGTTATCAAAACACTTTATTTCTGTGTAACTAGCAATGAAATTGAGTAATTAGCGCCCTCTTCTGTTCTGCAACACCGTACACCTATCTATTTTAGCCCTTGTTACATTGTATTGTAATTATTTATTTACATGTCTCTTCTCTCTAGTCCAAGGTATATTAGACTTTATAATTCAAACCATACTTACTGAATTTTGGATCATTTCTGCTCCTTCCACAGCAGGATTTAGCCCTGTTTCTTGCTCATATAGGGAACTCTCTAAATATTTGTTAAATAAATGAATGAAAGAATAAATGAATGGCCCATCACAGTGCTGCCTTGTCATTTTGACCAGGACCTTTTTTTTTCAGTCAGAATTTCCCCCATGCATCCCATCAGCCTACACCGTGAAGATTAATTTGCTGAAATGATCTGAGAGAACATTTTGTAAACTTGTCAAGTTTAAAAAGGGAGACATTTATTTTGGACAAAGCAAGCCCTCTTAATATGTAGCTAGTTTAATTATGCAAATAAGTGAAACAAAAACTAAATACAAATTTTGAGGTGCAGAAAAACTTTTGCTCTGTTTGTACAGAAAAATCCAACCATTTGTTTTCTGGTTAAAAATAAACAGGTGTTAGTAAGAGAGTGCACACCCCATTAGAATTCCAACTGGTAGGGAAATAGAAGAGTTTTCCTGGTGGTGTAAATTGCCTCCCCCCACAATGTCCCCCGTCTTTCAAAACTTTAGAATTTGCACTGTAACTCTTTCACCAGTGTCTTTCCTCATTTTCTGTCTACAATTCAGTTTGCTTGTCTTTCTAAACTTTTGTTCAATGTCTATAAAAATGGTGCTTCAGATTCTTTTAATTATATTATTGAATTCTACAGAATTTTTTAACAATAGTATTGGAGGGGGAACCCAGTATATTCCATGAGGGAAATATGTAGCCTCATAGTTTCAGTATTACTTCTAAGGCTGAATAAAGAAACTTCAATTAAAGGTCTGTCTTGGTGAGCAAGCTTTGACCATCTTGAAAGTTGCAGATATTGGCTCTGTGGGAGGTCTTTCTGGAAACAAAATGCACAGAGCTGAGTTGTGAAGCTCTTAGGAAGGAGGAAAAGGGGCTCTCTCCTTCTCTGACACTATTGTTTCCTCCAACTACTTCATTCCCCTTCCCACCACAGGAGAAATAAACAATCAAACAAGTTGGAGAAAAATAGAAAATGGGGAAAGTTCACTTTAATTAGCACACTTACTGCCTTTTAGAAAGTGTTCACCCGATTTTGCGAACTAAAATCTCCCAAAAAGTATAACTGAAGTTAAGAAAATCTTTGTTGAATAAAATTAACTTAGGCACAGCTATGCTATTTTCCCTTCACCCAGCATTCACAGGATGAAGTATTTTGCCAAGGCAGTAAAGTGGGGACCTATTATTTAGAATTCTGATATGTAGTCCAGGCTCATTCCTCAGTTTAACAATTTAGCTCATGTTTTCTCCTTATTTGTAAGGTGAAATGTGCATTTGCTTATTGCTTATAATATTTTTGACCTTTCCAGATAAAAGGGGAAAACAGTTACATAGGCTTTTTTTTTTTTTTGAGATGGAGTTTCACTCTTGTTGCCCAGGCTGGAGTGCAATGGCACCATCTTGGCTCACCGCAACCTCCGCCTCCCAGGTTCAAGCGATTCTCCTGCCTCAGCCTCCCGAGTAGCTGGGATTACAGGCATGTGCCACCACACCCGGCTAATTTTTTTTTTGTATTTTTAGTAGAGACAGGGTTTCACCATGTTAGCCAGGAGGGTCTCGATCTCCTGACCTCGTGATCCGCCCGCCTTGGCCTCCCAAAGTGCTGGGATTATAGGTGTGAGCCACCGCGCCCAGCTATATAGGCTTGTTATAGAAAAAATGTAAACAGCTGCCATTTAAAAATAAGTCATTAAAAAAAAGTTATAGTCTGTTGGTAAGAAATGAAAAATCAGAGTTTAGCCTTAAAAAGTTATTTTCCAGCAGAACACCTGTAGTTTCAGCTACTCAGGAAGCTGAGGCAGGAGGATTCCTTGAGCCCAGCAGTTAAGAGTCCAGCCTGGGCAACATAGTGAGAGCCCCATCTCTTAAAAAACATTATTTTCGGCTGGATGCCGTAGCTCATGCCTATGATCCCAGTACTTTGGGAGGCCGAGGTGGGTGGATCACCTGAGGTCAGGAGTTCGAGACCAGCCTGACCAACATGGTGAAACCCCGTCTCTACTAAAAAACACAAAAATTAGCCAGGCACGGTGGCGGGCGCCTGTAATCCCAGCTACTCTGAAGGCTGAGGCAGGAGAATTGCTTGAGCCTGGGAGGCAGAGGTTGCAGTGAACCAAGATCGCACCACTGCACTCCAGCCTGGGTGACAGAGCAAGACTCTGTCTCAAAACAAAACAAAACAAAACAAAAAAAACCCAACATTATTTTCCTCTGTATGCCAAAACATTTCCATTTGTAGACTTGTGGCTCAGGCCTGTAATCCCAGGACTTTGGGAGGCCAAGGTGAGCAGATCACCTGAGGTCAGGAGTTCACCTGGCCAACATGGTGAAACCCCGTCTCTACTAAAAATACAAAATTAGCCAGGCATGGTGGCGCATGCCTGTAATCCCAGCTACTTGGGAGGCTGATGCAGGAGAATCACTTTAACCCGTGAGGGGAAGGTTGCAGTGAGTGGAGATCGCGCAGTTGCACTCCAGCCTAGGGAACAAGAGCAAAACTCCGTCTCACACACAAAATAATAAATAAATAAATAAATAAATAAAAGTTTAAATAGGTTTCAAATGTTAACAGTAAAAATAATTGGCATATTTGAGAGCTCATTTTGTAGCAGGCATTTTGCTAAGGGCTTTGCATACACTGGTCTTATATAATTTACCATAAGAGGCATGCATTTCTTTCAGTAACCAGCATCATAGTACTGCAAAAATGTGTTAGTTTATGAATTTAAGTATTTCAGAGAATCTCCATATTCCTGGATAAAGTTGTCAAAATATTAACAATTGTTGAAACACAGCGACTAATACATAGGGTTTTATTATACTATTCTACTTTCGTGTATATATAAACACTTCCATGATAAAAAAAATCAAAAACACAAAACAAAACAACTCTTTCAGAGATCAGCTATCCTGGTTATGTTCCTTCCTCCCCATCTCCAGCTCCTGTCAGTTGGCCCCACATGGGGACACATGCTTCTTCAGCTGGGGAGGGAAAGATTGGTAGAACTTACAGTTGGCCATTACTACTCCTCTCTCCTCAGTCTCCCATGATGGATTTAGGAAATTCCTCTTCTGATCTACTTTGTAGATTAAGTCATATACATATGAATCAGTATAAAGGTGTTTCTTTCTTTGGCAGCAGATTTAAGAGAGGGCAGCCTAGGGAACATCTATTCTTTTTTTTTTTTTTGAGACGGAGTCTCGCTCTGTCACCCAGGCTGGAGTGCAGTGGCGCGATCTTGGCTCACTGCAACCTCTGCCTCCCGGGTTCAAGCAATTCTCTGCCACAGCCTCCCGAGTAGCTGGGATTACAGGTGCCTGCCACCATGCTTGGCTAATTTTTGTATTTTTAGTAGAGACGGGGTTTTACCATATTAGCCAGGCTGGTCTCGAACTCCTGACCTCATGATCCACCCGCCTCAGCCTCCCAGAGTGCTGGTATTACAGGTGTGAGCCACCGTGCCCAGCCCATATCTATTCTTTTTATTTGCCAGAATCTCTTCCTGCCTTCACTTGGTAGGACCAGCCCCTTTCATCTTGGGAACAAATCCTCCCTGGTTCCAAGCAGTTCTGATGGGCTGCTACTTATAATACCCCGCCTTCCTGGCCATAAGGGTGTGTGTATAATCAGGATCTGGCCACACATATACTCTACTTATTGTTGTCCACAGTAATTGACCTATGGATGGACACATGACCTAAGTCAGGTCAGTTCGAATCCTTTCCTACCATCTTATTTACAGATGGTAAAAGCAAAAAGGCCTCTCTAGCTGAGACGATTGAAACCTGGAGCTGTCTCTAGTCATGCTCTCCCCACCCCCAGCTTGTACAGAAAGCTCATATGGAATAGGAGAGAATAGGATCAAAACACTGAGAAAAGCAGAGACAGGGAAATAGTAGGAGCAAAGGTGAAAGTGTGAGAGTGACAAAAATTCCTTGCTTGGCCAAACAAACATTAGTCATGCTTCTGAGCCTTCTCCTGGGCCCATATGTGCGTTTTCTTGTAAAACTCAGTTTTAGAAAAGAGTTCTGCCAAGTCAGTTTAGCAAGAACCCCCACTCTCCATATCTGATCATTCTCAATATCTGATCAGATCCCTCATCCTCCACTATTGCCCAGGTCATGTCTGATCTCCCTGGCCTGTGTTCAGCAAGAATCCAGTTATGTCGGGTTAGCTAGAGTTCCTCATATTCCTGATGTTTCCTCTTAGTGATTTTTCATCCAGCAACCCCATCTGTTCTTTGTCTATAAATTCCAAGCTGCCTATGCTGTATTCTGCATGAGCTCCTTGCAGTAGTCCCTGTGCCGATTTCGATCGTGCTGGATAAAGCCTTCCTTACCATGCTTTAACACTGACTAATTTTTTCTTTAACAAGAGAAATGCTGATTCTGAATTGCTAGACTCCCACCGTTTCTGAAGTCCTTATCCTTCCCCCTATCTTAAAGTGGGAGTCAATACATCAGCTTTTTTTACTCAAGCTGGTTTGATAAGGGGTTTTGTTATTTGTACCTAAAAGCCGTGACCAATTTGTAGAGTAGGGCCATAAAGACAGGTACTACGCTCTACTTCAGGAGTGCTATCTATATTCCAGCTAAGGCTTACCACCTAGAGCAGTGCCTGGTACATGGCAAGTACTAAAGAAATATGTGTTGAAAGAGGAGTGCCTCTTCCTTGATACGCTTTTTTGGTCAATGGTTTTCTTAACTTGGTGCATTGATTAAAATAGGGAACATTTATCTCCTTTCCTCTCTTGCTCGTGGATATAACTCAAGATGGTTGCTGTTTAAATTTGAACACCTTAAATAAATGGCTCTTTTTGCAACTGGAAGCACAATTTTTGCACAGCTAGAAAAATCTTTTTCCAACACAGAAATTCCCAGTGCAGTTTTCTAAGAAACCCCCTACGATACGCAGCACAGCAGGCTCACCACAAGGCACATCAATCATTTTACTGTGTATCAGGCACCTCTTACAGGATTTTCTGTGATCCTGGTGTCAGTGCACATTCTGTATCAAGGCAGAGATGATATGTAGAAATCTGGCAGCTATTTAGAAGGGAGGCTGGGCAGTGGTGTGCCAGTATAATTAATGAGAGTCATCGCTTAGGAAATGAAGAGGGTGGGGGTTGGGAAGGATGCCTTTCACCATTCAATGGCATTTAAGAAAAATTGATGCTTTCTTAGCACTTTTAATGCTGGGAGGACATTAAGTCAAAGAATCACAGCAAAAGATTTTTGTAACTACTGTACAGATGGATGTCCCTGTGCTTGAAGAGGCAGGGCTAATTCAACCCCAGACTTTTCAGCCAGGCGGATTTCAACCTTGTATTGAGCTACCAGCAGGAGTTCTTTATACTTGGAAAAGTGGTAAATCCTTACTAAAAGATCATAGCTTGCATGACCAAGAGATCCTCTAGAAAAGGTACTTTACTACCATGTAGGATGTTTGTCTTACCTGCCCAAAGAAGTTTTAATGAAGATCTCATTTTCTCCAGTTCCCCTTTAACCAGTGAAAGAGGAGGGTATTATTTGTTTTGTTTTTCTATTTATTCTTTGGTAACCATGGAAGAGTTTGTGTAACCTAGAGAGGCTGCTTATTACCCACTGTCTAATCCCTTTGTTATTATTCCATACTCTGATTGTCACAAGCAGGAAAAATAGTTCTGTCCTGCTTCTAAAAACTTAGCAATGTAACACATTTTCTTGTTTTTAGTGATTTTCTCCAATTAATTAATTAATTGTTTTAGTGATTTTTCTCAGATAAATAATGTTAAAACGACTTGGAGAGAAAAGCTACATTAAAAGATTATGGATGTATAAATGTCCTAAACATTTAAGAACATGCATAATTATGATTCATACCAACTTCAGAATTATTACCTTTGGGAAGGGGTGGGGGTAACGAGTCAGGAGTTGGGGTTTAGCTATATCTGTAATGCTTTATTTAAAAAAGAAGGGCTGGGGGGAGCAGGAGTATTACATGGTATATATCCTGTTTTTGGTAGGTTTGAAATATCACACAATTTAAAAATTTAAAAGTTTACAAAATTATGGGAGTTGATTAAAACTATCAAAATAAAGAATGCATAGCAAACAAGTGCTCTTATTATGAACTTTGTGTCTGAGTTTATTTCAACATGTGCATCTGCATTTTTTCAGACTCAAGAAAGACAAACACCGGAGGTTAGGGGGTGAACTGCTGCTGTTGAGGGATTATCTTGGTGGTTTTTTTTTTTTTTTTTTTTTTTTTGGCTTTTCTATTCACCATGGAGGTTACCAGCAAAACAAATCTCCAACAAGCTTGTTTACAAAATATAAAGCAGTTTGGAGGCAGAGGGTTAATGACTTAATTTCTTATAAATTGAGGCTTGTGTATGGGCATGCAAAAAAACAAAAACAAAAACAAGTAAATTTGGGGAGGTTTCTTTCTATAGAGGCAAAGGACCTTACCTACATTTTTTCCAAATTGATTTCTTCCTGGTACTATTGGCAGGAAGAAATTCAAGTGGGTATTCTGGTGGCTTTTTTCTTTTTTCTGAGAGTCTAGGATTGTTTTCAGGACAAAGTTTCTTCTTGCCCATGGTGCTTTGCTGTGACATTGTAATTGCCTCTGTTGAATTGAATAATACAAATGGGTTGTTTCTATGGTATCGGCTAAGTGGGATGAAAAGGTGAAACCCTAGATCTTGCGCTGAGAGGTCACAGTGCTACCACCCTCCACACTGTCTGTCAAAGAGAACAGGCAGCCAAGGCCCTGAGCTCCAATCTCAGGCACTCATTTGTAACTTACTCGTTTGTAACTTCCTGGGCAAATTCACGCATGAAAAAAGAAAATGACTTTAGTTTATGTTGTCACTAAGCCCAGAAAATCCCTGCCAACCCCATGCTGCCAGCTTTCCTAGGACATTCTTATTGGAGGATTATTTTAAACTGAAAGGTGAGTGAAGAGCTGCGTCCCCACTCCTTCCCAGCCAGGCTTTGAACTAACAATAGGGCAGGTTGAATGAAGGCTGATAAATGTAAATCCTGGAATCCAGAAGCCGGATCACACCGCGGCCGTCTAGGCCAGCGGCGGTTCCAGCATCCGCCCCAAGCTGGTCACTCATCCTTTCAGTGCATTCAGTAGATTTCATCGTTTCATCAACACTTGAGTGCCTGCTTCGTGCAAGCTTTCCTCTGCCACCGCCGCCTTCTTACTCCCGGCAGGTTGCCCGCTTGAGTCAACCAGCCACTAAACGGATCTAAGTGAATAAGTGGCCTGTTAATGCCAAGGAGTAGCATTTCCAAATGAAGAGACTGGGGGTAAATAAAAGCAAAGTGTTACCATTTACACGCTCTCAATTTTAGTTGCACTTCACTCAGAGTAGATCTCTTTAATTTGCGGCATCGACAGATGCTATATTCTTAGAAATTTTTTTTTTTTAAAGGAGGTAAGACGGGCGTTTGAGAACACTTTTTACTTTGGTGCAAGTTGCACGCAGTTCCCATTCACTCAGAGTAGATCTCTTTAATTTGCGGCATCGACAGATGCTATATTCTTAGAAATTTTTTTTTTTTAAAGGAGGTAAGACGGACGTTTGAGAACACTTTTCACTTTGGTGCAAGTTGCACGCAGTTCCCATTCCCTGCGCCCTTCACTTCCAACTTTGTTTCTCCAACTCCTTTACCCCCCACCACCGAGGCCCTCTGGCTACAGCCCCGAGGGGTTACCCTGGGTTTCGAAACTTTTGAAACTTGCGGGGGAGTAAAAGTACTTCATTCCCAGTGCTTCTGGCCCTTGCCAAGCGGGGAGCCCCGCAGGAGAGTGTAAGCCAAGGGTTCCAGGTGCAGCCTTGGGGTTCCACGTGCAGCCCTAGGGTTCCGTACACCCATCCCGCCCGGGCCAGAGGAGGCAGCAGGCGCTCCAGTCCGCTCTCCGCAACTCCAGTTCCTGATTTCCTCGGAAGCTGCGGGGCCGAGAGGGAGGGGGGCTCCTGTGTGAGCGTGAGGATTTGAATGAGAAAGCAGGTTGTGGCGGCGGCGCCCTGCTCTTCCCCGCTCGTCTGGGGCTTCTGCTGGCTAGTGGGGAGAAGTGCTCTTCTAGGGGGGCTTTTCTGGCCCTTGGCAGGGGTTTGGAGTTGGAGTCACAGGGGCCAATAACTCATCACCCCAGCACTTCGGAGGTGGCTCCTTGTGCCACGGACTCCGAGGAGTCCTTCAGCTACTGAACACTCAAAGCTGAGGAGGTCAGTGCTTTCGGGGGAAGAAGGGGCCCAGGAGAGAAGGGGGTGTGCAGGAAAAAGAGAACTGGTACGCCAGTCCGATGAGCGAGTGAGCAGGTGGCCCAAGTTCCTTTCTCGGCAGCCACAGCCGGCACACGCCTGTTTAGGACTGTGAGTGCTGTGCGTGGGGATCCCCTAAGGCCCCGTGCGGGGAACTGGCCACGGCCGCTCTTCAGGGTCCCATAATTCAGAAGGATGAGGGTGGGTGTGTGTGTCCGCGAAATAATGTAACTCTCGGGTCCCTTGCGGTGGTGGTGGGTGGCGTTTCGCCCGGTGGAAGGTCCAGCCTCGCTGCAGGATGCTTCACCCTCACGCGGGGTCCCGGGACCCTCTCTCTGACCGCCAGACGCCGCCAGGAGAGCAGGTCCGCGTTTCCCAGCAAGGGGAGTGCAGCGTCCGTTACACTTGGGGAGTCTCACAGCTTTTCCTGCGCCCGGTGACCCTGCTCAGGACCTCTTAGAGACTAGGTGTGCTCAGCGCGAGGAGGATATACTCCATTGCCCTTTCCTGGGAAGAACCAAGAGCGCCCGAGCGGCGCGGGGTGGTGGAGGCAAACCCCGGCCCCGCGGCGGCACGCTCTGCGCCTGCGCGGCGTTTCCTTGGCGACTGAGCTGCGGGTCCGAGACGCCACCCCGCGAGCCCCTAAACCCAGTTCCCTGTTGAGCGTCTGCGACGCCCTCTCCCCTCCTTCCCGAGGCTTTTTCTATTTGTTTCCTTCTGCGAATCAATTTGTGATCACATTTTGACGTTGAGAGTTCAGCATTAAAGCAATAACCAACTAAATTAAAAAAAAAAACCCAACTTTTCCCTTCCCTTGTTACCGTTTTGATCACGGACAGAAGAAAATGGTGAGAGATTAGTTATTAGGGCAGCAATTGAAATCCCCCTCTGTCCCGAAAAGGGGAGACGAATAAAACATTTACTTCCTGGTAAGGAGTTAGAAAATTCAGTGAAGTGATTGTTCTCGAGCGTTACAAGAACAAATCTGTGCCTCCTAACCCAGGTGAAGAGCAGAGCTTGTACAACCCAGCAGCACCCATGTCCTGTTTATTGGCATGTTTATGACAAGGAGATGCTCTGCAAAAGGGACCAGAGTATAATGCCAATGAAAAGAAACAAAGGATTTCCCAGAAGAGGCGGTAGTTTTTTTCAGTTGCCTCAGCGTTTTGGTCACCTTTGGGGTTAAAGTCTTCTGCAGAGAATGCTTCAAGAAGCCTTAACAGAAGCCAGTTTTCTCAAGCTGGTCATTTTCTTTTTCTTTTTTTCTTTTTTGAGACGGAGTCTGGCTCTGTCGCCCAGGCTGGAGTGCAGTGGTGCGATCTCGGCTCACTGCAACCTCCGCCTCCTGGGTTCAAGCTATTCTCTTGCCTCAGCCTCCCGAGTATCTGGGATTACAGGCTCCCGCCACCACGCCCAGCTATTTTTTGTATTTTTAGTAGAGACGGGGTTTCACCATATTGGCCAGGCTGGTCTGGAACTCCTGACCTCAGGTGATCCACCCACCTCTGCCTCCCAAAGTGTGGGGATCACAGGCGTGAGCCACCGCGCCCAGCAGATGAGAATCATTTTCATTTTCATAAAATTGTGAATCTTGACAGCCCTATCCCCTCTTTTAAAATCCGTTTGTTTACATACAGCCTAGCATTTGGCAAAAGTACACATCTTAAGGGGTATGTAGAAGGAGCGGTAGCTTCTTGCTTATTTTTCTTAAACTGCATCAATATTTGGCAGCATGATTGGTACCTAGTTGCTATTTAACATTGGTTAGAATTAACATAAATGCTAATACAAATTTAAAATGGAGTTATTCTTCTTGGGATAAAGTGTGGCATAAAATACCTTGGATGAAGTAATACGTGAGTACTGTCTCGCTACATACCAGTTTCAAGCAATTTGTTTTCAAGAATAGCAAGTGTTTATTTGTGGTAGATGTTTTAAGATAATATCCTCCCACCATCAGCAAATGAAATCAAACATACCACTTTTCAAATGATTAGCGAGTAACATGCTGTTAAAGTTGTCTCCCATCTCATTTGTCATAAATTCTTAACATTGTGCAATCCATCTAGCTCAAATGTTTAAAAATAAGTCCAACTGAGTTTTTCCCCTTTTCTCATGTTTAGCAAAATAGAAAAACTCTTAATTTTCAGGTTCAGATACTTTGTGACCCTATTTGGTGGCTTGTAACTGGCTCCAATTCCCTAATTCTCAGTGACATGTGTTTCTGCTGGTTCCAGGAGGTAAACTGCAGTTTTAACAGATCATGGGATAATGAGACTGGGAGTACCTGGGGGAGGCTGGGGAGAGGCAATGGGAAGGAGACAAAGAGAGGGAAGGTTGATGGGCAGAGCGAGGATTTATAGTGGCACCAGATTTGCAATAAAATCTGTTTAAAGTTATTGCTTCCGTTTGATATATTTTCCCACATCATCAACTTCAATTAAATTTATTTTAAAAATCAGTCTTTCAGATATAGGGCTAGTATTATAAACATAGAATATGATAAAAGTGCTCCTTGTTAGGGTGCCATAATGTAAAATACTGTGAAAATTCTTAACGAAATGTTTTTTACTTAATTTATTCACTTAGTCAACAAATGTTTATTGAGAACGTATTATATATAAGGCAAGATGAATAAATCCAGATTTCTGTTCTGAATGAACTAAGAGCTGTGAGTCCTGAAATAATTCTAATACCACTTCAGACGTTCAGAGTGAAGATACTACCTTTGGTACTCTTAAGGAGAACGATTGATTTGGTGCTAATCACTCAGACTTGCAGATTCAGAAACAAATGCTGAAACTGAGTAATTTAGATAAGGCTGTACATCTAGGATAGGAAGCATTATGTGCACCTATTTGCTTACATTTTTGAAGTACAAACTCTACTCTAAAACTTGTAGTCTTGGCAAGTGCAGCACAGAGTTTAGAAGAAACAGAAACCTTGTAATTCTCAGGTTTCTTAGATGAAGATAAGGTGAGTGATTCAGTAATCCTTTGTTCTGGCTCTGTGTTTCATGACATAATGAACCTTCTGCAGCTTCCTTCTAAGAATGTTGGTCTGCATGCCTGAAGGATCATAACTATTTTTTCCCTGAACAAAAAAAAAAAAAAAAAAAAGAGGATATAAAATTATGATAAAAGGATAAAAGGAATACAATAGAGTATTTAAACATTTAACTTTTGAGATGGAATAATTTCTAGACATTTTTAGTGAATTTAAACTCTTGAAATCCATTACAGCCATGACAAAATCCTGGCATAATGTTGACCAGGGTTGACAAACATCTCCTCTTGTCATTCCTAGGACATAGACGGTTAGGGAAACTCTCATCTTTCCTTCACCACCTCATGAGTCTAAAAACAATGATAAACCCAGGGAAGCTTGCTGAAGAGCATCCTCCATTTGGTTATTGCTCTTTGTCTAGGAAAATCAGACTCAGCTGTGAATTGTGGACCAAGTGGTGCAGAACTCATTACTTTGAACAATGCCTCCTCGGCCTGGGAAGCATGTTCTCTCTTCTCACTAGCAGGGGCTTATTCCAGGCTGGCTTTGGTCACAAGGAAAATCATTTAGACACAGTTCAGTGGACACTCACTCACATCTCTTTGACACCCGTGACCATTTTTGTTTAAGGAGAAATCCAGTACTGCTGTGGTAGGGTGTGCCAAATTAGAAGTGCATTTTAAGAAGCCTGTGAAGAAGTTTACACAGCTTTATTTTATTATCATCAAGATCTCTGTCTTCTGTGCTTCGTAGTGGAAGAGGGCAGGATAGATGCAGAAGGGACAACCAAGATAACGTGGATAGCTAAGTTTAAAATGTTCTTACCAGCTATGTATTTTGGTGGCACTAACCTAAGTGCCTATGCCTTATTATAGTCATTAAATTACAGAGCAGAAAAAGATAAATCTACCATATGTATCGTATAAATCTGGAAGCCAGGGCCCAAAGTTGCTAAATGATTTTCTTAAAAGTCACACAGCTAATAAATGGCAGAATGGGGATGACAACGCAGAGTTACTGATTTCTAATGATCTTGTTGTTTTCAGGAAATCTAGGGAGGGCAGACAGATATTGAATCCTTGCTTTATTTTTTAAATACGATTTTTAATTTTAGACATGAGGTCTCACTATGTTGCTCAGGGTAGTTTTGAACTCCTGGGCTCAAGTGATCCTCCCTCCTCGGCCTCTCAAGGTGCTGGGATTACAGTTATGAACCACTGCTCCTGGCCTCGAATCCTTGCCCTAGATTTGCTATTTCCAACTATATGAAACTGCTATAGTTGTAAATATAAGGTGGTCAAACATCAGCAATGTCATATGATTTAACCTAATATTGTTGGGTAGAATTAACAGTGGTTACCTTCTTCTTCTTCTTTTTTTTTTTTTTTTTTGAGACAGAGTCTCTCTCTATCACCCAGGCTAGAGTGCAGTAGATCTTGGCTCACTGCAACCTCTACCTCCTGGGTTCAAGTGATTCTCCTGCCTCAGCCTCCTGAGTAACTGGGATTACAGGCGCCCGCCATCATGCCCGGCTAATTTTTGTATTTTTAGTAGAGATGGGGTTTTGCCATGTTGGCCAGACTGGTCTCGAACTCCTGACCTCAGATGATCCGCCTGCCTTGGCCTCCCAAAGTGCTGGGATTACAGGCCTGAGTCATCGCACCTAGCCAACAGTGGTTACCTTCTGACAATATCTTTTTATAAGCATGTGTGTATCATGAGAACACATATGGTACACACGCTATGTCTAAGTACAAAAAAGCTGTTTTTCATTTGGTATCTATTTTGGTCTGAGGAATTTTGGCATGATTGGGATTTACCATAAGGGGGGATAGTTTTTCTGGTTATTTATTGTTCTGTAAATATTTTAAAGGATTCTGGAAGAAAAGGAGGAAGTGAACATTAATGTATTCCTAACGTGATGGCACTTATTTTATGTCTTTTTATAATACACAATAATCAAGAGAGGCAGGAATTCTTATCCTATGTTACTGATGAGGTTCAGAGAGGTTAGTTTCTTGCCTAAGATGTAACATGGGACAGACGAACGTGGAACAGACTTGGAATTTGAACCCACGTCTGTCTGCCTCCATGTTCTGTTACATCCTATTACTACTCAGGAATGCAGTGGTAATAGGCGGGAAATTTGTGACAAACGCTGGGTTACTTTTATTTTCAAATTCACCATTTATGCAAAGTATAGACAGGTAGAGAGTTTCTGATAAGCTGTCTGGAGAGTAAAGAAACTGCATTCCCTACATGGAGTTTAGGAGGTTGTAAATTCAGGTCTGGTTCCAGAAAACATTCACGACTTTGTTTATAAACGATGTGGGCTATGTTTTTGGAAGTGGTGTTTAGGTTATGTGCTGTAGAGATTTTTCCACATCGACTTGCTCACTTACCACTTCTGGATTGTTGCCATCTTGTGGTGGGTCTAAGAGGATTCCTCATGATTTTAATGTGTGCTTTCTGACATCCTAAGATTTAGATGTTGGTTTTATCTAAATGTTGCCCGATTATTTTTCTTGAGGTAGTATTGATAGATTTACTGCTAGAATGGACCGGGTAGTGTTTTGCAATGTTTTTCAAACTGGAGATGAGAATTGCCTTGGACAGTTGCTGAAAATGTCTTAAGTTATTCCAGAAGCTGGAGTTTTGGTGCTCCTAAAACTGCTGTGGTACTGGGAAGTTGCAACTGGCTTGTACTGAGCTGGTTTTAGATTTGCAGTATTTTTGAGCTGGTTTCAGCATAAAGAAACTGGGCTCAGGAATGTCATCGTTCACACAGCCAATTGGTGGCTGAGTTGCGATGGATACCTAAGACACCTAAGTCTAGCATGCTTTTATTTTTGTATATTTTTTTGAGACAGGGTCTCCCTCTGTCACTGGCACGATCTTGGTTCACTGCAGCCTCCACCTCCAGGGCTCAAGAGGTCCTTGCCCCTCAGCCTCCTGAGTAGCTGGGACTACGGGCGTGTGCCACCATGTTATGCTATTTTTTTTTTTTTTTGGAGGTGGAGTCTCGCTCTGTTGTCCAGGCTGGAGTGCAGTGGGGGGATCTCGGCTCACTGCAACCTCCGCCTCCCGGTTTCAAGCGATTCTCCTGCCTCAACCTCCCTAGTAGCTGGCATTATAGGCACCCGCCAGCACGCCCAACTAATTTTTTTTTTGTATTTTTAGTAGAGACAGGGTTTCACCGTGTTAGCCAGGCTGGTCTTGATCTCCTGACCTCGTGACCCGCCTGCCTCGGCCTCCCGCAGTGCTGGAATTACAGGCGTGAGCCACTGCGCCCCGCCCCGCTAATTTTTAAAAGAAATTTTGTAGAGACAGGGTCTCACTATATTTCCAGGCTGGTCTCGAACTCCTGTGCTCAAGCAATCCTCCGACCTCTACCTCCCAAAGTGTTGAGATTACAGGCACGAGCCACTACTCCCGGCAGTCCAGCATTCTTAATAGCGCACCACACCTTAAAAAGCACACCCTTCTTCTGGGTCTTCTTTCTTCCCTAGTACCTGACTCCAGGCTAGAAGAAAATGCTAAGGGTTTCAAAAAAAGTGGGTGCTGGACTCTGTCTTGGAATTCAGCCTCTGCCTCAGACACCACACAGGTCCCTGGAGGGCTCTCTGGGTTTTGCTCTTTAGTTGTTTTCTGTAGCTTATTCTCCAAGCAGCCTCTTCTCTCTGTGGCTGGTTCTTTTGCACTGAGCAAGAGACTTACAAACTTGTCTAGCCTTACCCGGTCAATTGCCACTGGATGTCAGCGGGATCTAGTTTAGTGCCAGCGTCAGTGAGTTACTGATTAACTGATCCAAGGCACTCAAGGTTTCTCTTTCATCTGTCTTCACTTCCTTGTTGCTAGTCCACAAGAACCAAACATTTGAATTCAGCTTCCCACTTCCCTCTTCTCTCCCTCTTCAATTAAGTTGAAGAGGCTTCTGGACCTTAGATCTGCATGGAGTGCTAATAAAACTTCTGCAGAATTATTTCTGCTGGGAACTTGGAAGATCTACACAGGTTTTTCAGGTCAGAATCCTGGACCAGAAATTCAGTGAGTTGATTTGCTATAAAATCATATGCAATGTAGTTCTCCAGACATCCTATTTCTTTTTGCCAAATAGCTCTTTCTTATCTTTGAGTGATATAGGAGGTATTGAAAATTTATTTTTTAAAGAAGAGATTGCTTCATAGAACAGTAATGTGTTAATATAAGGAGTTAGGGTTATGTGAAGACCCTCTGATTTTTTAATTTATATTTGAGGGGGAACCACCTTTTCTTTTACACATACATAATATCTCTAGGAGGGCAGGGCATGGTGGCTCACGCTTGTAATCCCTGCACTTTGGGAGGCCGAGGTGGGAGGATTGTTTGAACCCAGGAGGTTGATGTTGCAGTGAGCTGTGATCCTGCCACTGCACTCCAGCCTGGGTGATAGATTGAGACCCTGTCTCAACAAAGAAAAAAGAAAAAAATCTTCAGAAGGATACACAAGAATTAAGAAGTTGATTACTAAGGGACAGAAGTCAGAGGTAAACAATTCACCATATACTCTTTTTTTTTTTTTTTTTTGAGACGGAGGCTTGCTCTGTCACCCAGGCTGGAGTGCAGTGGCGTGATCTCGGCTCACTGCAACCTCCGCTTTCCGGATTCATGCGATTCTCCTGCCTCAGCCTCGGGAGTAGCTGGGACTACAGACGTGCGCCACCACGCCCGGCTAATTTCTTTTGTATTTTAGTAGAGACGGGGTTTCACCGTGTTGCCCAGGCTGGTCTCGAACTCCTGAGCTCAGGCAATCCAGCCGCTTCGGCCTCCCAAAGTGCTGAGGTTACAGGCATGAGCCACTGTGCCCGGCCTGTATACTCTTTTATGCCTTTTGAATTTTGAAGCTTTCAACTTAATACATAAAATGAAAGAAAAAATAAAAACAAAGAAAGAAAAAGAGAATATATGGGTTTCAATAATAAATGAATAAATAAACGACTGTCTCTTAGCTCCTAACTGGTAGAAATAGGAGACTGGGAAGCAATTTTAAAGAAAAGAAAAGCAATTATCTGTCTTACTTTCTTCATAAGCCTCATTGCATTTTATAATTTTTAAAACTAGTGTTCTCTAAGGTCTTCTGGATTTCGATAACAGGGCGGGAGAGGTTTTGCAATTTTTAATAGTTTTCTTTCCTCTCATAAAGCATCACTATTGGCTGCAACCTGGCTCAGGGGACCGGTGGGAATCAGACTCGTCTGACTACTGAGCAGCTGAACCTGTCTTTTGCAGGCAGTGTGTTTATGGAGTGAAGGCTGGAAAGTTTCTTTTTCTTATTTTTTTGCCCATTGCTTTTGTTCCCCAAAGAGAAATCACTGTAGTGTGATTATTCCTGAATTTTCCTGAGCCTTGTCTGAATGTGAATGTCACAGGAATCTTTTCTTCTTAAATGGAAAAAGAGAAAAGGCTTGTACACAAATGTTCTACTCTAAACCACAACTTTTCTCCTTTTAAATAGGTTTTGGATTGAAAGTATTTTTCTATTTACTGGGTAAATCACTAAAATACAGTCTTGGAAGAGAGAGAACATAAACTGTTTACTAACTTCTTTTTCTTTTGTCAAAAGAGAGAAATGTGAAATCTGTTATTTAGTTTCCAAGTTTCAGTCAAAAGCAAAAACCTGAATCAGGACCAATTCCCAACATATTGTTGAAAAGTCCTCACTTCCGATCTGGTGAACTAAATTAAAGGTGTACGTTTTCTCATAGAATTCTTCTCATTAGTGTATTAATTTTATTCTTTGGGAAAGAATAACTGGATAGATCTTATATTTTCATGATTACACATTTTAGAAGCTTACAAGGGCGTTTAGGGAAAAATTACCTCCCACATCTCTGTTCCTCAGCCATTCAGTTTTTCCTCCCGTAGAAAAGTGTTATTAGTTTCTTGTGTGTTTTTTCAGACGTAACATATTTTGTGTATCATTATATATCAGCATATAAGAGCTTCCTTAAACTATTTATTTTCTTTAATTGACAAAAATTATATACATGTTTTGAAATATGTATACATTGCAGAATGGGTAAATCGAGCTAATTTATGTAATACCTCACATACTTTTTTTATCTTTTTCTTTTTTGCTGTAAGAACACTGAAAATCTACCCTTATCAGTTTTTTTTTTTTTTTTGAGATGGAGTCTCGCTCTGTCACCCAGGCTGGAGTGCAGTGGTGCGATCTTGGCTCACTGCAACCTCTGCCTTCTGGGTTCAAGCGATTCTCC
This sequence comes from Homo sapiens, assembly GCF_000001405.40. Lineage (NCBI taxonomy): Eukaryota > Metazoa > Chordata > Mammalia > Primates > Hominidae > Homo > Homo sapiens. The sequence goes on along the minus strand of NC_000003.12, from coordinate 155,735,540 downwards.
TGCCTCAGCCTCCCAAGTAGCTGGGATTACAGGTGCCTGCCACCACGCCCGGCTAATTTTTGTATTTTTAGTAGAGATGGGGTTTCACTATGTTGGCCAGGCTGGTCTCGAACTCCTGACCTCAGGTGATCCACCTGCCTTGGCCTCCCAAAGTGTTGGGATTACAGGCGTGAGCCACTGCACCCAGCTCCTTATCAATTTTTTAAGAATAAAATACATTGTTATTAATGATAGTCATCATGTTGTACAATAGACTCTTGAACTTCTTCCCCCTATCTAACCAAAATTTTGTATCCTTTGACCAGCATCTTCCCCACCCGCCACCCAGTCACATCGCAGTCCCTGGTAACTACCATTCTACTCTTTCCTTCTATGAGTTCAACTTTTTTAGATTTTACATATGAGATCATGTGGTATTTGTCTTTCTGTGTCTGACTTACTTCATTTACCATAATGTCCTCCAGGTTCATCCATGTTGCAAATGATAGGATTTCCTTCTTTTTAAAGGGTGAATAGAATGCTACTGTGTATAGGCTGGGCGCGGTGGCTCACGCCTGTAATCCCAGCACTTTGGGAGGCCAAGGCGGGAGGATCACAAGGTCAGGAGATCGAGACCATCCTGGCTAATATGGTGAAACCCCGTCACTACTAAAAATACAAAAAAATTAGCCGGGCGTGGTGGCGGGTGCCTGTAGTCCCAGCTACTGGGGAGGCTGAGGCAGGAGAATGGCGTGAACCTGGGAGGCGGAGGTTGCAGTGAGCCGAGATTGCACCACTGCACTCCAGCCTGGGCGACAGAGCGAGACTCTGTCTCAAAAAAAAAAAAAAAAGAAAAAGAAAAGAATGCTACTGTGTGTATATATATATACCACATTTTCTTTATCCCTTCATCTACTGATGGACACTTAGGTCAGATTCCATAACTTCGCTATTCTGAACAATGCTGTAGTGAACATGTGAGTGAAGATAATTCTTTGACATACTGATTTCATTTTCTTTGGATACATACCCAGTAGTGAAATTGCTAGATCATATAGTAGTTCTATTTTTAATTTCTTAAAATTTAATTTAATTTTATTTTGAGATAGGGTCTCACTCTGTTGCCCAGTCTGGAGTACAATGGTGCGATCATGGCTCACTGCAGTCTTGACCTCATGGGCTCAAGCAATCCTCCCACCTCAGTCTCCTGAGTAGCTGGGAGTACAGGCACATGCCACTATGACTGTCTATTTATTTTTATTTTTAATAGAGACCAGGTCTCACTATGTTGCCTGGGCTGATCTTGAACTCCTGGGCTCAAGTGATCCTCCCACCTTGGCCTCCCGAAGTCTTGGGATTACAAACATGAGACACTGTGCCTGTCCTATTTTTGATTTTTCGAGGAACCTCCATGCCGTATTAATTTACATTCTCACCAGCAGTGCACAAGGATTTCCTTTTTTCCATATCCTTGCCAGCACTTACTTTTTGTCTTTTTGATAATAGCCATTCTAACTGATATGAAGTGAAATCTCATTGTGATTTTAATTTGCACTTTCCTGATGACTAGTGATGTTGAGTGCATATATATATATATATATATATATATATATATATATATATATATGTATACCTGTTGGCCATTTGTATGTTGTCTTTTAAGAAATATCTATCTAGGTCCTTTGCCTATCTTCAGATCAGGTTATTTGTTTTCTGGCAGTTGAGTTCTTTGAGTTCCTTTTGTATTTTGAATATTAACCCCTTATCAGATGTATGGTTTGCAAATATTTTTCCCATTCCACAGGTCGTCTCTTTATTCATTCTCTTTTTTAGTTTGAAGCAATCTCATTTGTCTATTTTTGCTTTTGTTTATTGTGCTTTTGGGGTCATATCCAAAAAATCATTGCTCAGAGAATGTCATGGAGCTTTTCTCCTGTTTACTTCTAGTAGTTTTATAGTTTCAAGTTTTACATTTAAATCTTTAATCTATTTTGAGTTGATTTTGTATGTGGTAGAGAAAATGGTCTAATCTTATTCTTCTGCATGTGGATATCCAGTTTTCCTCAACCTATTTATCGAAGAGACTGTTCTTTCCCCATTGTGTGTTCATGGCACCTTTGTTGAAAATCAATTGACCACAAGGGTGTAGGTTTATTTCTGGGCTCTCTGTTCTGTTCCATAGTTCTCTGTGTCTGTTTTTATGCTGGGACCATGCTGTTTTGAATACTATAGCTTTGTGTGGTATATTTTGAAATCAGGTAGCATGATGCTTCTAGCTTTGTTCTATTTGTTCAAGATTGCTTTCTCTATTCAGGATCTTTTGTGGTTCCATATGAATTTTAGGTGTTTTTCTTTTTTTCTATTTCTGTGAAAACTGTCATTGGAATTTTGATAGGAATTACATTGAATATGTAGATTGCTTTGAGTAATATGGACATTTTAATATTAATTCTTCCAATTTATGAACACAGGATATCTTTCCCTTTGTTCGTGTTTTCTTTAATTTATTTCATCAGTGTTTTGTGGTTTTCAGTATGCAAGTTTTTCACCTCCTTGGTTAAATTTATTCCTACGTATTTTTTTTGTAGCTATTGTAAATGGGATTATTTTCTTGATTTTTTTTCCTCAGAGGATTTATTCTGTGTTTAGAAACATAACTGATTTTTTTTTTTTTTTTTTTTTTTGAGATGCAGTCTCACCCTGTCACCCAGGCTGGAGTGCAGTGGTACAATCTCAGCTCACTGCAACATCCACCTCCTGAATTCAAGTGATTCTCCTGCCTCAGCCTCCTGAGTAGCTGGGACTACAGGCATGCACCACCATGCACAGATAACTTTTGTATTTTTAGTGGAGATGGGGTTTCATTACTTTGGCTAGGCTGGTCTCAAACTCCTGACCTCGGGTGATTCGCCTGCCTCAGCTTCCCAAAGTGCTAGGATTACAGTCATGAACCACCATACCCAGCCATAACTGATTTTTTAGTTTTGATTTTGTATCCTGCAACTTTACTGAATTAGTTTATTAGTTCTTTTTTTTTTTTTTCCAGACTGGGTTTCACTGTGTTAGCCAGGATGGTCTTGATCTCCTGACCTCGTGATCCACCCGCCTCGGCCTCCCAAAGTGCTGGGATTACAGGCGTGAGCCACTGCACCCGGCCTCATCTATTAGTTCTAATTGTATCTAGTAATAGTCTTTAGGGTTTTCTATATATAATATTTTCAAATAACCTGTCTTCAAGTTCACAGATACTTTCTTCTTCTTGATCAATTCTGCTGTTGACACTTGCATTTTTAAATTTGGTTCATTGCATCCTTCAGCTCCAGAATTTGACTTTTAAAATGATTTTTAATATTTTTGTTAATTTTCTTGTTTTGGTCATTTATTGTTTTCCTAATTTTTTTGAATTATTTCTATGTATTTTCTTGAAGTTTGTTGAGGTTCCTATAAACATTGATAATGTATTCTTTGTCACGCAGTTCATACATCTTTTTTTTCTTTAGAGTTGGTTAGTAGTGTTTTATTTTGTTCAGTTGGAGGTGTCATGTTTCCCTGACTTTTTTTTTTTTTTTTTTTTTGAGACAGGGTCTCTGTTTGTCACCCAGGCTGGATAGAGTGCAGTGGCACAATCTTGGCTCATTGCAGCCTTAACCTCAAGTGATCAAGTGATCCTGCCACCTCAGCCCTCGAAGTAGCTGGGACTATAGGTGTGTGCCGCCATGCTTGGCTAATTTTTGTATTTTCTGCAGAGATGGGGTTTTGCCATGTTGACCAGGCTGCTCTTGAACTCCTGAATTCAAGTTATATGCTTGCCTTGACTTTCTAAAGTGCTAGGATTACAGACATGAGCCACAGCATCCGGCTGCCCTGACTATTCTTGATGTTTGTGGCTGTGGGTTGGTGCCTGTGCTTTTGAAGAAGTAGGGATTTATTCCAGTCTTTGTAGACTGACTTTGTGTGGGAAAGCCTTTTATCAGTCAGCCCTTCCAAAGATTCTGGGCAGGCCATCTGGTGTGCTGTGTGGGTGGTCTTGCTCTTGGGGTTCATGGGCAGGCTGGCTTGATGCCTGGGTCAGTAGGTGGGCAGACGTTGCATCTGAATCTTCAGGGTTGAGCCAGGAGCTTGGATCCACTGGCGTGGACCTGTTGATTGGGTCCATGAGGGTTAGCCTGCTGCCTAGGTGCATGAGGGTAGACTTGGAGTTTGTTGTTTGTGGGAATTGGACTTGAGTCTGGATCCACAGAGGCAGACCTGTCACTGGAATAGGCCTTGAGCCTGAGTCTGCAGGTGCTGGCCAGCTGCTGTGATGAGTCTGGTACCTAGGTCCAACGGGATGGGCCTGGAGCCTAAGTCCATGGGGGCTGGCATGGCCCTAGGGTTGGCCTAGAGCCTAAGTCTGCAGAGGCTGGCCTGGGATGGAAGCAAATCTGTATCCTGGTGCCACTTGGCTAGCCTGGAGTCTGTGGCCTTTGAGGTAAACCTGGCAATGGAGCAAACCTGGAGAACAAGTCCACCAGGCAGGTCTGGAGCCTAGGGCTGTGGGATCTGGCATGGTGCCAGGGTAGGCCTGGAGGCTCAGTCCATGGTTACCGGTCTGGAGTCTGGAATTGTGCAGGCCCTCTTGGTTCTGGATTTTACTGGGTTGGGCCTGGCATTAGGGTGTAAGGCAATGTCCATTATTCACCTCCATCTTCTTCCCCCAAGCAGAGGGTATCTCTCCACACTGTGCTGCCTGTGGTTAAAGCATGGGTGACCTGGGTAATGTAAAACTGTCCTTCCTACCCTTTTCAATGTGGTTTCTTATTTCTGTGCTACCCTTAGGTGCTATGATCTCATGATCTCTTACCTGGTTTCCTTAGCTCTTGTGAAGTTATTTATTTTGCCATCTCGCTCTTCTTTTATTTGTTTACTTATTTAATGGCTGCATATTTCCCACTGTATGGATATACTATAAATTAAGCAGATCAATCAACAATTAGGTTGCAGCTGGGCATGGTGGCTCACACCTGTAATCTCAGCACTTTGGAAGGCCAAGGTGGGTGGGTCACCCAATGCCAGGAGTTCGAGACCAGCCTGGCCAACATGGTGAAACCCTGTCTCTACTAAAAATACGAAAATTAGCTGGGCGTGGTGCGGGCGCCTGTAGTCCCAGCTACTTGGGAGGCTGAGACATGAGAATCACTTAAACCCAGGAGGCGGAGGTTGTAGTGAGCCAAGGTTACCCCACTGCACTCCCGCCTGGGTGAAAGAGCAAGACGGTCTCAAAAAAGAAAAAAAAAAAACTAATCATTTTTGATGCTCTTTTGAGCTTGAGAATTCTTATGAACAAATCAGGTTTCATATCCCATCTCCTTCTCTATTTCCTTGAGGACCTTTTGAATTCCTGTCTTGTAATTTCTGATATTCTTATATCTTCATATAGTAGAGGCTCTTTATTGACCTGTTAGAGGATTAAGAACCCATCTCTGCTGCCTTTAGAGAAATAAAACTTTAATTCTTAATTTTACCACCAGTATCTTAGGTTAAAATCTTTATAAAACTATAATTTTTATTATGACTATTATCCTTCTAAAGAGAGGCCATTCTCAGGACTTATATTCTGAATAATTTATGGTTAAGCATTCTTTTTTTTTTTTTTTTGAGATGGAGTCTTGCTGTGTCACCCACGCGGGAGTACAGTGGCATGATCTCTTGCTCACTGCAACCTCTGCCTCCTGGGCTCAAGTGATCCTCCCACTCCATCCTGAGTAGCTGGAACTACAAGGTGTGCACCACCTTGCCCAGATAACATTTGAATTTTTACTAGAGGAGATGGGGTTTCACCATGTCACTTAGGCTGGTCTTGAACTGCTGGGCTCAAGCCATCTGCCACCTCAGCCTCCTAAAGTGTTGGAATTACAGGCGTGAGCCACTGTGCCTGGCCCAATTTCCTTATATGTTCTTTATTATATCACATTATATTTAGATAGCATATTAATAATATTCTTTAGTAATTTTCCTTTTATAACCAGGAACAGAGATTTGAGCATCTACTGTTCCTTCCTACTAAAATGTCCTTCCCATGCAACCCTCCCATATTCTCCTCCCTCTTTTAAACCTACTCATCCTTTGACATCTGGCTGCAACATCCCACTCTCCAGGAACTTTTTTCTGTATTTTTGGGCACAGATCCCCCACTTACCCTGCTGTGTGGTTGAAAGGAGGAGAGATGATGTTTGGAGTTTGGATTGGCATCACAAGGCAGATCTCTTGGAGCTGCACTCCTTATTGCTGGGTAGAAGGGGTAGGGAGGACAGGCAAAGATGAAAATTGGACACATTCCCTGCTATAAGCTCCCTTCACTCACTGGTGGATGGAGAAGAAGACAGAAGAGAGGATAAGATGAATTGGGGAGACTGGCAGCTCTGTCCTTCTTTGGGGGATGCCTTTTCTTAGACTGAATTTTGGACATCCTTATGTATGAAGGAATCGTGAGCAGACATATTCTGAAATCCATTTCCACTATTTAAAAAGTGTGGAAATCACTGGTTTAGAGACAATTAGCATAAGCCAAGGAATTTTTGGATGTTAGACCTACGCACAAGTTGATTAAATAAGAATTGTAAAATAAATCTGCTGTTTGTATGTCATCAAGAAACATCTTCAGATGCAATCAAATATGTTAACATTGGGCTAGAGTTCCAGATTGATGGCCACTGAGAGTTGAAATCTAATTACCAAATATTCATTCCTTTAGATGTTTTTTAATATGGTCTTAATTTCCAATCAGTATTGTGTGCCCACTTTTAAAATGAAGGCATATATATCTATAAAAATGGAAGTATGCCCATCCTGATATGAGAATAGGGAGGTAGAAAGGACTGAGGTTAGGAAGTCTGGATCTACTACTGGCTCTGCCATACTTAGTAGGGCTCTGTCTTGTTGTCTTTCTCTCTCTCTCCCTCTGTTTTATTCATGATTTGTTAGGAAGCAAAATTACACATATCTTAAGAAGGAAATCTTTAGAGTTAGATTTTTTGAGTTCAAATCCTAGTGCTGTTGCTTGATGGTTGTGGGACCTTGGGTAATTACTTAACCTTACTGTGCTTCAGTTTCTCTATCAGAACAAAAGGGATAATAATTATACCTAGCCCTTTGGATAGTCGAAAGGACTAAATAAAATAATACTTGCAAAATGCTTATCATGATACTTGGCCATAGGAAGTGCGAAAAAAATATCAGCAGTTATTACAAAGTGGCAGGCCCTGAGTTAATATGTTTTGGGCTGGCTCAGGTCCTGATTTGGCTGTCAAACTGCATGGATCTGTGGCTCTGAATATGAATTACCAGGGGTCAGCTCTCTTCTTAGCAACACACCCTCGCCCCCCGCTGATACCATTTAAAAATTCTGGATAAAATAGAAAAATCATTTTCCTAAATGCAATGAACCAGTAAGAAAGTAATGAATACTCATGCCAAAAGCTCAGTGAAGAGGGTTCAGTTGAGCACTGAAGCTGGATTTGCCTTGAGGACATTTGCCAAACTGGGTTAACTTGAATTTCAGTTTTCATTGCCAGAAGGCATAAGGGACAAGAGAGTGAGACATCTGAGAAGGGGCCTTTTGGTTATAAAGCTGGGATTTCAAAAGGCTTCTGCTTTAATGTAAGTGTGAATTAGAAAAAAAAAAAAGAAACAAAATCACCGTATTTTCTTTCTAACTTAAGAAGTCTGTAAGGAAGATCACCTATCACTGGTGTAGAGCAGGTGCCTGATTTCTTGGTCCTGAGAATTTGTGATTGTAAACCAGCTCTAATACAGGTATGCATCTGGAATTTACAATACCTATGAAGTCAGGAAAACCTCAAGATGCAGATTTGGTTTAAAGATTTCATACATTGGGCCGGGCTCGGTGGCTCACACCTGTGATCCCAGCACTTTGGGAGGCCGAGACGGGCGGATCACTTGAGGTCAGGAGTTTGAGACCAGCCTGGCTAACATGGTGAAACCCTGTCTCTAATAAAAATACAAAAATTAGCTGGGCGTGGTGGCACACACTTGTAATTTCAGCTACGCAGGAGGCTGAGGCAGGAGAATCGCTTGAGCCCAGGAGGGGGAGGTTGCAGTGAGCCGAGATTGTGCCACTGCACTCCAGCCTGGACAAAAGAATGAGACTCCATCTCAAAAAAAAAAAAAAGGATTTCGTACATTGGAAGTGTTGCTGGTACTGAGCAGAACCCATTTTTTTTTCCTTTTTTGGTGAAATCTATTTTTTATCTCAGACTACAGAGAATTTCTGCCAATGAAATTAAAAGGCAAATGAGCATGTCTGTAAAACCAAAAACAGAATAAAAAACCTCCCCTAAACACAAGATACGAGCTTAAGATAAGAAACTATGAGGACTAACCAAGCTCATTTTATTTTTTTATTTTTATTTTTCCAAGCTCATTTAAAAAATAACCAAATACAACTTGAAAAAATAAAAATGTAATAATTAAAAATAAGAGAGTGAATGAATTTATGAATAGGTAAATCCAAGCTGCATAGAAAATTAATCAAAAGAATTTGAGCCGGGCGCAGTGGCTCACGCCTGTATTCCCAGCACTTTGAGAGGCTGAGGCAGGTGGCTTACAGTGTCAGGAGTTCGAGACCATCCTGGCCAACGTGGTGAAACCGTGTCTCTACTAAAAATACAAAAAAAAAAAAAAAGAAAAAAGAAAAAAAATTAGCCGGGTGGGATGGCGCGTGCCTGTAATCCCAGCTACTCAGGAGGCTGAGGCAGGAGAATCACTTGAACCTGGGAGGCAGAGGTTGCAGTGAGCCAAGATCACACCACTGCACTCCAGCCTGGGCAACAGGGTGAAGACCCCGTCTCAAAAAAAAAAAAAAAGAATCTGAACAAAATTTTAATTATTGCTACAGAAAAAGAAGAGAGGAAAGAAAATTGGAAAAGGCAACATTTAAAGAGATAATGGCTGAGAATTTTCAAGGATCAATAAAAAGCATCACTTGACATATTGATGAAGTCATATGAATTCCAGACAGAGTAAGTAAAAAGAAATCCACACATAGACAAAATATAATTAAACTGCAGAACACAAAAGATAAAGAGAGGATCTTAAGCTTAGCTTCAAAGACATGACAAATTATCCTGACAATGTAACAATAGAAGCCAGAAGACAATAGAATATTATCTTTCATGTACTGTGGGAAATTAACTGTCACCCTAGGATTCTATTTTCATTAAAAAACAATCTTTAAAAAACAGGGACACAATAAAGGCCTTTCAGATGCACAAAAACCTAAAGAATTTGTTCCAGCAGATCTTCACTAAAAGAGTAACACTTGAGGTAGAAGAAAATTATTTCCAGATAAAGGATCTTAAAAACAAGAAATAATGAAGACCAAAGAAAGTTTAAGTTAAAACACGTATTGACTATATAAGGTAATAATGATATATTCAGTGGGAACTAGTAACATAAGTTGGAGAAGCAAAAGGAGTTAATGTGCTCTAAAATTCTTGTATAGTTTGGGAAGAGATTAGAGATAATGATTATTGAGACTTCGATAAGCAAAGTATGCATGTTAAAATGTCTAGGGCAACTACTAAAAATTAGGAAAATAATGGATAACTTCCTAGCTAATGGAGAAAAATTAAATGAGAAAAATAACCTCAAGGAAATCAAGGGAGCTGAGAAAAAAGTAGAGAATAGGCAAGACAAATAGCAAGCACAAAATATGATGTTGAAATAAATTCCATTGTATCACTAATCATAATCTAAAGGAACCAAAGATTGTTAGAGTGGATGAAGAATTCAGCTATATGCTACTTATAACAGAAATGTCCAGGCTGGGAGTGATGTCTCATGCCTGTAATCCCTGTACTTTGGGAGGCTGAGGCGGGCAGATCACCTGAGGTCAGGAGTTCAAGACCAGCCCGGCCAACGTGGTGAAACCCCGTCTCTACTAAAAATACAAAAATTAGCCGGGCATGCATCTGTAATCCCAGCTACTCTGGAGGATGAGGTAGGAGAATTGCTTGAACGTGGGAGGTGGAGGTTGCAGTGAGCTGAGATCGCACTATCGTACTCCAGCCTGGGGGACAGAGTGAGACTCTGTCTCAAAAAAAAAAAAAAGTGTCTAAAATATAAGGATACAGAATGTTTAAAAGTAAAATAATAGAAAGGGAAATAGGTGACTAAAAACCAAAAGAAGCTGGCAATTTTGACATAAGACAAAATAGGCTTTAAATTGCAAAAAGCATTTTTAGAGATAAAGAGGGTCAATTGGTTAAAAAGTCTCAACTTATCAGAAAGATAAAATACTTACATATGCATCTTCAGGTAGCCTATAAAGAAAAGCCTATCAGATTAACAGTAGATTTCTCAGCAGAAACCCTATAAACTAGAAGGGATTGGGGTCAAAGCCTATCAGATTAACAGCAGATTTGTCAGCAGAAACCCTATAAGCTAGAAGGGATTGGGGTCCTATCTTTAGCCTCCTTAAACAAAACAATTATCAGGCAAGAATTTTGTATCCAGCAAAACTAAGCTTCATAAATGAAGGAAAGATACAGTCTTTTTCAGACAAACAAATGCTGAGAAAATTCACAACTACTAAGCCTGCACAGTAAGAACTGCTAAAAGGAGCTCTAAATTTTGAAACAAATCCTTGAAATACAGCAAAACAGAACCTTCTTAAAGCATAAATCTCACAGGACATATATAACAATTACACACACACACACACACACACACACACACACACACACACAAAACCCCCCAAGGTATTCAGGCAACAAATACCATGATGAATAGAATAGTACCTCACATCTCAATACTAACATTGAATGTAAATGGCCTAAATGCTCCACTTAAAATATACAGAATGGCAGAATGATAAGAATTCACAAACTAACTATCCCCTGCCTTCAAGAGACTCACCTAACACAGAACGACTCACATAAACTTAAGGTAAAGGGGTGAAAAAAGATATTCTATGCAAATGGACACCAAAAGCAAGCAAGAGTAGCTACTGTTATATCAGATAAAACAAACTTTAAAGCAACAGCAGTTAAAAAAGACAAAGAGGGACATTATACAATGATAAAAGAATTAGTCCAACAGGAAAATGTCACAATTCTAAATATATATGCACCTGACACTGGAGCTCCCAAATTTATAAAACAATTACTACTAGACCTAAGAAATAAGGTAGATGGCAACACAATAATAATGGAGGACTGTAATACTCCACTGACAGCACCTAGACAGGTCATTAAGACAGAAAGTCAACAACAAAAAGATGGACTTAGAACAAACAGACTTAACAGAACAAACAGACTTAACAGATATTTACAGAATATTCTTCCCAATAACTGGAGAATATACTCAGCACATAGGACATTCTTTAAGATAAACCATATAATAGGCCACAAAATAAGTCTCAACAAATTTAAGAAAATTGAAATTATAGCAAGTAGTCTCTCAGACCACAGTGGAATAAAATTGGATATCCACTCCAAAAGCAAGCCTCAAAACCATGCAAATACATGGAAATTAAATAACCTGCACCTGAATGGTTGTTGGGTCAACAATGAAATCAAGATGGAATTTTTTTTTTTTTTTTTTTTTTGAGATGGAGTTTAGCTCTGTCACCCAGGCTAGAGTGCAGTGGCTCAATTTCTGCTCACTGCAACCTCCACCTCCTGGGTTCAAGCGATTCTTCTGCCTCAGCCTCCTGAGTAGCTGGGATTACAGGCACCTGTGACCATGCCCAGCTAATTTTTGTGTTTTTAGTAGAGCCAGGGTTTCACCATGTTGGCCAGGCTGGTCTCAAACTCCTGACCTTGTGATCCACCTGGCTTGGCATCCCAAAATGCTGGGATTTTAAGCATGAGCCACCATGCTTGGTCCAAGATGGCAATTAAAAAATTATTTGAACTGAATGATAATAATGACACAACCTATCAAAACCTTTGGGATACAACAAAGGCAATGCTAAGAGGAAAGTTCATAGCATTAAATACCTAAATCAAAAAGTCTGAAAGAGCACAAATAGACAATCTAAGGTCACACCTCAAGGAGCTAGAGAAACAGGAACAAACCAACCCAAACCCAGCAGAAGAAAAGGAATAATGAAGATCAGAGCAGAAGGAAATGAAATGGAAACAGAACAAAACAAAACAAAAAACAATAAAAAAGGTAAATGAAACAAAAAGCTGTTTCTTTGAAAAGATAAACAAAATTGATAGACCAATAGTGAGATTAACCAATAAAAGAAGAGAGATGATTCAAATAAGCTCAATTAGAGATGAAATGGGAGATGTTACAACTGATACCACAGAAATACAAAAGATCATTCAAGGCTGCTATGGAGAGAGATGATCTAAATAAACTCAATTAGAGATGAAATGGGAGATATTACAACTGATACCACAGAAATACAAAAGATCATTCAAGGCTACTATGAACACCTTTATGTGCATAAACTAGAAAACCTAGAGAAGATGGATAAATTCCTGGAACTATACAATCCTCCTAGATTAAACTAGGAAGAAATAGAAACTCTGAACAGACCAATAACAAATAGCAAGATTGAAATGGTAGTAAAAAAAATTGCCAACAAGAAAAGTCCAGGACCAGATGGATTCACAGCTGAATTCTATCAGACATTCAAAGAAGAATTGGCACCAATCCTATTGACACCATTCCAAAAGCTAGAGAAAGAGGGAATCCTCCCTAAATCATTCTATGAAGCCATTATCACCCTAATACCCAAACCAGGAAAAGACATACCAAAAAAAGAAAATCACAGACCAATATCCTTGATGAACATAGATGCAAAATTCCTCAACAAAATACTAGCTAACCAAATCCAACAGCATATCAAAAAGATAATCCACCATGATCAAGCGGGTTTCATACTAGGGATGCAGGGATGGTTTCACATGTGCAAATCAATGAATATGATACACCACATAAACAGAATTAAAAACAAAAATCACATGATTATCTCAATAGACTCAGAAAAAGCATTTGACAAAATCCAGCATTCTTTTATGATTAAGACCCTCAGCAAAATTGCCATAGAAGGGACATACATTAAGGTAATAACAGGACATCTAGGCCAGGCACAGTGGCTCACGCCTGTAATCCCAGCACTTTGGGAGGCCAGGGTGGGTTGATCACCTGAGGTCAGGAGTTCCAGACCAGCCTGACCAACATGGAGAAATCCCGTCTCTACTGAAAATACAAAATTAGCTGGGCGTGGTGGTGCGTGCCTTAATCCCAGCTACTCAGGAGGCTAAAGCAGGAGAATTGCTTGAACCCGGGAGGCAGAGGTTGCGGTGAGCCGAGATCACGTCATTGCACTCCAGCCTGGGCAACAGGAGCGAAACTCCATCTCAAAAAGAAAAAAAAAAGACATCTACGACAAACCCACAGCCACCATTATACTGAATGGAGAAAAATCAAAAGCCTTCCTCCTCAGAATGGGAACAAGACAAGGATGCCCACTTTCACCACTTCTTTATTTTTTTTGAGACAGAGTCTCACTCTTTTGCCCAGGCTGCAGGGCAGTGCCACGATCTCGGCTCAGTACAACCTCCATCTCCCAGGTTCAAGCAGTTCTCCTGCTTCAGCCTCCCGAGTAGCTGAGATTACAGGCATGTGCCACCATGCCCGGCTAATTTTGTATTTTTAGTAGAGATGAGGTTTCACCATGTTGGCCAGGCTGGTCTTGAACTCCCGACTTCAGGTGATCAGCCCACCTTGGCTTCCCAAAGTGCTGGGATTACAAGCATCAGCTACTGTGCCCGGCCCACTTTTACCACTTTTATTCAGCATAGTACTGGAAATCCTAGCCAGAGCAATTAGACAAGAGAAAGAAATAAAGGGTATCCATGTTGGTAAAGAGGAAGTCTAACTGTGGTTTTTTGCCGATGATATGATTGTACACCTAGAAAATCCTAAATACTCATCCAAAAAGCTCCTATAACTGATAAATTCAGCCAAGTTTCAGGATACAAAATTAATGTACACAAATCAGTAGCTCTGCTATACATGAACAGCGACCAAGCTGAGAATCAAATCAAGAACTCAACCCCTGTTACAATAGCTGGAAAAAAAACCAATTTAGGAATATACCTAACTAAGGAAGTAAAGGACCTCTGCAAGGAAAATAACAAAACACTGCTGAAAGAAATTACAGAAAACACAAACAAATGGAAACACATTCCAGGCTTATGGATGGGTAGAATCAATACTGTGAAAATGACCATACTGCCAAAAGCAATCTACTGATTTAATGCAATTCCCATCAACATACCACCATCATTCTTAGAACTAGAAAAAACAATCCTAAAACTTATATGAAACCATAAAAAAGCCCACATAGCCAAAGCAAGACTTAGCAAAAAGAACAAATCTGGAGGCATCCTATTACCTGACTTCAAGCTATACTACAAGGCCATAGTCACCAAAACAGCACGGCACTGGTATGAAAATAGGCACATAGACCAATGGAGCAGAATAGAGAACCCAGAAAGAAAGCCAAATATATACAGCCAACTGATCTTCAACAAAGCAAACAAAACATGGGGAAAGGACACCCTATTCACCAAATGGTGCTGGAATAAATGTCAAACCACATGTAGAAGAATGAAACTGGATGCTTCTCTTTCACCTTATATAAAAATCAACTGAAGATGGATCAAAGACTTAAATCTAAGACCTGAAACTTTACAAATTCTGGAAGATAACATTGGAAAAACCCTTCTAGACATTGGCTTAGGCAAAGACTTCATGACCAAGAACCCAAAAGCAAATGCAACAAAAAGAAATATAAATAGATGGGACTTAATTAAACTAAAAAGCTTCTGCACAGCAAAAGAAATAATCAGCAGGGTAAACAGACAACTCACCGAGTGGGAGAAAATCTTCACAATCTATATCTCTGACAAAGGACAAATTATCCAGAATCCACAAGGAACTCAAATAAATCATCAAGAAAAAAACAAATAATCCCATCAAAAAGTGGGCTAAGGACATGAATAGACAATTCTCAAAAGAAGATATACAAATGGGCAACAAACATATGAAAAAATGCTCACTGTCACTAATGATCAGGGAAATGCAAATCAAAACCACAATGCAATACCACCTTACTCCTGCAAGAACAGCAATAATAAAAAAATAAAAAAATAATAGATGTCAGTGTGGATGTGGTGAAAAGGGAATACTTTTACACTGTTGGTGGGAATGTAAACTAATACAACCACTGTGGAAAATAGTGTGGAGATTTCTTAAAGAACCAAAAGTAGATCTACTATTTGATCCAGCAATCCCACTACTGGGTATGAACCCAGAGCAAAAGAATTCATTATATGAAAAAGATACTTGACCACACATGTTTATAGCAGCATAATTCACAAATGCAAAAATATTGAAACAGCCCAAATGCCCATCAATCAATGAGTGGATAAAGAAAATGTAGGCCAGGCATGGTAGCTCACGCCTGTAATCCCAGCACTTTGGGAAGCTGAGGCGGGTGGATCATGAGGTCAGGAGTTCAAGACCAGCTTGACTAATATGGTGAAACCTCATCTCTACTAAAAATACAAAAATTAGCCGGGCATGGTGGCGCATGACTGTAATCCCAGCTACTCGGGAAGCTGAGACAGGAGAATTGCTTGAGCTCGAGAGGCGGAAGTTGCAGTGAGCCAAGATTGCGCCACTGCACTCCAGACAGAGTGAGAGTCTGTCTGGAAAAAAAAAATAAAAGAAGACAATGTAGTATATTTATACCATGGAATACTACTCAGCCATAAAGAGGAATGAAATAATGGCATTTACAGCAACCTGGATGGATTTGGAGAACATTATTCTTTTTTTTTTTTACTAAAACAAAAGTGCTACAAGCTATATTTCAAAAAAGCACATGACATAATAATGTCTACCAAAAAGTACAACAGTTCAAATCCCCTAATTCACTCCACAAGCAACCTCTCTTCCAGTTTTTATTATCATATATTGGATTTGCTTATTCTTTTTTTTAATTAATTAATTTTTTTATTATACTTTAAGTTCTAGGGTACATGTGCACAACGTGCAGGTTTGTTACATATGTATACATGTGCCATGTTGGTGTGCTGCACCCATTAACTCGTCATTTACATTAGGTATATCTCCTAATGCTATCCCTTCCCCCTCCCCCAACCCCACAACAGGCCCCGGTGTGTGATGTTCCCCTTCCTGTGTCCAAGTGTTCTCATTGTGGAGAACATTATTCTAAGTGAAGTAATTCAGCAATGGAAAACCAAACATCATATGTTCTCACTCATAGTGGGAGCTAAGCTTTGAGGATTCAAAAGCATAAGAATGATACTATGGACTTTGGGGACTCAGGGGAAAGGGTAGAAGGAGGGTGAGGGATAAAAGACTACACTACACATTGGGTACAGTGTACTCTGCTCAGGTGATGGGTGCACCAAAATCTCAGAAATCACCACTAAAGAACTGATTCGTGCAACCAAACAACACTTGTTTTCCAAAAAACTTTTGGAAAAAAAACTTCCATGCATCTAGGGATAATATGACTTCAAATATATTTGAAATATATAGTCATGAAATAACATGACTTCAAAATATATTCAGCAAAAAATTGAGAGAACAATGATAAATACATATATTTCTGGTGAGATTTTAATATACTTCCTCAGTACTTGGTAAAATGGGGAAAATATCTGCTAACATACAAGATGATATAGTTTGAATATATGTTCCTGCCAAATATAATGTTGAATTGTAATCCCCAATGTTAGAGTTAAGGTCTGGTGGGAGGTATTTGGGTCATCCCTCATGGCTTGGTGATGTCCTTGCAATAGTAAGTGACATCTCGAAAGATCTGGTTGTTGTAAATTGTGGCACCTCCCCCCCGCACTCACCCTCTTGCTCCTGTTTCTGCCATGTGAGACACCTGCTTTTGCTTCACCTTCCACCATGAGTAAGAGTTTCTTGTGACCTCCCTAGATGCGGATGCTGGTGCCATGCTTCCTGTACATCCTTCAGAACCATAGCCAATTAAACCTCTTATAAATTACCCAATCTGAGGTATTTCTTTATAGCAATGCAAGAATGGCCTAACACAGAAAATTGGTTCTGAGAGTGCAGTATTGCTATAGCAATATGGGGTATTTCACCTGAAAATGTGGAAGCAGCTTAGGAACTGGGTAACAGGCAGAGGTTTAAAGAGTTTAGAGGGCTCAGAAGAAGGAAGGAAGATGATGGAAAATTTGGAACTTCTTAAAGACTGGTTAAATTGTTGTGACCAAAATGGTAATAGTGATATGGACAGTGAAGTTCAAGCTAAAGAGGTCTCAGATGGAAATGAGGAACTTACTGGGAGCTGGAGTAAAGGTTATGCATGTTATGCCTTAGGAAAAAAATTTGGCTGCATTCTGTTCATGCCCTAGGGATCTATAGACACTTTAACTTCAGAGTGATGATCTAGGGTATTTGGTGGAATGAATTTCTGGGCAGTATTGTTCAAGTTGTGACCTGGCTGCTTCTAACAGCCTATGCTCAGAAGTGGGAGCAAATAAATGACTTAAAGTTGGAATTTACATTTAAATAGCAAGCAGAGCTTAAGAGTGTGGAAAATTCACAGCCTGGCCTTGTGGTAGAGAAAGAAAACACTTTTTTTGGGAGAGGAATTCAAGCAGGTTGGGGAGCAACACCTTGCCGGAGATATTTTCATAACTGAAAGGGAGCCAAGTGCTAATTGCCAAGACAAGGGTAGAAGAGCCTTGAAGCATATCAGATATCTAAGACCGCAGCCCCTCTCATCACAGGCCCTGAGACCTAGTAGGACTGAAGAGTTTTGTGGGCCAGGTCCAGGGCCCTGCTGTTCTGTGCAGTCTTGGGACACTGCCCCCTGCATCCCGGCTGCTCCGGCATTAGCCTCTGCTCAAAGAGCCTCAGATACAGCTTGGACTGCTGCTTCAGAGATTTCAAGCCATAAGCTTTGGTGGCTTCCATGTGGAATTAAGCCTGTAGGTGTGCAGAGTGCAAGAGTGAATGAGGCTTGGTAGCCTCCCCCTAGATATCACAGGATTTACAAGAAAGTCTGGATGCCCAGGCAGAAGCCTGCTGCAGGGACAGAGCCCTCACAGAGAACCTCTACTAGGGCAGTATGGAAGGGAAATGTGGGGATGGAGCTTCCACACACTGTCCCCACCAGGGCACTGCCTAGTGGAACTGTGGGAAGGGGGCCAACTGTCTTCCAGACCCCAGAATGGTAAAGCCACAGGCAGCTTGTATACTGCTCCAGGAAAAGCCACAGGCTCCCAGCAACCTGTAACAGCAGCTGCAGAGGCTGAACACTGCAAAGCCATAGAGGCAGTGCTGCCCAAGGTCTTGGGAGCCCACTTCTTGCACCAATGTTCCCTGAATGTGGGTCATGGAGTCAAAGGAAATTACTTTGGAGCTTTAAGATTTGATGACTGCCCTGCTGGGTTTTGAGCTTGCATGGGGCCTGTGGCCCCTTTCTTTTGGTCAATTTCTGCCTTTTGGAACAAGAATGTTTTCTTAATGCTGGTACCACCCCTGTAACTTGGAAGTAGAGAACTTGCTTTGGTTTTACAGGCTCATAGGTGGAAGGAACTCATTTCCAGATGAGACCTTGGACTTCGGACTTTTGACTAGGTTCATGCTGGAATGAGTTAAGACTTTGGGAGACTGTTGGGAAGACATTATTGTATTTTGCAATATAAGGAGGACATGAGATTTGGGGGGCCAAGGGCTGAATGATATAGTTTGAATACATGTCCCGGCCAAATCTCATGTTCACTTGTAATTTGCAGTGTTGGAGTTGGGGCCTGGTGGGAGGTGTTTGGGTCATGGGGAAGGATGACATGGTGCTGTCATGCCTTGGTGCTGTCCTCACGATAGTAAGTGAGTTCTTGTGAGATCTGGTTGTTGCAAAGTGTGGCACCCCCCATCGTATTCTCTTGCTCCTGCTCCTGCCATGTCAGATGCCTGCTCCCACTTTATCTTCCACCATTAGTAAAAGCTTCCTGGGGCCTACCCAGAAGCAGATCTGGTGCCATACTTCCTGTACAGCCTGCAGAACCATGAGCTAATCAAACCTCTTTTCTTATAAATTAGCCAGTCTCAGGTATTTATGCCAATGCAAGAATGGCCTAACACACAAGATTTGAATGAAGTAACTAATAAGTTTGAGCTGATAGACATGAAGATCACACCTCCTAACTTCAGAATACACATTCTTTTCAAACACACTAGAACATTTATGGAAAGTGACCTCAAACTATGTCATCAAGCAAGTTGTAATTATCAAAGGATTAGTGTCATACAGACTAAATCTCTGACCACAGTGGAATTAAACTAGAAACTATAACCAAAAGATTACTATGAATAGTTGTAGAAATGTGTTTCAAAATAATCTTGGGTTTAAAAAGAAGCTGTAATAGTATTCAGAAAATATTTTTAACTGAATGATAACAAAAATACTATGAGTCAAAACTTGGGGGTTGGGGAAGTAGCTAACACATGCTTAACCTTAATTACTTATATTTAAAAAGATGAAAACCTGAAAACAGTTAAACGTTGAAATTAGAAGGTTAGAAAAAGATGCAAAATAGGCCCAAAGAAAACAAATGGAAGGCTAAGTGCAGTGGCTCAGGCCTATAATCCTGGCAGTTTGGGAAGCTGAGGTGGGAGGATTGCTTAGGCCAGGAGTTCTAGACTAGCTTGGGCAACACAGTGAGACCCTGTTTCCACAAAAAATTAGCTGGGCATGGTGGTGTACACCTGTAGTTCTAGTTACTTGGAAGGCTGAGGCATGAGGATCCCTTAATCCTAGGAGGTTGAGGCTGCAGTGAGCCATGATCATGCCACTGCACTCCAGCCTGGACAACAGAGTGTTACTCTGTCTCTTAAAAAAAAAAAAAAAAAAAAAAGAGGCCAGATGTGGTGGCTCATTCCTATAAACATAGCACTTTGGGAGGCTGAGGCAGGCAGATCACTTGAGCTCAGGAGTTCCAGACCAGGCTGGGCAACCTGACGAAATCCTGTCTCTACAAAAAATACAAAAATTAGTTGGGTGTGTTGGCGCATGCCTGTGGTCCCAGCTACTCGGGAGGCTGAGGTGGGACAATCATTGCTTGACCCTGGGAGGCAGAGGTTGCCGTGAGCTGTGATTGTGACACTGCCCACCAGCTTGGATGACAGAGTGAGACTCTGTCTCAAAAAAAAAGAAAGCAGATGGAAGGAAATGATAGTAATAATTCCATGTTATTCAATGGAGATTACTGTAAAAGCTAGCAATATTGACAAATACCTGGTGAGATTGATTTAAAAATAAGAGAGGCACAAATAAGCCATATCAGGATTCAGAGAATAGATGTTGTAGATATTAAAATTATATGAATAATATTATGAACAACTTCATGCTAAAACATTTGAAAGCTTAGAGAAAATGAATAAATATCTAGACAAATATAACTTACCAAAACTGACTTAGAAAAAATAGAAAGCCTGAATAATGCTGTAATTTATAAATAAAATAAACCAGTAGTCAAATATTTCTTCTTAAAGGAAAGTTCAGGCTCAACTGGTTTTACTAGCAACCTAATTCTTCCAGGAAATAGAAACTCATTTTGTAAAGCTATGATAACTTCGATATAAAAGCCTTTTGAGAGCAATATGAGAAATGGAAGTTATAGGCCAGCCTTGCTTGGGAACATACATGTAAAAATCATAAAACATGAGCAATTCAAGTCCAGTAATGCATAAAAAACAGAAGAGGACTCCTTCAAGCTCTGGATACATATTATATACTCTAAACCAGCCCTTTCAAATGCAGCATCCCGGGTGTCTTTGGAGGGTCGATTGCGCCTCATTGCTTAACTAGCTCAGAGCATTTTCAGCTCCTGATTGCATTAGAGAAAAGAAAACACACCAGGAACTTGGGATTTAGTGGTGTCTCCTGTGAGCCTTAAAAAATGAACAAAGTACCCTTTTATTTCTTTCCCTTTGTGTACATAGCTGGGAGGGGGCTAGGCTGTGGAATTAGGCTGTTTGCAGAGGCCTTTAACAACCAGTTTGGTGGTGCTTAGAAACCTGCGGGAAGTAGGGGAGGGGCTGATGGTGGGGAAGGCCATCTGCTGGGTGGCGGGTGACATGGGAGCCCTCTGGACCTGACCCAGGCTTCTGAACTGCTTTAGAAGCTGTCAGTTTGGGGCTGGGCCAGAGAAGAGGATCCCTGGCCCCTCCCACCCCATCCCTGCCCTGTGTAATTCTCTTACTTTGTCTTAAAATTAATGGAGAAATGAGAAAGGAGCAACTTTGTTTGAAATCTTAGTTTTTAACTGGATTTAGTTTCAATTCTCAAGTTTTAGGGATACCTGGGTGCAAAATTCCCAAACATACGTTATGTCAGAGGCCGAAGTACAGGATATAGTTTTGAGACCTGTTTTTCTATGCCTTCCTGTTCCTAAGTGCTTGTTGTTTTATGAATATTACTGTCAGAGCTTATTAATTTTGCCTTTTATCTCTCAGCAAGGCTTAAGAAGAAGGAAATGAGCACTTCTCCATGTAAGTTAAATGCTACACAACTGATACCTGACAGTTCATTTTGTGGTTTTTCAGGGTTATTTTAATTTATAATAAAAGATGAATGGATTGGGATATTAGGGAGGAGTTTTCCATAATCCTTATTAATAGAATATTGAGTATTAAAATTGGAAATACTTTGAAGAACATCTCATTCACTGCCATCCCTTTTTGTGACATAGATGAGGCAGCTGAAGCACAGGGTTGTGAAGAGATTGACCCTGAAACACAGTGTTAGTAAGAGGCAGGATTGGGCTGCAGCTCTGGGTTTTTGACTTCCAGTCAGGTGTTTGTCCATTGTCCCTTGATACCTTACTATGTCCCATGAACTAGTAATTCCTTTTCCACCAAGGAGGCAGGCGTGTGCATTACATTTTAATTTCTGGCCAGATTTTCTTCCCATTCCAACATTCTCCAAATGCTGTTAGCAATTTGGAGAACACACACACCTCTCAGACAGTTTTTACCATGATATCTTGCAAGTAAACTTGGTCTTGGTGTTTCTGAACTTGGTCCAAGTAGCTCACTCAAATTTCATTTCAAAGTAGCCATCCACCATCTTATACCCAAAGGAGTGACACTTTGCTCTGATCATCTCTAATCTATACACTCCAGAGGCTCCTGCTGGAGGGACAAGGTATGCATTTTTTGAATAAGTAATGTTTCATTTAGTTGTCTCCTCCTGTCTCTTCTCCTTGGTTCATAGTAGAGTTGGGGTGAATGGTGGATGTGGGAAGAATTAGAGTCTTGTCTGTCCTGAGTAATTCAACTCTAGGTTCTTTTTATAGGGAAGCGGAATGTCAGGGAGGAACTGGTGCTGGATGTGGAGTGTTGCTCTGGACTGGGGACAGTGGATTTGGAGTCAGGAGATGTGGGTTTGCAACCTGCTGTTTCCATTTAGTCTTATTTGTTAATAATGTGGAACTCACAGGGCTATTGTAAGGGCTTTTTTTTTTTTAAAGACAAGATATAAATGGAAAATTGTGTAAATCATGAAGTGATTTACAAATAATATATTATTAATAAGGAATGTAAAGGGAGTATTGGTTTTTATGGAAAAGGATACTGAAGGAGATTGGGCTCTGGTGGTGATAAAGTAGAGAGAAAGAGGTGGAGACGGCAGTCAGGGTGTAATAGACAAATTCCTCTACTTAGAAAAAAAAAAGGGCCCCTTCTTCCCATAAAGTTATTTATTTATTTATTTATTTATTTAGTGACAGAGTATCGCTGTCCCACCCAGGCTGGAGTGCAATAGTGCCACCTCAGCTTACTGCTACCTCCGTCTCTTCGGTTCAAGAAATTCTCCTGCCTCAGCCTCCCGAGGAGCTGGGATTACAGGCATCTGCTACCTCTCCTGGCTAATTAAAGTTATCTTTTAAAGATTTACCTTTTTTTTTCTTTTTAGCACAGTATTATAATTCTGATTTCCATATATGAACTGGGATAATTTGTCTTTTAAGCCATTCAAGTGGCTTGAACAAATCTGTAGTGTTTCATAAAACTCAGGTTAAAGCAGCAATATAGATTTGCGTCACATTTGAAAATAGCTAAAGGAATTCTAAAGCTGAAGAAAAGGTTTTGTGTTTTGCTTTGCTTAAATACACCTTCAGATAGTCTGGGGGAATCCTTTTCAGCCAGGACAAAGGGCTTGAATGCATCACATCCCTAGGGAAAGCCCAAGAAAGAAAATATTGAGTCATATTTTTGAACTCAGAGAGGACTTGTTAAAAACTTGCCCAAGGTCCCCTGTGAGTTGGTTGTTAGAACTGAAACCAGAATAGAGAGCTCATGATGGCCAGATGGGTCCTCTTTACATTTTGCTATGCTGACGTATTTCATCAGTTGGGACTCTAGGTGCAAGTGACAGAAAACCCAACTCAATGTGGCTTACACAAAACTAAATAAAACAAAAAAGAGAATGTACTGGCTTATTTAATTAAAAGGTGCAAGGACAGATCTAGCTTCAGGTGTGGCAAATGATATTACCACGACTTGGTTTGTTTCCATTTCTCTGGGTTGGATCCAATCTCCACAAATTTTTCCACTATATTGACAGGATGGTGGCCAGGAACTTTAGGTCTTGAAGCTTAGACCTTGCAACTTCAAGTAAAACTGAAAAGGAAGTTTTTTTTCCCCCAAGAGTTCAAACAGAAATCTGTGCCTTACTCTGAGTGATCTGAAACAGGCCGTGTGGATCTCCTATACTGTGGCCTAGTGGATGCAATACTCTGATTTGCAACCTAAGCCACATGCCTACCTGAATCAGAGGATGAAGCTGACAGCACCTGAATCTTTTGAACAGAGAGTGGGAGAAGGATTTTCCCAGAGGAAAACTGGGGTGCTATTTCTAGAGGAGCGAAAAATCAGCAGATGTCCACTGTGGTGGAGTTTTCTTAAAGGGAGCTTTAATTCTAGTAAGTGGGTGTGGGTGTGAAGGATTTTTTTTTTCATTGTCGAGTTTTAAAAGTATTGACAAATGATTATTACTCAAAGTACTTCCCACTTTTCTTAGTTAAAAGTGCCATCCTTGAATTTCTAATATTCTTCATTGGTGGTGTCCCTACTGCCACATATGACTTGTTTGGTATTGACAATTTTGGTCGTGTTAACTACAACTAAAAATGTCAGGAATAAAGAAATTTTACATGATTTTTACATGATTTTACAAGATTACAAAAGTTACTTATCACTTATAAAATGAGCTTAGGAGCATTTTTAACTTTTAAGCTATACTTTTAGTCCATTTGCTGCATGAGTCCTCTACACACTTACATGGCTCTGTTTATTTATTATTTTTGCATTAGGATTTTTTGTGTTTGGTGTCTTTGAGTAGAGTCCATTAAAATTTCTTTTTCAAATCACATTTATGTTCTGTAGAAGTATATTTGTTGATATACCTAGAGGGTTGCAACATATTAGTAGTTATTAAGCAAAAGAAGTAGACTTATAATATCTAATTTGTGTTAAAAAAAAAAAAAAAAAGACCACAGTGCCCATGGTCATTGTCTTTAGGGGATAAGTAATATCACATTGAACATTTTTTTTTTTTAGTTTTTTCTATGCTTTTCAAGTTTGTAAACATGCAGCTATATTTTAAAACTAGTTTTTTTTTTTTTTTGAGACAGAGTTTTTTGCTCTGTTGCCCAGGCTGGAGTATAGTGGCACGATCTCAGCTCACTGCAACCTCTGCCTCCCGGGTTCAAGCCATTCTCCTTCCTCAGCCTCCTGAGTAGCTGCGATTACAGGTGCATGCTAACACGACTGGCTAATTTTTATATTTTTAGTAGAGATGGGGTTTCACCATGTTGACCAGGCTGGTCTCAAACTCCTGACCTCAAGTGATCTGCCCACCTCGGCCTCCCAAAGTGCTGGGATTACAGGCATGGGCCACCGCACCCAGCCATAGAACTAGTTTTAATAACAATCAGTTATTTCCTTATATGGTGTTCCTTATTCACTGTCAATTATGTTTTGAATCATTGTAAGGATTCAGAATCTAATTTTTTTTCATTGATAAGCTGGATTTTATTAAAATTAAAAATTTTTGCTCCACAAAAGACACTGTTAGTGACAAGTCACAGTCTGGGAGAAGATATTTGCAAGAGATGTATCTGATAAAGGACTCTTGTCCAAAATACATTTTTTTAAAACTCTTAAAACTTAGGCCGGGTGCAGTGCTTCATGTCTATAATCCCAGAACTTTGGGAGGCTGAGGTGGGCAGATCACTTGAGGCCAAGAGTTTGAGACCAGCCTGGTCAACATAGTGAAATCCCGTCTCTACTAAAAAAATACAAAAATTCGCCAGGTGTGGTGGCGTGTGCCTGTAGTCCCTGCTAGTCGGGAGGCCGAGGCAGAAGAATTGCTTGAACCTGGGAGACGGAGGCTGCAGTGAGCCAAGATGGCACTAGTGCACCCCAGCCTGGGTGACGGAGTGAGACTGCGTCTCAAAACAAAAATGAAACCAACCAACCAACCAACCAAACACTTCTTAAAGCTTGACAATAAGTAAACAACCTGATTAAAATTTTTAAAAAGGCCAGGAATGATGGCTGGCATCTGTAATCCCAGTACTTTGGGAAGCTGAGGCAGGAAGATCCCTTGAACCCAGAAGTTTGAGACCAGCCTGGGCAACGTAATGGGACCCTGTCTCTGCAAAAAGTCAAAAAATTAGCCAGACATGGTGGTTCACGCTGGTGGTCCCAGCTACTCAGGAGGTTGAGATGGAAGGATTGCTTGAGCCCTGGAGGTCGAGGCTGCAGTTGAGCCTTGATTATGCCACTGTACTTCGGCCTGAGTGACAGAGTGAGACCCTGTCTCAAAATAAATAAATGAATGAATGAATGGATGAATGAATGACACCTCACTGAAGAAGATATACTACTGGCAAACAAGCATATGAAAAGGTGCTTCATATAGATCATTAGCAAAGTAGAAATTAAAACAGCAATGAGTACCACCACACAGCTATTAGAAAGGCCAAAATCCAGAACACTTGTAACACCAAATGCTGGCAAAGATGTAGAGCAACAGGAACTATCATTTATTGCTGGCAGCAATGCAAAATGATACAAAATATCTTATACTTTAGAAGATAGCTTGGCTGTTTCTTACAAACTAAACATACTCTTACCACACAGTCCAGCAGTCACCCTCCTTGGTATTACCCAAATGAGTTAAAAACTTATATCCACACAAAAACTTGCACATGGATGTTTGCAGGATCTGTATTTATAAATTTCAAAATTTGGAAGCAACTAAGATGTTCATCAGTAGCTCAGTGGATAAATAAACTGTGGCACATCCAGACAATGGAATATTATTTAGTGCTAGGATGAAATGAGCTCTCAAGCCATGAAAAGACGTAGAACATTAAATGCATATCACCAAGTGAGAGAAGCCAATTGGAAAAGGCTATGTACTGTGTGATTCCAACCATAAGACATCCCGGAAAAGGCAAAACTATAGAGACAGTAAAAATTATCAGTGCTCGTCAGGGGCTAAGGGGGAGGGAGGGAGAATGCAGAGCATAGCAGACTTTAGGGCAATGAGACTATTTTGTATGGTACCATAATTAATCTGTATGTTTAATAAAGAGCGTAAATCTGCAGGTTCTATTTATAAGATGTAAATGCTTATCGAGTTCTGAATGTGTAACATATTATATTACCTAGACCTCTTAGGAGGTGGAATATTTTGTAAGTCTTAAAAGCAAGTTGAAAAGAAAAAAAAGGTGATCAATTTAAAACCATCCTTGCCTGAATATTGACCAAACAACTTCAAACTGGATACAAGATGCAGGGGAAATACATCTCTAATGTAATATAAATTGTCTAAAAAATAAATGAATGTAGTATACTTCAGTAGTTGTTTTTACCTACTGTGTTCACACAAACGGGGCCATGAAAGACTCAACCTGCTTTGGAACTGCTGAGGCTGGGTTTCCCATCAGTTTATCATCTTCCAGCTAGAGGTGTTATCTTGCAAGCCACACATCCTTTCTGGGCCTCAGTTTCCTTCTGGCTACACCATGAGAGGTTTGTCTTAGTTGAAGTCTAACATCCCTTTCACTTGAATCCCTTTAGTGAGCCCTAGGGCCTGGCTCTTCTGAATCTGGTGGAAGCTAAAATGAGGCTTATCGCACAGCTCTCTTCCCTTGCCCCAGGCCTACTAACTCTATTTATTATCTCCACCTCCATTATCTCTAAATCTGAAGGCCGAAGGGAGAGCATCTTTTCATTAGTCTCCTGCTGATGCCTGAATCCCACCCCTAGAGATTCTGATGTAATTGGCCTGGGTGTAACTTGGGAGTCAGGAGTCTTAAGCTTCCCAGATGATTCTAATGTGTAGTCAAGGTTGAGGCTCACTGATGTAAAGTCTTATCAATGTTCCTAATGCATAGTAGGTTCTCAGTAACTGGGAAACAGGATTATGGGAGTTCAGTGCATGAAAGAATTTTAGGTAAACTGGAGGGAGAGATTCCTGGGGGCATTTCATGAAGGCAGTGGCATGTTACCCAGCCCTTAAAGAAAAGCAAAAAGATCTGGAAGCTGGAAAGCCTGGGCCATTGATGTGAGCTAATGTCCAAGTATGTGAATATTACATATATGTCTGTAGGTTTGTGCTTCTGTCCCGAAAGTGTTGAAGGTCTCAACTCTGATTGGATGATCATCCTCTGAGAGGATGTTACATGTATTATATGTTACATTATCTATTGCTATGTAACAAATTACCCCACATCTTTTGTCTTAAAATAATAATTATCTATTATCTTTCACCGTTTTTTTTTTTGAGATGGAGTTTTGTTCTTGTTGCCCAGGCTGGAGTGCAGTGGCATGGTCTTGGCCATGTGATTCTCCTGCCTCAGCCTCCCGAGTAGCTGGGATTACAGGCGCCCACCCCCACGCCTGGCTAATTTTTCTATTTTTAGTAGAGACGGAGTTTTGCCTTGTTGGCCAGGCTGGTTTTGAACTCTTGACCTCAGGTGACCCACCCACTTTGGCCCCCCAAAGTGTTGGGATTACAGGCGTGAGCCACTGTGCCCGGCCTTGTCTTTCGCTGTTTCTATAGGTCAAAAATACATGTGAGGCACAGAGGGATGGCTTATTTCTTCTCATCAGTATCTGTGGCCTCATCTGAAATACTTGGGGTTAGAATCATCTGTAGATTCATTTATTCTCATGTTGTCTTAGTTCATTTTGGGCTGCTATAACAATGCCATAAACTGGGTAGCTTATAAATAACAGAAATTTATTTCTCACAATTCTGGAGGCTGGGAAGTCTAAGATCAAGGCATTGGCAGATTTGATGTCTTGTGAGGGCCCTTTCCTGGATTGCAGACTGCTGACTTCTTGCTGTGTTCTCATATGGTGGAAGGGTAGGGCTAGCTCTCTAGGGTCTCTTCTATAAGGGACCTAATCCTAATCATAAGGGTGGAGACTAAAGGTCCCACCTCCTAATACTATCACATTGGGGGGCATTAGATTTCACCATAGGAATTTGGGGCAGACACAAACATTCAATATAGCACATGTCTGTGGCTGATGCTGGCTGTTGGGTGAGGGGCTAGCTGGGCCTGTGAGCTAGAACACTTAAATCTGGGCTTCCTTACAGTGTGGTAGCTGGGTTCCAATGCAAGCATCTTGAGAGATAGGGAACCAGGCAGAAGTGGTATCCTTCTTGTGACCTCATCTTGGAAGACTCATAGCATCATTTCCAGCTGATTTTATTGTTAGAAACGAGTCACTGAGTCCAGCCCATACTCAAGGGAAGGTGAATTTAGATTCTACCTTTTGAGGGGAGGAATGTATAATAATTTGCAGATTTTTTTTTTTTTTTTGAGACGGAGTCTTTGTCGCCCAGGCCGGAGTGCAGTGGCAGGATCTCAGCTCACTGCAACCTCCGCCTCCTGGGTTCAAGTGATTCTCCTGCCTCAGCCTCCTGAGTAGATGGGATTATAGGTGTGTGCCACCATGCCCGGCTAATTTTTGTATTTTTAGTAGAGATGGGATTTCACCATGTTGGTCAGGCTGGTCTGGAACTCCTGACCTCGTGATCTGCCCACCTCGGCCTCCCAAAGTGCTGGGATTACAGGTGTGAGCCACCGCACCTGGCCTAATTTTTTGTATTTTTAGTAGAGACACGGTTTCACCAATTGGCCAGGCTGATTTCAAACTCCTGACCTCATGATCCACCCACCTTGGCCTCCCAAAGTGCTGGGATTACAGGCGTGAGCCACTGCACCTGGCCAGCAGATTTTTTTTTTTTTTTTTTTTTTTTTTTGAGATAGAGTCTTGTTCTGTCACCAGGCTGGAGTGCAGTGGCGCTGTCTCACCTCACTGCAACCTCTGCCTCCTGGGTTCAAGTGATTCTCCTGCCTTAGCCTCCCGAATAGCTGGGACTACAGGTGCGTGCCACCATACCCAGCTAATTTTTGTATTTTTAGTAGAGATGGGATTTCACTATGTTGGCCAGGCTGGGCTCGATCTCTGGACCTCGTGATCCATCCGCCTTGGCCTCCCAAAGTGCTGGGATTACAGGCGTGAGCCACTGCGCGCAGCCCAGATTGTATTTTTTAAACGACCTCACTTCATAAAGTCCTAGTTGCTATTATGGCTTGACTTTGGAATATGAAGATATGACTTCAAGTCTCATTACTATTTTTTCCTAGCAGCATTGGGTGAATCAGTTAATCTCTAACACCTTGTCATCTTCTTTAATGTTGTAGAAGGAGAGAAGAGTACTCACCTCAGAAGATTAATAAGGGACAAATGAGCATCATGTATGTGAATATATTTTGCTAACTATAAACAAATGCACATTATTAAAAATAATGAACATATATAACTGCATTATTTGTATAACTAAAAATACTTTCTAAAGAAGAGAACTTTGTAGTATATAGTATTGGCTGGGGAGAGGGCAGAGGTTGGGTTGTTTTCATAATTAGCTATATTCTATTGTATTTTGTAGTCAGTTCCATACAGTAGTAAGACTCCCTCAGCCTTAGGGAGTAGGATAAGCAGTCAGATTAGCCAGGTGGGTATGAGGCAAGAGGAAGTGGCCAGTCCAGCACGGAGCCAGAGAAAAGGCAGGATAGGCAGGAATTAGGTAAAATCCCTGGTGTTGTGGGTTAAGGTTGGGCCATAGGGAGCCAAGGAGAAGCTCTGACAAAAGCTTCAGGAGCCTTCACCAATTGTTCCATTAATGAATAGACAACACTCTGATAATATATATTTTTTTCACTAAGTGACTGATTTTATCCTGGGATACGTTTACAAAATTCTAGGTGGTTTTAGTAGGAGAGATGACAAATTGTTTTCCACCTGTGGGTTTTGCTTCATGCCAGCCTTGCTTGGTTTTGCCTGGCTTTATTCTGTGAACAGAAAGGAGGTTGGAATTCTGAAAAGTTGCTTTAGCCAAATCCTGTGAACAAAGGAGGCCTTGTTCAGGGTTATGCACGTCAGCTTTTGGAGGAATTTAATTCATCGACTCAGATCTCTGCTTTTCAAGTTGTTGCTCTAGCTAGCATTGTGTTTCTCTGTGTCTGTGATGGAGCAAGTCTTATGTAGGAGCAGGCACTGCTAGTTTACCTTGCTGAGGCCTGTGCCCAGCTCTAGTTACATCAATGAGTTCAGCCTGGGCAGATCCAGGCCCTAGCAGTCCTAAATGGACACCAGCAATGAACCAAAAAGAGGGAGGCACATTTTATTAATGTGCTTGGCTCATTCATGGCCACATGGATGCTGTACTGACACAAAATTCAGGAATTGGGAATGATAGCTTCGTTCCTGTTAGTTGCCTCCCCACCTGCAACTGAAATTTCCTGAAATGTTACCAGTGTTGACTAGTTTGGATCTTGGACTACTAGGAGTGAGGCTGGGAGCACATATACTGGTCCTGAAACCTGCTCTCTGATGGTAGGTTTATTTCCCCTGGAGATGGGTAACATTGAGCCCTGAAAGGTGGTTTGAAAAAGTTACTGTTTTGATATGCTAAATGTCATTCTAGACCCTGGGAAGACTTGTGAGAAATTTCTTAGGGCCTGGGGGATTCCAGCTCCATGTGTGGAGAAGTTGTATGCCGTATATGTTGCCCCGTAATGCTGGGCAACCGATGGCATTATGCTACCAGTGTGAGCGTGTGGCTGCCGTTTTCTTCATTTTTGTCTCATTCTGTTTCCCTTGACAGGGCAATTTGGTTTTGATGCTGTGCCAGAAATCTTCTGACAATGAGTTACTGGAACTTGGAAAAAAGGAACTGTGTGCAGTACCGCAGGCATTTTCTGGTGGACAACAGTGTGTTTCATGGTAAGCTGTCTCTTGTATTTATGTAGTTGGATCTTTTATTTTGTTTCTGACAGGACTTTTATTCTAGCACTCTAGATGCAAATATGGTATAATTGTTGGATGGAACCAAGAGCTTGAGTTAACTTGTTTATGAATAATTACCCAAGAAGTCCCATTGCACTTACTATCTCCACTTGTAAGGAATGGGCCCCACCTCAACGACTATAATAGTGTTATCTCTTTCTATTTCGTAGGGTAGTTGGTACCAGTGCCTTTCCTCTTCTACCACACTGTCAACTCCAGTAATATCCCTTTCTGATGTTTGTAATTATTTTGGGTGAGGGCCATATAATT
The DNA here is from genome assembly GCF_000001405.40 of Homo sapiens. Taxonomy (NCBI): domain Eukaryota; kingdom Metazoa; phylum Chordata; class Mammalia; order Primates; family Hominidae; genus Homo; species Homo sapiens. The sequence continues at coordinate 155,703,812 of NC_000003.12, read as the reverse complement.
GTTCAGTTAATATTTGTGGATCACCAGTCAATGCTTATTACCAGCATAGCATGGCCTTCCAAATTGAGATGTTAGAGGGTGCTTGTGGCCACCTGCTTTAGACACTTATTGAAGAGAAGTCCACCCACTTTTATTGCTGTCCTTTAGGGCTTTCAGACTTATCTATATATTATGTCCCATATAACAACAGAACAGAAGAGTTTGCAGCACTAAACCGTTACTATCAGGGTGGAGGACTGCAGCTGTGAATCAGAGAGTAATCAATATTAGTCATTTTCATGGCAAACTAAGACAAATTGCCTTTACCCTGCTGGTATCTGTTTGTTTTGTGGTATACAGTCAGGGATAAGCTCTGTCAATCCTGCTGTCAAGATACCCCAGGGTGAAACTGATTTAAAAGCCAAAGACTTATGTGGTGCCAGAATTTTTGGAGTAATCTCTATCAGAGGCCTGTGGAATTGTAGAGGGAACAGAGAGATTTCAGGGGGAGTGGAGTGCTCTTTAACAGAATCCTATAATCTAAGCTGCTTTCACCTTTCTAAGATTGTTCTGAAGTCTTCCCCAATTTGATGACAGACTTAATGTTTATTATTGCTTTAAACTAAGTTTAAGATAACAAATTTAACCTTACTTTATTAAGCACTTTGGTGTTTATAGTGTTTTTTCAACGTTCATTATACAACCTCACTAAAAGCCCTTGTAAAGTAGAGAGTGATTTCATTTTACAGATGAAGAAAGAGAAACAGAGATGAAATAACTGCCCAAGTTGATGTAACTAATTAGGTATTAGCAATGTCAGCATGAAAATTTCTGCCTCCACCTTTCCAGGTTGGTTCTCTTGACATTCCAGTGGTGAAGTGCCCTTAGCAGAGGAGGCGTGGGAATGGCGACTTGACCCTGTGGCACTGAGGTTCTGCGTTGCTTTTCTCTAGCCTCAGCCAAGGGTCCTGTTCATTGCTTTATCTCTCATGCAGTGTTTGATTTATGTATTGTTCTGTTGCAAATTTATTCGTATTAAAAAATAGTAAATATGATAATAGAAAAATCACGGGAGTTAGAAGAACTAGGTTTATTTTTTCAAGCTTTATTTTGTGCCAGTTTTTAAAGAATTTAGATTTAAGTGCCTTAAACTCATTATTATTTTCATTATTTTAGAATGCCTTTATTCAGAGATCTCAAAGGCTATAATCATTTAAAATTTTTTCTATGTATTTTTATAGTCGTATTACCAATTAGTTTATTACTATATTGCAGATACTTATGCTAAGGGCTTGATGACCATTAACATTGTCATACGGAATCCTTTCAAGGACTTTGCTATAGCTATTATTCAACCCATTTTATGAATGGGGTAACTAAAGCTTGTGGAGATTGTAAAATGGTGACCTAAAATTCAAATCCTGATCTGCCTAATTCCAACACCTCACTGTTTTTTCTTCTTTCAGGCTGCCATCTCCGTTTTAATTAAAAAAAAAATTAACATTCTGAGGCTTAAGTTCTATATAACAGTATTTGCTCTGTTGTTGACTAGCAGTGTACGGTCTTGGACAAGTTACGTAATCTTTCAGGAACTCAGTTCTCTTTTCTGTGAAATGAGCATGCTGGTCTCAATGATTTTTGAGGCTGTTTCTAGTTCTAAACTCAGATTCCACTGAAGTATTTCTGAGAATTACAATTACTGTATTGTCTGAGCTCCCTTTTCACTAAACACAAGATACACAAGGGGGCAGTATAACACTTAAAATATGAATTGGTTACTTCTTACATTCAAGAATTACTCTTTCGAAAGGATTTAGAGATATTAAATCCTCCCAAGATTAAAAGAATCAACTCCGATTAGAACAATGATTCTATTCATTTATAATACAGCAATAGCTTTATATATTTCTGATAGTGTAAAATATCATTTTGGATTTCCTTGCCTCAGGATATATTGTAATTCAGGAAAGAAAGATGCCTTTTGCTCTTCTTCTACCTCTGCTGAAAATGAATCTGTTAACATAGGAACTTACTTGACTTAAGGAAGAATTGTGAGAAGTCTTGGGATATTTTAAACCAAGGGAGCTCTAGTGGTAATGTCTTTGTAGAGGATTTCAGAACATTTCTGAGAAAAGAAAGGGACAGGACATGTTGAGTAGGAAATGTCAGATTTCTCTTGGGCTTCTTGAACATTTACTGACCACACTTTTGCTTATTCACTTTGGCTTCTCCTTGTTTTTGTTGATAACTCTCCTTACATAACAAAATCAACCAAAACAAAAAGAAACAAAACTTCTTCCATAAATGGAAAAGAACCATTTCCCGTGCAGAATAATAGACTTTTGGAATAAGCAGACTTGGATGTATAAATTATGCCAGCCAGGGTCTCTTTCTACAGACAAACTTCAGCAGTGTTGCCAGGATAAAAGAGCTATGTTAAAATGAGAACTCTAAAATGGTCAATAGCAGCAAAAATAAAAATGTAACATTTGTGTAGTTTCACAGTTCATAAACCATATTCATAGCCTCATTTTCTGATTATAGAGGTGGTATATTCTCATTGGAAACAATTTAGAATATTACCCACAATCCCAGAACCCAAAGAGAAAGAGACTGTTAAACCTACTGTTAAGAGTCTGCTTATGTCCGGCCTTTTATCTACCTACTATTTCATCTTCACATTTCAGAGGCAGGAATGAAATATCTGGAAAGGTTGGGAAATAGTGCTTAACGGAAATGAACTGGTTGAATTGACTACTATGTCCAGCGATGAGAGAAACCTTGTTAGGAATGATGAATTTTTGTATTTCCCTCTTGTCTGTCTTTTGCCTGGATTTTTAGGAAAAACCCAAAGGAATTTGCACCTATCAGAGAAGCTAATCTCTGGGATCTTCCCCTACTTGACTTTTATTCTTCTGATATGTTTGCAATAGAAAAAAATCTTGAGCAAAGAATGTTTGGTGCGGTATGAACCCTGTCTTAATGGCTTATACCTTCATGATTTATCCTGATTTGAAAATTGCCTATACCTTCAGCTGTTTCTCCTGCTTTCAGTGAATTGCAGTATTTTTTTTTCTGACCTGGGATGCAGTCTTGATTCTTAACCAATAATGAGTGTATTTGCAATTAATATGCACATGCAATTTCTTATGCACATAAGCCTTTCCAAACATTTGAGCTCCTTACTAAGTGACTTAATGTTTGTCTTCACATACTGCTAGTTATAATTGTACTATTGGAAAAAGTATTAATTGCTTTCCTGTAAGTTATTAGGTTATCATCTCAACTTCTTATGGGAAAATTTGTTTTTGTTGCCATCATGTTGTTAAATGAATATTTCGGAATAACCATTACAAATCTAAACTAGAAACATTTTGGACTGAATTAGGAGTATCTTTTACTATCTAGGGATAAAATTAAGGGTAATTCTCTTATTAAATATTTATGCAGTATGCCTTTTCAAGAAGTTGCCTTATATATATGTTAATACTTTTACTTTGCCTCAGAACTACATTTTAATAAAACTAATTGACTTAGTTAATTAATTAAAGGATTACTTTTTATCCAGCCTCCCCTTCCTGGCCACAGACCTAGTTGGTGATGTGAGGGTAGAAACTTGACTGCTAGTTTGTAATGGAAAGTAGGCTGAAACGGGATCCTGAAGACTAGTTCTAATCCAAGTTTAACAACTAACTTGTGTAGCCTCATGTCACTTCTGGGGCCCTCAGTTTCCCTGTCTTTCAGGTGAGGATTTTGCCAGATTGTAAAGTTCCCTTATAGCAGCAAGGTGTGAGGTCTCTGTGTAGTCAAACATCAAGATAGGTGTATGATAGATGGAAGTGTTCTTCAGGCCGGGGGTATGAGAATGAAAGGCTGGCAAGATGGCATTGAAGAGAAGATAAGATTTCTTTTTGGACTGTAAACTTTGTAGTTAGTGTTGCACTGGCAAAATGCTGCATTTCCCTTTAGGGGAGAGAGGTAGTGGTGTGTGTGTGTGTGTGTGTGTGTGTGAATGGTCACAGGTTTCTCCTGACCATGGAGAGACCAATATCTAGGACTGACACACAAGCTTTCAGGACAAATGTGATTATATTCAAAAATGAAGAGTGAAAAGCTCTCCCTCACTGGAGTTCCATCTGCACTGGAAGAAAAGAGAAGAATTCCAGATCCTGACTGGAAAATATGCAAGGAGAATGAAATTATGCAAAAGTGAATTAGGGTTCCAATTGATTTCAGCCAGTTTATTAGACTTTGGCAGCCTGCCTGCTTTAGGTTTGTGGGGCATCACTAGATTTTATGTTAGAGTAGCATTTCTTTACTGAATCAAAGCCTAGCTTTTCCAGCCATAACTTTATAAGTCTCCTTTTCTAGGTCCAGAAAATACCTGTGCACATAGAATTCCTATTATTGCAATGACAATCAAGATTTCATGAACATCATTAAGATTAAAAGTATCAGGCTGGGCGCAGTGGTTCACGCCTGTAATCCCAGCACTTTGGGAGGCCGAGGCAGGTGGATCACCTGAGGTCAGGAGTTTGAGACCAGCCTGGCCAACATGGCGAAACCCTGTCTCTATTAAAAATACAAAAAATTAGCTGGGTGTGGGAGTGGATGCCTGTAATCCCAGCTACTTGGGAGGCTGAGGCAAGAGAGTCGTTTGAACCTGGGAGGTGGAGGTTGCAGTGAGCCGAGATGGCGCCACTGCACTCCAGCCTGGGCAACAAGAGCAAAACTGTCTCAAAAAAAAAAAAGATAAAAGATTAAAAATATTATCATTAAATTATTAGAGAGGACCAGGGAAAAATTTCAAAGACAAATTGAGAGGAAGAGTTAAAAAAAAAAAAAAAGAAGATAGGCCTTAAGGGAGAAAATATATTTCATTCATTTAAGTTTTATAAATTATAATAGAACTAATTCTGGAAGCAGCGTTGCCAGGTAGATTTCTTTTATTGGCCCCACCCAAAAGGCTCTCTACCTCCCATTGATGGCCACCAAAGCAGAAAGCATCAGGGCAGGTATCCTTTCAGGCCTATGATGTTCAGGTGTATCTTGCAGGTGGTGAAGATTTAGACAGAGGGAAGCATGGCCTGACCCAGGTGTGACACTTTGTAGGGGTTCCCACTGGCTGAGTTACTCTGGGTGAGTTGTTCTCTTTGGGACTAAGTTTTCCATATCAGCAAAATGCTGGCATTTATGGAAAATGACCTCTAAGTTTCTAAGCACTAAAATTTTAAGAAATGCGAGATTGTCTACCTCCCCTACTCACCCTACTTTTAAACACAGGCTAATTGGAGAATTTGCTGTGAGTTAACTGACCACATTGATTTATCTCCTTTTCTTCTTCCCCTGTCTGAGGGAAATCATAGCCATCCATTCAGGCCTTACAAAAGAGGATATTTATGTCTAGTTTAGAACACAAAGGAAAAAACCTTTAATGTGAGCTGGTATGAAATATACTTGTTCTATGACCTTTTGGGAACATATACTCTTCTTTGATGTCTTGGAGATACAAAAAATTCTCAATGAAAGCCTCTCAGTGAATGCTATTTATTTATATTTTAAAATCTAAAGTTCTTTCATTTTTTTGGTCTTTATGATGAGCATTCCATTTGTAACTGGTTTATTGAGCATTCTCAACTTAGTGTAGCATATATGCTTCAGTGAATGCTTCAGAAAATACTTTGTCCCATTGTAGCATCTTGGATAGGTTCTATTACTTTCTGGCTAATTTTGGCTATTAAGTGTCCAGTCCATTTTAAAATTTTAATCTCAAATTCATTAAGCCCTCTTACCCGCTGGCCTGGCTGTTGGTGGTTGAGGGTGGGAGTTCCTTTGTCTCTGCTATACTCCTTCCCCTTGAAGGAGAATTCAAGGCCCTGTTCCACAGATTTTGGTACAAAGAAGAGAGAGCAAAGGCTTTTTGTCTCACATGTCCCTGTTGTATGTCAGCAGCGGTGAGGTGATCCAGACTCCCTCTGCTTCCATCTTCTGTAGATTCTCAGTTTTATCCTGGCTCCCTCTGTTACCAAGGACCCTCCTGAGAGGACCTGCCATCTTGCTTCAGCCTCATGCCTTCTCTGCTGTCAGTTTCCTCTGGCTAGAGCACAGCTTCCTGTGCCCCTGAGGACACTGGGGCAACTGTCTGGCTCCTGCCCTTTCTCTTCTCTCCGTATTTCTTCATGTGGAGCTCTACAGACTGAAAGGACTTGAAAGATGGAATGGGGTGTGAAGTTGCCCCTTGCTCTTCTCAGACCTGCTGATGACAGTCTCTTCTCACACTGTAGGGGCTGCTCCCCTATGTTACCAACTTAAGCAATCTCTTCAGTCATTCTTTTGTAGCTCTTCCCCTGCTTCTTTCTGGGGGTGAGGGGTGTTTCCTCCAGTTTCACTCCTCAGAGTGCCATCTCTGCCACCCTGGGCATTGACGATATTATACGCCTAACAGCGGCTCAGGTAATGTGATTTTGATGGATGGAATCCCGGCCCCCCAACCACTGACAGCTCTCCTTGGACTCCTAGAGTCACTCTAGGCAGGTCCTTGTTCACTAACATTTTAGATTAGGGCGACTTAATTTCCCTAAAGCTACTGGTGTTCTTTATTCTGTTTGCTTTTTGCAGCATTATGTAGCTGGATTGATCAGACCCAAGCAATGATCTGTATGTATAAAAATCCATGTTGAGGTGTATCAGCCTCTATTCCTCATCGGGAATCTAATTCAATGAAGGGATTTTTCTGAGTAACTGAACCCACTGTGATCTCTCTGTCATGCTTTCTATGCAAGGTCATTTATCTTCTGCAACGATGGAGGGGATGAAAAGGTGCTCTTTAAATGGCAAATTGGAGATCTGGATGTATGGGAAGCCCAGGTGGATGAGAAGTGACAGTGTTCATTCTTTGAAGCTTTAGCTTTCAATTTTCTGAAACAAGCCTATTGCTGCCAAGTGAAAGCCTTGGATGGCTTTTTCCATGAGATTCTCCAACTCTTTCTCATAAACCTGTGGCCATTGAGAGTCCAGCCAGGCAGAAAGGCCCTTGATTGTTTTATTCCTTTATGCTTGGGAATACCAATTTTCTAATTGGCAATTGGAATTGGTAATTTTCTAATTAATTAGAAAGAAGAAATAATGTGTATAATAAACCGTCATTTTTTCCTTCAGATTTGCAGACCTTTCATGTTTTAAGTGGTTACTTCTGAGAATTATTTCCCCTTAGACCTGTGTTACAAATTTAAGCCTTTGTTCTTGAAGCTGCATTTCCATAATTACAATTAGTTTTCCTCTGCTCTCTCATTTTCCCAATTGTCTTTCCCACTCTGTTTCTAATGTATGCACAGAAATTGATGGGAGGATGAAAAATCTTTCCATGAGTAGATTCAGGGTTCTTCTAGGGCAACATAATTGTTTAATTTAGTTATGCAAAAGATCTAGATTTTTTTCCTTGGATCCAGTAATAATTAGTGATTGTGTTTGTAATCATGAAACCCTCCAATCTCCTATCTATCAAAAGAAAGTTGAAAAACTGCAGTTTGTCCCTTCTTACCACGTGGATGAAGTCATCCCCATAGAGATCTGTGACATGTTTTATATTTTCTTAGGGCTCATTCCTTTCAGCAAATATGTTTGGGGTTATTTCAAGAGTAAATTGTTGGTTTCAAAGGAATATTCAGATTTTTAATTTAAAGCCTCTAGCCTAGTGTGGAGCAGCTTCACCTACTCCCACGGCTTCAGTTCCCATGTCTATGCTAACTCCAAAAGTGTGTTCATGGCTTTGACCTTCCCTCTATGCCGAATACTCAGATGTCCATCTGCCTACCTGATGGCTCCACAGATGCTCTCCAGGTCCTCAGACTCAAGATGTGTGGAGCAGAATTCCTTCCTGCCCTGGTACCCATCTGCCTTGCCAACCTTATCTCACCCTTTCCCTTCTCTTTGCACCCCAGAAACACTGACGTTTGCATTCCTTGCCCACAAAACTCACTGCTTCTTCACTTAGCCAACTTCGAACACATCCTTTCAATCCCAGAGTAAAAGTCCTCTCAAAGGAGAAGCCTTTTCTGACTACTCAGACCAGGTCAGGTCCTGTTTTATGATCTCCGGTCACTGTGCATTGCTGCTTCATTTTGCTGCTTCATTGTGTTATCATTACTGTAATAAAACAATTAATTGTGTGATTACTACTTTCATTTCTGTCTCTCCAACCCAAGGTCCAGGAGAGCAGAGACTGTTCTGACTTCTATCTGCAGCACACAGTGCAATGCGTTGCATATAGTAGGTGCTCAATAAAATATTGCTGAATGAATTTCTATATTTTATTTAATAGGGGAGATAAGAGCGGTTTCACTATTTTTGCACTCTCTGTTGAGTTTGATTTTTAATCTTTGTGCTGTGAAATGCATCAGTTCTCTGACTGTAAACTCTCTTCTTGCCTTTACTCAGAATTTTGCCTTAGGAAACCCAGAAAAAAAATACTCATAAACCATCCTTGCTGAGATGAAGAAGGAAAAGAAGACCAATGAGAATCCAAGTGTGCCTTAGAAAAGACTGTATATTACAAATGCATAATGCCTTGAAATGGGCAAGGACAAAACCATTTCTTTAAAATAATTTCTTAAAGTAATTTCAAAAGGCTTTTTGAGTTCATTGTAGACTTTCCATGTTGGTTATACATACATATGTATTTTATCTGACTTTAAAACTGAAGGTTTCTCTCTTTAAAATAGCACTATTAGTAAAGCTGTTTAATTGCAGTTGTTTGCATACTATTAAAATTCTCTGCTGCTTGTGTCTGAAAATCTCCAGTCCAGAAGTAAGTGTTGTCTGTGGGGTAATTCTTACTGCAGAGAGCACAGAATAGACCTGCATTAAAAAAAAAAAAAAAAAAGCACTAGCTTTCTCAGTAAGAGAGGAAGAAAAGAGGCCTGGGGTTGGGGTACATGAGGAGAATAATCAAACAGCATAGGACTTCTTTAAAAGTTAAGAAGATGCACTTTTATTTCAGCTTCACAAACAAGAAAAATGGTCAGCACCTAGGCCTTTCCTCTAAGAATCTCAGGCACTATGAGAGTCCATTCCTGACTTATAGGTAGCAAGATCACTCTGAGAAGTAAACACCTCTCTGGGTAGGATAAATATAGAATCTGTGAAAATGTTTTTGTCTGTTTGTCAGCATATGTGACTGACGTATAAGTGTTTTTAGAATTTCTCCTATTGAAATGTAAAGGATGGTGGCTTATGCTCAATTAAAAGAAGAACAGGGAACACATTTATTGTTTAGTGTCGTAGTTTTACTCCCTGCCAACCTGAAATTGAACATCAATGCATTTCTACAAATGACCATTCTTTAAAATTGTGCCAATGTGAGAATTTCACGGTATTGTGTTTTTAAGCTAAGTAGAAGCTTATCATCTCTAGATGTGGAGACTTGTAAGTAATTAATGCTTTAAATCAATGGTTCCCAGCCTTGGCTGTGCATTGGAATCACCTGGGGATAAAACAAAAACAAAAATAAAACCAAACTATTTCCTGGGTCCCAGCTCAGAGGCTCTGATTTTTTGGTCTGGGGTGTGGCCAGGGTATGGGGAAATTGTTAGAACTCTTCATGTGATTCTAGTGGGCAGCCAATTAGATTTTGGTGGGTTGAAAACCCACCTACAATATGACCAATACATATTTTCTCAACAGAACTATTGAATTCATGAATTTGATAATGGTTATTTTCTGTGATGATAGTCTATTTTATACTGAATCTTGAAGGGCAGGGAAGGGGGAGCATTAAAAAAGAAGGACATGGATAGAAATACAGTATTTGAATATAAATTAAGCAGGAAAATATAGAAGAATCATCTATGCTTGGGAATTTGTAGCTGCTGTTTTTCTTTTCTTTTCTTTCTTTCTTTTTTTTTTAAGACAGAGTTTCGCTCCTGAGGCCCAGGCTGGAGTGCGATGGCCCCATCTTGGCTTACTGCAACCTCTGCCTCCCGGGTTCAAGTGATTCCCCTGCCTCAGCCTCTCAAGGAGCTGGGATTACAGGTGCACACCACCATGCCTGGTTAATTTTTGTATTTTTAGTTGAGACGGGGTTTCACCATGTTGACCAGGCTGGTCTCGAACTCATGACCCCAGGTGATCCACCCTCCTTGGCCTCCCAAAGTGTTGGGATTACAGGCATGAGCCACCACATCCAGCCGCTGCTGTTTTTCTTTAAAAATATTTTTTCACTTTATTTTTTCTGATGATAGCAACACAGGTTCACTGTAGAAAATTTGGAAAGCATAGAAAAGAGTAAAGATGGGAAAAATAGTCTATAATCTCAATAATGTGTTTTAAGTCTGTGCTTTCTTTTTTTTTTTTTTTTTTTTTTTTGAGACGGAGTCTCGCTCTGTCGCCCAGGTCGGACTGCGGACTGCAGTGGCGCAATCTCGGCTCACTGCAAGCTCCGCTTCCCGGGTTCACGCCATTCTCCTGCCTCAGCCTCCCGAGTAGCTGGGACTACAGGCGCCCGCCACCGCGCCCGGCTAATTTTTTGTATTTTTAGTAGAGACGGGGTTTCACCTTGTTAGCCAGGATGGTCTCGATCTCCTGACCTCATGATCCACCCGCCTCGGCCTCCCAAAGTGCTGGGATTACAGGCGTGAGCCACCGCGCCCGGCAAGTCTGTGCTTTCTTAAAGTGATTTAAAAACCATTGACTAAGTAGTGATTCTCATATCTGGTTATACATTTGAATCTGCTAGGGTGCTTTTTAAAAAATGCTGATGATTAGGCCGGGCGCACGCCTGTAATCCCAGCACTTTGGGAGGCCGAGGCGGGCAGATCACGAGGTCAGGAGATCGAGACCATCCTGGTTAACACGGTGAAACCCCGTCTCTACTAAAAATACAAAAACTTAGCCGGGCGTGGCAGCGTGCGCCTGTAGTCCCAGCTACTCTGAGGCAGGAGATCCCAGCTATTCTGAGGAGGCTGAGGCAGGAGAATGGCGTGAACCAGGAAGGCGGAGCTTGCAGTGAGCGGAGATGGCGCCACTGCACTCTAGCCTGGGCGACAGAGCGAGACTCATCTCAAAAAAAAAAAAATTGCTAATGATTGGAGGGACTAATATTATCCTCATTTCGCTAATGAGGAGAATGAGGCTCAGAGAATCCTTGCTGTGATAACCACAGGCAGCTACGGGAGAGAGTAGGAAAAGCAAGGTATTCCCAAGAAGCAGGCAACAGTACGGAACAAGATGTTGCTGTGGTAAGTGCCCAGCTACCAAGTTAAAACAAAACAAAACAAAACAAAAACAATGATGGTTGGACTCAACCCAAGCCCAGGTAAATCATCTCTGGAACATGGGACCCAGATGTTTCCATCCATCCATCCATCCATCCATCCATTCATTCATTCATTCTTTATCTGTATATTTATCTATCTTCAGGTGATTTTGATGACATGGGAGGGATAAAAATCACTGCATTGAAGTTGTTGGTTGACTAAAGTATTGATTTGATCAGTACACAAAATCAGGTATGAGTTTACTGATTTAATACAGCATATAATTGTACACTAGTTTGGGCAAAAGTGGTACATGAAAATCTTGACTTTATAGACTATTTGCAGAGAGGAAGGGGGAAGTGATATGCTGACCTTCATATGGTTATTTTCCTTTTTTGTAACAAATTTATTTCATATTTCCTTTAATAGGCTTTCTTAGTGTCCTTAAAATGTGATTTGCCTTAACTTTACTACCAATATATCAACAGATATATTGATACATGATATCATGATACAAAGATATACCTTTGAGCACTAATTTTTTTTTTTTTTTAGACAGAGTCTCGCTCTGTTGCCAGGTTGGAGTGCAGTGGTGCAATCTTGGCTCACTGCAACCTCCACCTCCTGGGTTCAAGCGATTCTTTGAGCACTAATTGACCTCACAATGTTGTACACGGTCTTCTGATGATAAGTAGAAATACTTTGGGAAGGTCCTTAACAACAGATAACAAAGAACATATTAATAGTGTTTTGTTTTGATTAATCTATGATGAGAACTACACAGTTCACAGTAGGATAATTTGAAGAATTGGCACAGAAAGAAATATGAAATGCAGGAATTGAGAGAACAATGCCATCATTTGGAGTATATCAGATGCAACCTTAAATATTAACTAGAATTGTGTTTATTTGTCTACTTTGGAAAACTAAGTGGTATCCAGAGACTTAGAGACCCCTGTGCATTTTGTTGTGGAAGGCAAGCTGTGTCAGTCCCTGTAGATATCTGCTCTACCTCTGTTACGCTACATGTGAGAAAACTGATGCTCAGGTTCTCTGTGTTATTCCTAGAAGTCTCAGAGTTGTGAAGAAGAAACCTTGCCTTCTCAGATTGCTCTTGTTTTGCACAATATCTCCGGCTTTGCATATAGGATCTTAAGGGGAACACAAAGAGGAATTTGAGACGGTTGTTGCTATAACTGAGTTTAGACCTTGTCGGGAGGAATTGGTGGACTCTATGTTAGAATATTCTTGAGGGATCATTAGGAAATGTTAGGTTGATGCTAAGTCAAGGTTGTCTTTGGAGTAGCATTACCTCTTTTAAGTCTCTCAACAAGACTATTTTACAGATGAAACTCACAGAAATCACAATTTGCCACAAGTCACATTGTTAGATTATGGAGTTCAAACCTAGGTTTGTCAGACTCTCAAATCCAGGGTTTTTCCACTATTGTGACACAGCAATGCATTACACAAACTTGTTTCTTTTAAAGCTGCTGAGGGGGTGGGTTTGTGTTTTAAAAGAGCTGTAACACCCTTTCTTCAAAGGCTACTAGAGAACTTCTAGAGACACAGTGTGAGTTGCCCTTAGGCTGAGTGTGGGGAGGGGGCTGAGGAACTAGGGGTGAGGGCTAAGAGTTGGTGTCCACTGGAGTGGTCCCTGGGAGCTTGTTAAAAATGCAGACTCTCAGCCCCACCAGGGAACTTCTGAGCCAGAATCTGCATTTTAACAAGGTCCTCAGATGATTAAGTATGAGCAGCATTGCTTTAGGAGACCACCGGGCTTGGGTATTAGTCCTCTGGAGTGAGGAATTTGTCCTATTCTCCAAGGAGCACATGGAAAAAGGATGGGTGTGAGGGAGAAGAGAACTGTTTTTCATCATACAAAGCATTGAGAGGTTGGAAACTTGTGTGTAAGGAGCACAGCTGATGACCAAGACCCCCAGCAGTATCCTGATACTCAGATTCCCAAGGAGGAAACATGAGGGCTATGAATTGGCAGGTAATTTTCTTTGTACAATGGGCTTAAAAATTTGAATCTCTGTGTCTAAAACATATGAAGATATAGTCAAGGATATACGTAATACCCTGATCTATAATAGCAAGGACTAGGGGAGCCCTCTGATTAAGGGATTCTGAGCAAAACCCATAGCCAGGCTTCAGGACACTTATGAAATTTTTGCAAACATTATGCTAGATACTCTATGTAGATATGCATGTACATTTGTGCATCCTCTTCCTTTGAACAAAGTCCTTAGCTTTCATTATATTTCAGAATAATCTGTTATTCCTTACCCTTTTTGTGAATTATAAACCTCTGAGTAAAACCACTCTCCTTTTATAGATGAGAAGGTAAGTGACTGGTACATATTGATAGCAACCAGCTAGTGGCAAAGTTAATTCTAAGGTAAAAGTTTTTTCTGTCAACACTTTAAATATGTCATGCTACTCTCTCCTGGCTTGTAAGGTTCCCACTGAAAAGTCTGCTGCAAGACGTATTGGCGCTGCATTGTATGTTCTTTTCTTTTTTTTTTTTTTATTCTTTTTTTTCTCTTGCTGCTTTTAGGATCCTTTCTTCATCCTTGACCTTTGGGAGTTTGATTATTAAATGCTTTGAGATAGTCTTATTTGGGTTAAATCTGCTTTGTGTTCCTTAACCTTCTTGTACTTGAATGTTGATATCTTTTCCTAGGTTTAGGAATTTCTCTGATATTATCTCTTTGAATAAACTTTCTACTTCTGTCTCTCTACTTCCTCTTTAAGGCCAATAACTTTTAGATTTGCCCTTTTGAGGCTATTTTTTAGATCCTATAGGTGTGCTTCATTGCTTGTTATTCTTTTTTCTGTTTTTCTCCTCTGACTATGTGTTTTCAAATAGCCTGTCTTTAAGCTCACTAATCCTTTCTTCTGCTTGATCAATTCTGCTATTAAAAGATTCTTCATCACGTCAACTGTATTTTTCAACTCTAGAATTTCTGCTGGTTCTTTTTAATTATTTCAACCTTCTTTTAAAGTATATCTGATAGAATTCTGAGTTCCTTCTCTGTGTTATCTTGAATTTCTCTGACTTTTCCTCAAAACAGCCATTTTGAATTCTCTATGTGAAAGGTCATATATCTCTGTTTCTCCAGAATTGGTCCCTGGTGGCTTATTTAGTTTATTTGGTAAGGTCATGTTTTCTTGGATGATGCTGATGCTGGTAGATGTTCTTTGGTGTTTGGGCATTGAAGAGTTAGGTGTTTATTGTAGTCTTCACGGTCTAAACTTGTTTGTGCCTGTTCTTCTTGGAAAGACTTTCAGGTATTAAAAGAGACTTGGGTCCCAAGTCCAATAATGCTGTGTTTTTTTCAGACTCGTAGAGTTATCACCTTGGTGGTCTTAGATAAGATCTGGAAGAATTTTCTAGATTACCAGGCAGACTCCTGTTCTTTTTCCCTTACTTTTCCCAAACATATAGAGTCTCTCTTTTTCTTTGCTGAGCCACTGGGGAGCTGGGAGGGTGGTGATGCAAGCACCCCTGTAATCACAACCACTGGGACTGTGCTGGGTGAGACCTGAAGCCAGCATGGCACTGACTGGGACTTGCCCTAGGCCCTTCCCTTCAGGATGGCAAGATCCCCCCCGGCCCCAGGCATGTCCAGCGATGCTGTCTGGGAGCCAGGGATTGAAGTAAAAAACTTTAGCAATTTACCTGATGTTCTATTCTACAGCGGCTAAGCTGGCACTCAGGCCACAATACAAAGTTCTTCCTGCTCTTCCCTCCCCTTTCCACAGGCAGAGGAGCCTTTCTCTGTGGCCACCCGCTACCACTGGTCCATGGGGGCTTTCTGCTAGGCCCCTGTCTGTGTTCACTTAAAGTCCAAGGGCTCTTCCATCAGCAGTGGTGAATGCTGACAGGCCTGGGACCCACCCTTCAAGGCAGTGGACTCCCTTCTGGCCCAGGGCGGGTCTGGAAATGCTGTCCAAAAGCCTAGGCCTGGACTCAGGGACCCTAAGAACCTGGTTTTTGCTCTACCCCACTGTGGCTGAGCTGTTACCTTATTTTTGGTTCCTGTGATGGTGCTTTTCTGTGTGCAGATAGCTGTTAAAATTTGGTGTCCCAGCAGTGGGGATGAATGGTGTAGGCTTCTGTTCTGCCATCTTGCTCCTGGGGGTTAATTCTAAAAGCCAGTATTCTGTCATTCCAACTCAACTGGCCTTTATGATCTGAACTAAGTATTATGAAATGCTAAGTGGATTTTCTGTGGGATAAATCTTGTAAATCACTGCATTTTCTGATTATCAAAAATGGCTAGATATTTATGGCATTGGAATATTGTGACATAAAAGGAATTTTATGTGAAAGCATTTCAGGGCCTCTGTGTGTTGGCCAGGTAAGTCTGGAAGTATTCACTTTGGAGCTGCTAAAGGGCTGAGGTCCTGGTTTCCCATCATTGATGGCAGCAGGGCTGTATGAGACAGGGCTCTCCTTGCCTAGTGGCATCCAACTGACTTCTTTTTGTGTCTTCATAGGTAAAAATGATTATTAACTCTCTGTGGGGAGCCAGGTGCTGAACTTTACAAATAATGTAACATAATCCATGTAGCATTTAGATCCAGTAAGGATTTCACTGTATGGTAATTTACTAGGTAGTAGTGTTGACTCTGTGAATCCAAAGGATGTTTAGACATTTTTCATTTCTTAGGAGAAAGGTTTTAGAGTTGCTGCTCTGCAAAACCATAGGTGAATGACCTTTAGTTGTGGAAGCTAACCCTTTAAAGCAGTTGCCCTGTGTAT
Source organism: Homo sapiens (assembly GCF_000001405.40). Classification (NCBI taxonomy): domain Eukaryota; kingdom Metazoa; phylum Chordata; class Mammalia; order Primates; family Hominidae; genus Homo; species Homo sapiens. The sequence continues at coordinate 155,687,807 of NC_000003.12, read as the reverse complement.
CTGCCAGAAAAATAATAGTGTTCCGATCCTTGGGAATTATATCAGTCAGTGACAGGAGGATGGTTATTTTTTAAAGACAAATACTTAGTCTCAGTATGTCAACTTGCAGCCTGTTGAGACCATTTTTAATACATATATACTCTTGCTTGAGCTTCTAAGAACCCATCTGGGAAATAATATTCTCATAGGTCTCTTATTTTGGTCTCTGATTATATTTTTGCTTCCTTATCCCTTACCATTTCTCCTAAATTATATAAATCAGTGTAGACATTTAATGTCTAGCAACTGTAGGCACCATGTTTCTGATACTAGTAATGTAAAATTTTCTCTTAGCTAGAGAACAAGTTCTGCATAAATCATAGTACTAAATTATTTCTAAATTAGATTAATTTATATAAAGTGATAAAATGTTATTGGTTTCCTATTTTATCATCTTTAGTATTCATGAAGGAGCAATTCTTTTTTCTTTTTTCCAAGGTCTTTAACAAAATTAGCTTTTGAAACCATTTTTGTGCTAGTCGACTATGAATGAGGAGGACTATTGAAGCAGAAAATTAAAATACTTTTGATGTTTTTATTTTAATACTAATCATTAATCTATACTTCAGCATTATTTCTCTCATTGATAAATTTATTGCTTTTAAAGTATTTCTATCTTCCATAATGTCTTTTCTAGCAAAAGAGCTTTGCTACATTTTTGAAATTCTTGCTATTTGAGTGACTTATCAAGGAGCAAGAATTTTGGCAGCCAAAACTAATTTGACTATTGACAGAAGGCTTTATTATATATGCTGTCAAGCATTTTATTGCCTTATGTGTACAGATTATTTTAAGTTAATAAACAAGGGGCATTTCTAGTACACTTTCACCTTTAGGAGAGTATACATTTACTGCGAGTATTTTAGAGAGTGGTTATACTATAAGGTTCATGTTCATTTTTTTAAATAGAAAGCCCCAAGTTTTTGTATAGAATTTTCAGAACTGGGAAAGACTTCAAGGACCTCAAGAAAATATTTAATGCCACCAGTTTCTGAGACCCCTTCTAGAATGAGAGCTCTAGAGAATAGGGAATGTGACTTTAGAGCCTTGCATATGGGAGATGCCTGGTAAGTATTTGATTGATGAATCAGTAACATCTCACTTTTGATCAGTGAGGATGCTGAGGCTGGGAAAGGTTCAGTGATGGGCTGAAGGTGGGTCTAAACCTAACCTAACTGTTAGAAAGTGGTGACAACTGAGTCCCTGAGCAATATGGGTGCATTGTGAGGTACCTACCATGCCACACCGTGTGTTCATGTCCACAGCTTCAAAAATTCCTTGGTCTCATTCTAAGTAGAGCAGCTTGCTGATTCCCAAGCACTGCCATAACAATCAATCATTTGTCCCTTCCATGGGTCCTTATTCCCCAAGCTAGTTTGAACAAGGGATATTGCTCCCTTTTTGCCTTCATGCTTTAAATATTTATTGACTTAGATTCTATGCTGGGGATCTACAGTTGACAAACTACAAATGGCCCCTGTCTGTAAGGAGCTTACATTACAGTCTTGCCCCTCTTTGCACTTCCTTCCCTCTTCTTCCCCTCAACCACACATGGGACTTTATGTTATGTTAACTTTTATCCAGTTTGCTTTATCATTGTGTACTTGTACACTCTCTTTCTATACACACACACGCATGCATGCACGCACACACGATTATTTTTTCTGAATAATTTGAGAATAAGTTGCATACCTCATGGCCCTTTGCCCCATGGTATAATTATCAACTTAAGTAAATTTAACATTCATAAGTCCCTTTAATGTCCTTGGTTTCTGAAAGATGTTTTTTCAACTGGTCTCTACAGGGAAATGAACCTGGGAGAGGAAAGTAAAAAACATGGAGAAAAATATTTTTGTAAATCCTACCAAGTTCTTAGGGTTAGAGCCAAGCCTCTTGTGTGTTTGTGACTTAGAAGGGCCCTGTGCTTGGTTTAATGCTTTGCTGTTGCCATTTTGAAATTCTTTATAATTGAGGGGGAAAAGTCTCCATGTTTTCATTTCATACAGGGCCAGCAGATTATGTAGCTCATCCTGCTTAAAGCACTTATATGCTGGGCTAGGAACTTTTGCATCTGTTATTATAGATATTGCTGAGGATGGGGAAACTGAGGCTTAGAGAGATTTAAAATAGCTTGGCTTGGATTGTTAAGTTACTGGTAGAACCAGGATTTGAATTGAAGTCTTTTTGATTGCTTATCTGTTGACTGTCACATCGTCTCCAACTACTTTATGCCCCTTAACTCTTCTTCCACTGAGTTAAATTATTTCTGGATTTGGAATTGACTTGTCCTTTCTCTTTTTCTCCTAAGGAGCTCTGCCTTCCCTTGGTACCACAGTTGCTCTCTCTCTTCCTAAATCACTAGGCTGAAGTGTTAACCAGAAGGCCATTTGGAAAATTTTAATAAGTTGATAATTTTCATCCAAGGGAACTGTCCATTAGTAGCTGCCACCTTAATCTTCTCCCTGATTTGTAGAGAAAAGGCTACATGCCATCATCCCCTCACTTACCCTTACCGTATCTCACAATTGAGCAACTGGTTTTCTTCATGTTCCCAGCTTTTGGAGTCCCTCTGTTATCCTTTGGGATCTGAGTCTTGCTTTATGCCCAGTGTCTTCCGACAATTGGAAAACTATCCAGAATCTGAGTTTGGATCTGGGTGGGTCTTCTGTGCTCAGGCCTTCCTGGTACTCACTACTCTTCTGGTCCGTTCTAGGCCCTGGAGATACATCAGGGAGCAAGACATTCATTGTTCTAGCTCTCAAGGAATTTACATTATGTTCCTCCTTGTTTCTGTGTCTATTTTTCTGTTGTCTTAGGCAGAATGCAAAATTAATAAATCAGTACTGTTAGGGGGAAATAATATGAGAAGAAAGGCTAAAGAGGTAAGGAGACACTGCAAAAACTATTAGTATGTGTAAAATTGTACTGCTGAAGTTGTGGAGAAGAGCTACTTTCTCTTTCATCAAGGGAGAGACAAAGGAGTTGATTTTTCATTTCTGTAGAGTAATTTAGTTTAGGAATTTAGACTGTTGTGATAGTACTGTGAGCTGTAACGTATTGAAAATTGTTACCGGAGGAGCCAGTACAATCTCTTTCCTTGGTTTTCTTTTAGAAAGAGGAGTGAGGTCTCCCTGCCTCAACCATTTAAGGGCATCCTTTCTCTAAAGGTCATCTTTTTTTTTAATAAAATGTCTTCCTCAGACATTACAGGGTTAGATTTTCAGAGGAGGCATTCCCCTTCCAGTCCTTCAGGAGTTTATGGCCATCCCGCTCCCTTGGAGACCCGTTTCCTGTTCTCAGGAGAGTCTCTGGTTGTACAGAGCAAACAACCCTGAATTCTGCTCAGGTTGAAGTGACCTGGTGGTTCTGAGGCAGCCTCGAAGTTTGAACTCTCTTTAGTCAGGCCTTTGAGTTTGGGTGGCCTGAAGAGACTTCCCAGAGATGTGGCTGTTGTGTTCAATAATCTAGAATCATCTTCTCCTCTCTACCCGCTTCCCCCAATTTATGGTTATCTCTATGTTTGCTTTCCTTATGGGACCAGTCTGTATATGTAGTGTCCCAGGGCTCAGTATTGCTGGATAAGGGGGTAGGGGGTTTGCGTTATGATGACCATGCGTATCTCCTATTTGAATGCATGTATTGTAATCCCTATTTGATTGGCTGTAAGTCAAGCCATGCCTGGGCAGATAATATCATTTACCTTTTATTAGACTCAGAGATGGCAGATTAAGGCATGATAAAATATCCTGTATTAAGATATCAGGTACGTCCAAGTGTGGTTATTATACAACCAAACAGTCCTCATTTAGCTGGAGTGCTGGAGAATACAAGCACTTAGGATTTATTCTGGACATTTCCACTCTAGTCATCCAGCTCCACCTCCCAAGGAAGGAGGTAAAGGGGCTTCTGTTCAGGGGAAAGTGCATCCCAAGTACTGTAGGGGAGTTTGAATATATGACTAAGTAAGTTTTGAGAATTTAATTAAAGCTTCAGTCCTCAGGACAGATATTTGTTTTAATATATGTCACTGTCAACAACCATGAGAGATTCCCGTGTGACTACCTATCTCTAGTTAATTCTCCTCTGTTAATGTTATGATTAACACTGATCAGCACTGATGGTAGCTGCTCAAATAGCTGATGCTGATTTACAAAGTCTGGGTACTTTTATTTATAGCTGGATATGAGTTCATGGCACCCAAATGTCAATCAGAATTTTACATTTTCTGAGTCATTACCAAAGATAGTTCAGTGTGCTTTAGTGTTCCCTGGCTGCAAGCTCCTGGGTTTCTTATAGCACCTGTGTATAAAATCTTGCCCACGAGGTCTTGGTTATTTTCATGGATTGCTCAAGTTGAAATCAAGTTCTGAGTCTATGAGAGATTTTATTTTCAATTATATTGACATCTTCATCAAGCTGACAGTGATGTGCCTACAAATTTTTATGCTAACCTATAAAATTTAAAGTGACATGACCAATAAACAATCAAGTCTTTCAAAAAATAATGAAAACCAAGAGTCTCGAAGGGGAGATCAATAAGTCATCAAGCAGGCAGCGTTCAAAGAGGCAGTCAGGCTAATGAGTGGCTCATCTCTGTCCTGTGGAACATAGCAAAATTAAATATGGGTTATACTCAGTTTGTTTTGAGATTCAGATGCTTAAAAATGTGTAGCAATTACTGTCCACTGATGCATGTCAGGTTTTTAATGCAGGAGAGATCCAAACTGGTTTATTTGACAAGTGTGTGTGATCTATAGGACATGTTCTGTCTCATTAGAATATAGAGTTATATCTCTCCAGTGATGAATAAACATTCACAATAAGCCTGCTCTCTGAGTAAAACACTTGTGTAGGCTATTCTCAGCATTTATTCAGCAAGCATTGGATGGAAACCTGCTCCCCTACAGGTCTTCATCTCTTCTCAGCTAAAATTTTTGTAATACACTGGGTTTGCAATTTAAGTGTTTGGTTATACTCTGTTATCCTGTTGTCTAGCAATTCTTGCTGGCAATAATATTTTAAGCATGTTTGCCTGGTGTGGGGAAAGAGCACTGTGTTTGGATTAGAAAGCCCAGTTTTTCCACTGACTAATTTTGTGATCTTGGGCACATTCATAGGGAGCTGCTGAGGCTCAGCTTCCTCTTTTGCAAATGCAGAATGATAATTCTGCCTCTCTGCCTTCCTGTAGTTGCTGTCAGGCTCATGTGGGGTATGTGTTCCTAGAGGACTTCGTAAGGTGTAGAGTTTATAAAGCATCACATAGGATTGATGAGATTGTAATTACTACCTTAATTGAGCATTTAGGTACATTGCATACACTTTTGTTTGTGAAGTGCCTTTTCCTTTGTATATGAACTCAGAGTAGCATTCCATTTTGTTCCTTGGGGTTTAATATAAAAGTTGCAGCAATTTTCTGAAGCAATCCTGATGGGGCTTTCTGAGCTTCATATAATAGCAATTTCCTCAAATGTACTGATGATGAATAGGCCAAAGGCATGAACTATGCTGGGCTTGTTTGAATTGATAAATGATCTCTACCTTCTCTCATTCATTTAACTCAAAGTTTGCATTGACTACATCTTTAGTGAGTTGAGTCCATTGTAAATAAAAACTGAAAGCATATTTCCAGTTTGTCCCATAGATTATTAGCAGACACTCAGAGGCTAAAGTCTAACCCTTCAGTTAGTTCATTTTTTATTTCTGTGATTTGCACAGGCCAAATAATGGATAGTGCTACCCTCTGCTTCAGAACCAGATATTGCCCAGGACAGCTAGCTGAGTAAGGATGACTGAGTGGTCAAGGGATTTTGATGAAAGATTAGTGCCCATTGTCTCCAGAGTACTCTGGAACAGCTTAAGACTAAGCAGGGGTTCAGACAGGACAATGCCTCAGTGGTAGTAAAAAACCCCCCTATTTTATGGAAAGGAAATGTGCTTGCTCATCCTGGGAACATCTTCCTGGACCATCCACTTGGGAGTTTCCCTGCATCTAGCCCTTTGGGGTTGCATGTAGATTGGAAAATTCTTGTTGAGGTTTCATGTGTTTGCATAGCTACATTGGTGATTTTGATATATAACTTATAGCAATGATTTTGGGTTTCCTCTGTAGTTGAGTGCACAGTGAAATTTCCTAAAAGGAATTAAGCTCTGGTTGCTCTGTTCATTGTTCTGTGAGACATTCAGATAAAAAAAGAGAGACTGAAGGCAATAAGTGACTCAAGATCTCCGTATTACCTTATCTGGTGAAGATCACTGATTCTAGAGACATTCTGTGGAGATTCAAAGCCCAGGTCTATCACAGACTTGCTGTGCCATCTTGGGGAAGTTATGTAAGTGCTTTTTGCCTCAGGTTCCACATTTGAGACTAGAGAAATGGTTGTACCTAATCTACTCAAAAGGGCATTGTAAGGATTAAATAAGGCATGTGCAATGCTAGGAACAGTATCTGGAACATAGTAAAGTGCTTCATAAATGTTAGTAAGCCTCAAAGCAAGTTTTCCATATTATATTAGTGGGAAGAGATTATATTCTTTTTCTAAGTTTAGTGTTACTAAACTGGCTACACTTTTAAAAAATAATGTTATTTTTTTCTGAGTATAAAAGAAATAAATGCTGGTTCTAAATAATCAAAATATAGTAACATATAAAGAAGAAAGTAAAACACCTAGAGATAGCTGTGGATAACCTCTGATAACATTTTTTTCATATGTTTTTATAGGATTTATTCTATATGTCTATATTCTATATTTTACGTATTTAAAGTAACATTAGTAGTTAGTTTGTATCTCCTTTTTTCCTTTAATTAGTAGTTAGTTTGTATCCTCCTTTTTTCACTTAGTATGTCAAACATTCTCCAGGTAATTGCAATGTCTTACAGACATCGTTAATGGTTAGACAGTATTCCAAAATGTGAATGTATATTTAAGTCAATCATTCCCTTTTTGGTAGACAATTAGACAGTTGAGAGTTATTAATTATTATAACAAATGTTAAGGAAAGGATACTTCCTTCTATATAGATTTTTATATTTCTGATGATTTCCTTATGGTAGCTTTCTAGCAGCAATGATTATTGACTAAAATAAGCATAACCATTTTTACAAATCTTGCTGCATCTTGCCTGATGACTTCATTAAGTTTGTTACAGTTTATGCTCTCAATGTACAACTTAACAGCAGAGTATGAAAGTTCCTGTGAGATCCTCCCCTTAATTGAGGTACCTGTATGTGGGATAGGTCTTAGGAAGTGGTAGCTGGGTGTGACTGGAGGCTCTCAATGGCGAAGCTGCACCCTATACTTGCTTTTCCCCTACTTTCCATTTTGTGATGAAAACTGTGAATATGCTTTAAGTTAATGTGATACTATGGCTTTACTGACTTTTTTTTTTGAGACAGAATCTCGCTCTGTCACCCAGGCTGGAGTGCAGTGGCATGATCTCGGCTCACTGCAACCTCTGCCTCCCGGGTTCAAGCAATTCTCCTGCCTCAGCCTCCTGAGTAGCTGGGACTACAGGTTCACGCCACCACACTCGGCTAATTTTTGTATTTTTAGTAGAGATGGGGTTTCACCATGTTGGTCAGGCTGGTCTCAAACTCCTGACCTTGTGATCTGCCCTCCTCAGCCTCCCAATGTGCTGGGATTACAGGCGTGAGCCACCGCGCCCAGCCGACTATTTTTATTTATTTATTTATTTTTTAAAGCATTTCTGTGTTTCTATGCCAGAGACACTAACAGCTTCTGGCATTGTGTGGGAATATTTTCTAGCTGGGAAAAAAACATGAGGAATTTCGATATCAGGCCTAAAACTTTAGACATGGTTTCCAGGACCTAAAGCACAGAGCCAGGGGAAAGGGCCCAAATCTGGAGTCAGCTTGGGTTTGAATTCTGGTTCATCACAGCCGTGTGATCTTGGACATCTTCTCAGACTTGAATCTCAGTTTTCTTACCTTTAAAATGTGGATACTAATATATCTCCTTGCAGAATTTTCATGAAGATTAGGGAAGATAATATTTGCATAGTGGTGTCTGGTAAATGGTAGCTTTTATAATAATGTTTCATTAAGTGACATGGTTCCTAGGTTTGCGTCAGTAGGTTTTCTGATTGGACTTGTGAGCCCTAAGGGCAGATATGCACCATGTTTTCACTCCGAGTTTATCTCAGTTTAGAATTATATGACTGGTGAGGTTGGGGTGTGGGGGGAGGGTTGTATAGAACATTTTAAACATTGAGACTTGGTTAAATGAAGTTATATCAAGCCAGTGATTGGAGTGGCCATTCACTTACTGCATTAGCTTCTATTTATGGAGTATTTATTTTTCCAGCCACTGGGGCTAGGCCCTTGGCCTCTACCACCCATTTACTCTTCAGCAGTGCCCTCTGAGGTAGGTACTGCCATTGCCAGGGGAGGATATTTAGGCTTACAGGTTTAGAGAGCACCAGCCCTCCCCACCACCCCCATTGTGTTGTCAGATTTAGCAAGAAAAAATACAGGAATATTACAGCAAGTAAAAATACAGGAAAAAAATACAGAAAATATTTAGCAAGAAAAAATACAGTATATCATGGGACATACTTATACTGAAAATTATTTGTTGTTTCTCTGAAATCCGAATTTAACTGGGTGTCTTGTTTTATATGACAACCCTACCCATAACTGACCCAAGGCCAGGCAGTGAATCAAGGAAGAGGCTGGGGCTTACATCTTTCTCCATCTTCCATGGAAACCATTGCTTTTACCTATTACACTTTATGATGTTTCTTTAAGAAATCAGAAGTAGAACTCAGGTGTGAAAGATGAGGGAAATGCTGTCAGATGAGGTGTAAAGTCCTTCACTGATTGTAAATTTAGAAGCTGAACTCAGAAATATTGTTTTTTATTTTTCACCTGATTGGTGAAGGTAATTCCATGTTAGGTCTAATGATTAAAAATGGAGAAAGTTGATGAGGGTCTATAAGGTACCTACTGTATGCCAAGTACTATGCTAGAACGAATCTGGAAAAGGCCCAGACTTTTCAAATGAGGGTTCCAGTTAAGAAATTAAAGATTCTAAGGCTGTAAGGTTGTTGAGGTGACCCATCAGAGGAAGCACCATTGTCCCCAAAGTCTGTTGGCCTAGTTTTGACATCGTACATGACCTTCTGTTGGGAGAATACAGGGGAGTGATTTCAGAGATGTGGTTATTCATTCAGTGTCTCTGCCAACTTCAGGATAGGTGTTTATAAGTTTTATGATTCTTTTGAATGGGCTGCATAGGAGGTTATTTGCTACTGCTGAAGAATTGGATATTTAATAATAAGTAGATATCTCTAGGCTCTCAAAAATCTGTGAGTGCTCCTTTGTGGTCAAACAGACACTTATGGGCCATGGCTGCTTTTTAAAAGCTTGCCCACCTGCCCTATGAAGCTGCTATGTGCTCCCCCTGGGTAAGTGGCTTGGCCCTCAACGGTGCCCCAGAGCCACTCAGAATAAACCTGCCATGTGCTTGTGTGGTTGGGCTCCATATCCAATCCTGCATGTCAGCCTTTTCAGGGAGGAGCCTGGGGCTTCAGGAGCAAGAGGTGAGAGGGATGAAAAACTTATTATGAGCAAGACTCCCAGTGGGTAAAGTGAGCACATAAAAAGTTTGTCCCCTTCCTCTTTCTTGACCCCAGATTGGAGTGGGGAGGGGGATCTTTGGAAGGAAGCCTTTCCAAAACTTCTTGGGAGCTGGGAGTGCTTTGGTCTTCACCTCTTTTCAGGACCGAGCAAGAGATAAACCCAAGATGCCTCTTGCTTTTTGGGCATGTTTGGTTCTGGGCAGACAAAGGAACGAGATATTCGTTACTTGGTGTTACCAATTTTGTGTTAAGAAAACACCATTGTCTTTTTGTATAAAATTATCTGGGAGTATTAAATACTTGGATTATTTAGCAGGAATGGGTATTTCTCAGATATGTCACATTTTGGGGTGCCATCTTGTGTTCGGACCACTAATTAATTCAGATTAAGCAATGAAGTCCACTCCTTTCCTGGGTTGATGTAAAGAATTTCAAGATTAATAATAGTAAAACAATAATAATATATAATTGTGATTCTAAGCACTTTATGTGTATTAAATTAATTACTGCAATAACATTTTGAAGTAGAAACTATTACTATGCCCACTGTACAAATAAGGAAATGGAGGAGCAGAGAATTTAAGTAAATTGCCCAAAGTCTCACAGCTAGTTGGTGGCAGAGTCAGTCTTTGAACCTAGGCAGATAGGCTCCTAAACTCTTAATGGCTATTTTGTATAGTGATGTATGTATGTATGGTAGATTGAATCTTGCAAGAAGGATATTTTCATCATGTATTTAATTGTGTGTGCCCACATATACCTTTGAAATCCAAGTTTCCCTAGAGTATTTGAAAGTAAATAGTGTAGTTTGCAATTTGGGGCAGGGGATGTGCAAATTGGGACACAGGTGAATTGGATCTGGGATAGAGCTTGGCACCTTGGAATCAAGGGATGAGTTAGCAATCTAGGCTGGGTGGCCCTGGTGGGAATTGCCTAAAGGGCCTGACACTGGTATATGCAGAATGGGAGATGCTGGGAGTCCTAAGGGCCACAGGTGGGTGAGGGACAGCTGAAGCTGGGAGAAGAAAATGGCAATAGGGTCGATATTAGAAAGGGAATGCTGGAATGAGAGAGTTAATACTCAGGATGAGAGGCTTAGTTACAATGCCTCAATGCAAGACTACTGTAAATTGCTACTGTATCTGCTTATGTGTCTGTCTGTCTACCTATCTCTTCAAAGAAGTTGAATAAAGTTGCAAATAATGTTTACATAGACTTTAGGGAAAATTGCACTATAATAATGTGTGGTTTCATTCACTAAAAACTGACTTTTTTAGACCCATTCATGCTGTCTACCTTGTCCACGTCCACAGGCATGTGATTTTTTTTTTAAACATGAGAAATAGCCTCCACCGAGTAAGTGTTTTCAAACTGTAACCTCATTCCTTCTAAGTTGGAAACATTCCAGTCTTTTCTGTGATCATTGCTATGTTTGTGTGTGAATAAAATCAGGACAAAAAAACAAGGAAAACCCTCAACGCTTTGAATATGCACTTAACCTGACTTGCACAAAAGTAGCCTATAGGGCAGTCGTAGCTTATTTCTTAATGGATTGTGTTTGCCTCCGATGGAGTGATGTTTGCTTCTGAGAGTGTGTGTCTGTGTGTGTGCTTCTGTGTCTCTGTGTGTGCATGTTCATTTTCTGTATTCAGTCTGCGTCACTCCCACGGTAATCAGTGTTTCTCAATGACCTCTGAAGGTGAGGAGGGTTTCTTTGATGGATAAAGACCTACACTTCCCAGACATTAAATGTGCATAATGCCTTGAGGGCTTTAACGCGCTGCACGAAGCATGCATGTCTCATACCCAAAGTAGCCACAGCGCCTGCATTCCCACAATAGCGGCAGCCCCGAGCAGATGCTTCCAGCGTGCTTATCTGGCTGTGCTTTTCACTTTGGGACAAAGTTCTATAATCATATCTCATGGATTTATTTTCTCCACACTATAAAGCCTGAATTGTGAAGATCTCATCATGCCATAAAGGGCAGCATGAGCCAAGTTCTGGGGGCTGCTAAGGATTTCTTTGCCTTTTTTCCCCCCACCCTTTTTGGAAATGTGTATCAGGAAAAGGCTTTGCCTTTAGAGAGAAATTGTACTGCTCTTGCCAATAATGTGTAATAGTATTAAATTTAATGGCAGACCTTGAAGTGTATAAAAACTTAAGTCCAGAAAAAGGTAAGACTCATACTACTAATTTTAAGGTAAGTGTAATAGTCCTAGTAAAAGATGGTAAACATTTATTTTATTTCATGTTTAGTTAAGTTAAATATTTATTTGAATTCTTCAGAACATATTTATTATATTTCAGTATGAAATGAGGTAACAAAGTATTTTTGTTTAGGCAGAAGTGTTTTTTTCGTATAAATGTAGACTTTTATAAGAGTAGAATTTGCATGCTGGCAAACTGAAAGTATATCATTATATTAAAATGGTCAGTGAGAAAATAATTTGTATTCTTAGGTTATAAGTCAGGATACAGACATGCCTAAAAATTTCATTTGTCTGACATTTATGAACAGTAGGTTTTAACTGAAACATTGTCAAGTCTTGTTCAGTTTGAATAATGATGAATAAAGCTATATTTTAACTTTCTACAATAATCTGGAGAGAATGATTCCCAATTTGTATCAATTAAAACTAGTCAGGGATAGTAAAAATAATTAGCTCTATAAAATAGAATGGCAGAAGTATTTAGCACAGATAAAATGGAGGCAGGATCCATGTATCATGTTCTTACAGCCTGTCAGCTCCAGGAGCATGAGAAAAACATCTTAAAGTATGAGTTAGGAGATTAGAAATTGAAAATCTATGGAGATTGTTCTTGAATTATAAGAATTATTCCTTCCTGGTCAGACAGAATAAATGACATGTCAAGAAATGTCTTCTAAAGTTACCTTCAAACTGAAATTTGTCTGTCATTTCAGGTTATTCATATGCGTCTACTCAAATGTAACTTTATCCCATCAATGCTGATCTGAAAGCCTGTCTGGAGATTGTTGCTAGTTTATGGTTTCAGCTTTAATGTGCCATGTTCCCAGTACCAGCATTGATGTTTGCTTTTTATTCAAAACATAAATTGTACCATGGTTGAGATTTTCTTGAGTATACCTGAGTTTTCTAAGCCTGGGAAGAAGCTTTCATACAGAAATAGGGAAGGATTTGGCTTACTTAACATGCAGTTTGTCAGAAGGATTTCCATTTAGAGTTTTGTCTTATAATATGTTTGGAAACTCTTATGTATGCAGAATGTAGGAGTAAATTGAACTGCACAGCATACTATCAGGGTCGTCTTGCTTTACACATTATGGAAGTAATGATGAAAGTGACTTCTATTACCTTTACCACATAAGATGATCTTTAAATTTAAAATAGAGCTTTAATTCTTAAACATAGTGGAAATTTGATATAATTTTCCTACTCATATAAGCTTTCAAAGTTGATGAATGTAAGGTGTCTTGTTTCAAGGTAGATGTTTTCACATACAGATGTCTTACCAGAGATTTTTCATTGAGCAAATATTTCATATTTTATTTAATAGATTTTCTATTATTTATCTTAGTGATTTTATTCTGCTGAATGAAAAATTTTCATTACTGACTAGCCATCTTGGTATTAAAATCATTTCAGTTGGTAGCAAGACTATTTTTCAAAAAATCTTTCTTCTGATTTCCAGATCAATTTTAAAAGGAACATCTTGAATTATGCAGATCAACTCTATATCTGAGTGTGTGAAATTGATAGATTCTGAAATATCATGAAATCTGAGTTGCATTGTTAAACAGTAACATTAGTGGAGTGGCTTCAATTGACTGGAGTACAAAGTTGAGGAATGTTTATTCGGAGGCAGGAAGACCATGAAGTATAAAGCCCATGTTTGCTCCTATATTTTGTATTTGTGTATATAATTAGGAAATTATTGTTATTGTTGTTGTTTACCTTAGAATTTCATGTAATGCACTAAAGCTCATCTTAGTGATTCTGAACAACACTGAGAAGACGTAGGGACCTGAACTGCAACATAAAACTAGAAGCAGGAGCAAGCTTGAGGCATGTAAGGAAGGTGTTTTTATCATCTTGTTGTGTCTCTGAACCTCAATTTCCTTTTTAGTAAGAAGAGATAATACTACTTTCTTGCTTACCTCACAAGGTTGTTGTAAGAATTACTGGTCTCTGAAAGCATTTGAAAGATAGAAAAGGACCCCAGATATGTAAGATGGTATAGTTGTACAAATAAGGATAATGTATATTTCATATACTTTAATGAAAAGAAATCATATTTGTTCTGGGATGACAGTAAATACACTTTGACCTAGAACTTTGGTACCATCTGCTACTAATTTCCCCCATGGCCTAGTATAGCCTACATGCCAGCAGTGTGCATGCTGTGTACGAATGCCTGATGGAAGGGTAGATGTCAACGTAAGAGCGAGTCCTAGATTTCTGAGCAGGAAGAAACCATAGCAATCTCATTCTTTTATAAGAAGAAAAAATAGTCATAGGGAGACTGCATAATTTTCTTGAAGACGTGTAACAGATCTGTGGCTGGAATTGAGCCATCCAATTCCCAGATCATGAGAGCTGTATCTACCCTTCTCAGTCATACAGATTTTTTTCTTTTAGAAGTTGCTACATTTAGATATTTGTGATTTTGCTCATGCTATGTCATTTGAATCCTTTGTACAGGCTGTTTTTTTTAGGGAGGAAAATGGAGAGCTTCTTGTGGAATTCTCAACTGCTAATCATTAATGGGTACAATTAATAGAGATAGACCATGTGCTTTATCTACAAGGTGCTGGTTGGGGATATGAAGATGAATAAAAAGAACTTAGCTCTCTTGTAGTAACTTCTGGTATAGTGCACAAACATGCTTATATTACTGTAATAACAGTAATACTGTAATAGAGGAACATTCCAGTGGTACCTGAGTATGGAGAAGTCAGCAAAGGATTTCTGGAGGTGACATTTGAACTGAGCCTTGAAATATGATGAGGATGATGTCAGGTGTATAAGCAAGGGTTGAAGCTGAAGGAGTAGCAAGGACCAGGTGTTATAATAAAGACCTGGTAATCCAGGTTAAGAAATTTAGACATTATTACCAAAAAAAAAAAAAAAAAAAAAAAAAAGGCAACAGAAGGTTTTAAGCTGGGGAGAGAATAATCAGATTTGAGTTTTAGAAAGAGCTCTCTGACAACAGTTTGGAGACTGATGGTGGAACGGGTGAGGCTGGAGCACTGGAGACCAGAAAGCTGTTGCAGTAAATAGTTGAGGAAACAATGGTCTTTATTCAAGTTTCTTAGCTAAGATGATCTTTCATAAGAAAACATTAGGCTCTCAAGTCCACATTGGTGTCCTTTGCCCCTGATCAAAGCTGCTGTAGAATTCATAACTGCTGCTTTTTCTGCATACACTTGTTATTCAGTCACTGCCTTGTATTTGGGATAAATTAGTTACAAGAAAGTCATTGCCTGATAAGAAATTTAACACTTCTGTTCTTAGTAAGGTCGTGACCTCTTGTCCACTAGACAGAATTGTGCCTAATTATGAGTATCCTATTCTTTTATGGCAAACAAAAAATGATTTCTCCAAGAAGTTAGAGAACCCCTCCTCAACTTTTCCTAGGTTGTAGGAATTTGGTTTGAATGTTGTCATATTGCTTGCATAATCAGTCCAAATGTAACATTAGGGCAGGAAGGTCTGTGGCCATTTCTTGGTGTTTCACATTGTGGAATATGGCTGTTTCCCTATTTAATGAAGAAGGTGATACCTGTAATGTTGTGTGCTTTAGTCTGTTCTACAGAGCTGTTAGTTTATTTCTGAATTATCTGTGAGGGCAAGTTCTCCCTTATTGTTCTTAGTCAGAAATTTTTGGCTCTTTTCATGTATTTTGTATTCCAGATAAATTTTAGAACTGCCTGTCTAGTTCCAGAAGTCACTTAGTTGGGGTTTTGGTTGGAATTACATTACATTTATAGATTAACTCAGGAGAACTGCCAACTTTAAGACATTGATTCCCCCTTTCAGGAACACAGTAGGATTCATCATATTTTACGTTTTCTCTTAGGTCCTTCTATTATATCAGTCAAGATTTAGAGCTTTCTTCATGTAGGTTGTTCACATTTCCTGGTAGGTTTATTTTTATGATTTTAGTCGGTATTGTGAATAGAGTTTTTTGTTACGCCTTGTTAATTTAAAAAGTTGAAAAATTTAAACACAATATTATAGAACTATTAACGAAAAATACAGTTTTTTCTCAGCCTTCTTCGCCTCTTTCCAAATAAATTACTTTTAACTCTTTTACTTTCCTTTTTGTAGGGTTTTAGTGTTACTTTTATATCTCCAACTGATGCACTTACACTGCCACTTATTGATTTCTCAACTTTTGATATTAATTATTGATTTTCTTCTATGATAGATGAGAAATAGCTCACTTATATTGCCCCATGTCCTCTTTGGTTACTGTATTGGTTATCCCTGTAGTTTTAACAATTCACTTACATTTTGGTTTCCTGCTCTGCCAGCTGGATTACTCTACCTAGTGACCATCACTCTCCCTTTGCCAAACCTTTGCCTCTTTTATCCCTCCTAACTTCTCTTAGTATAATTATTTTTTCATTCTTTTTCTATACTCAGAATCACTCCTCCTATGTTTTGATCATAGATTGACTTTAAAAGTTTAATATCAATAAACAAAGTTCACATTACTGTGATTACTTACATTTACATTATTGTGACTATATAAATGCTCATCAAAGTAACCGCCTAAGTTATTTTGATTAGGGTTACTGCTTCAGAACATAGCATCAGAGGAAAAGGACAGATTCTATAGTTTTCTATAGCAAATGTTGGGATCAAATTCATTAGAAAAAAAATCGAGTACCTACTACTAATTTTGGCAACTAGCAATCTTCATCATAACTCTGTGAAGTGCATATAGTTATATTCATTTTAGAGGCAAGGAATCTGAGGTGCAGAGAGAGAAAAGAACTTGCTCTAGGTCAGCTGTAACTGGTAGAGCTGACATTTGAATCCTGCTGGCTGACTTTGGAACCTGGACTTGCAGCTCTGTTCCCTCTCTTAGAAATGTTATTACTTTGTTAGAGGTGGTAAGATACATAGGCAGGAAGCAATCGATTGCCTGTTTTTGTAAAAGGTTCTCTGTCTCTATGAAGACATCTCCATTTAACATCTCCTCCTTTGTGCATATGCCTTTCCCCAGCCGACAGGTTGGCCTGATATTCCTTGGAATAAATGGGCCTGCAAATATATACTTCCTGAGTGCGAGATGGAAAGGGGAACAGTATGGTAGGTTACACAGGGTTTGGCACAGGGAAGCAGTGGGGTAAGAATGGTTAGCCGTGTTTTTAATATCTCCCTGAGGAGTTTGTGCTGGATCTAAAGAGCAAGGTGAGAACATGGTAAGTTTTGGAGTATATGGGTGATGTAAAAGTGGTATTTTGGGAAAAAGAGTCTAGAAATGCTATGAAAGATAGATTACACAGCCCAAGGGAAAGGGTCTTGTCATCTGCTTGAGAAATTGGTTCAGATCAGGGCCATGAACCCTACCCATTGAAGTTTTGACAAATGATCTGTAACTGTCTCTAATTACTTGTCAGCAAAACAGAAGCTACCATGAGTGAGCTAGAGTTACTTCAGCTGTCTCTCTAAAGAAAGGTGAATGATTATTTCTATCGATCTGTTTAAAGAATAAGTCATGGTTGCATATGTGTGTTACATAAGGTTTTCGTCTAATCCAGTGACCTCTTGCTTCTTGCTTTTCTTTAAAATCCATGTGAATATTTTCAGTTTTATCAGGGAGGATGTATAAAGATAAAACTTGAGAAAATATACAAGCAGGGCTCTGAGGCAACCCTCTTTCCCCAGATGGTGAAATAAAATCAAATGAGAAAAGAAGAAATGAAATAAAAGGCAGCTTTAAAGGACAATTTCATTCCTCTTTTATAATTTCTCTTTGCATTTCATCTTTATGTCTGAGCTCATCATTTGCCCTTGATAATCTTTTTTCTTTGTTTTATTTTGAATGTCTAAGGTTATACCCAAGGACTGTTTTAAAAAAACAAGCAATCTTGATTTATATCAAATGCTAAAATGAACTTTCTTCTTGCCTTTCCCACTCCTTGGACATAACCATGGTTGATATTTTGGCATGTGGATTTGTGTCTTTCCAGAGGTGTTGGTACATGTAGTACATACATGCACACACACATGTAAACAGAAAGGAGTTACGCCATTGATGTAGGTCTCATAAAGAAATTAAACTTTTATGTGATCAACAAAAGAGAACGAAGACTATACATCGTGTGAGCCATTTCATATCTCCACCTTCCTATTTCTACTTGTTGAAATATGAACAGTATGAACAGGAGACAGGTCTTCAGTTGGACTTAGTAAACAGGTGCCTCTCACACCATGAGTATTTTTCTGATTTTGAGGTTTTAATCTTAATTTCAATGATATTATACCTTCCTTATTTTCTCATTTTTGTATTCCTTTTATTTACTAACTTATTTTCTTATGTTCTCACTGATGGTTTTAAAAATGAAAAGGCCAGAAAATTAACTAAGAAAATGAGAGAATAAGAACATACAAATTTTGTTGTCCAAGCTAGAGTGCAGTGGCACAATCTTGGCTCACTGTAGCCTTGACCTCCTGGGCTCAAATGAACCTCTCACCTTAGCCTCTCGAGTAGCTGGGACTACAGGTGCATGCCACCATGTCTGGCTAATTTTTGTATTTTTTTAGAGATGGGGTCTCAGTATGTTGCCCATGCTGGTTTTGAACTCCTGGCTTGAAGTGATCTTCCTGCATTAGCCTCCCAGAATGCTGGGATTACAGGCATGAGCCATTGTGCCTGGCCTTCAAGTTTCTTATTTTATTTAAAAAAATGTGCTTAGCCAGTTCTCTATTTAATCTTTGTGTATAGTCATTCTCAACTTATTTCATATTCTCTCATTACTACTTACTGTTTTTGACCACAAATGTATGCCTTTTTTTTTTTTTCTGAAGAAGTAGTGGATGAAAGCAAGTGGTGATGCCCACTCCTCGGGCATAACTGTGGTTGATATTTTGGCATGTGGATTTGTGTTTTTCCAGAGATGTCAGTACATGTAGTACATACATGCACACACACATGTAAACAGAAAGGAGTTACACCATTTATGTCCCCAGTTATGCACAAGGGGACAAAGGAAGAATACAATGGATGAAGAATGAAGCCATCCCATTCTACTCTTTAGTCTCGCTTTTCTTTTTCTTTTTCTTTTAGACTGAGTCTCTCTCTGAGGTTCAGGCAGGAGTGCAGTGGCGTGATCTTGGCTCACTGCAACCTCTGTCTCCTGGGCTCAGGCAATTCTCCTGCCTCAGCTTCCTAAGTAGCAGGATTACAGGCGTGTGCCACCATACCTGGCTAATTTTTGTATTTTTAGTAGAGACAAGGTTTCACCATGTTGGCCAGGCTGGTCTTGAACTCCCGACCTCAGGTGATCTGTCCGCCTTGGCCTCCCAAAGTGCTGGGATTACAGGTGTGAGCCACCGCACCCAGCCTAGGCTCACGTTTCTTATTTTCCCCTCTGAACCCTCACCCTCTCCTATTTGTTGTAATCTCTCCACAGTTGTCCTTTCTGTTTTTAGACATCTTTTCCCTAGTTTTCTCAATTCGTCTTATTTTTTACATAGAAATACAATTTAGAATATATTTGGTTTATAAAACCCCATGCATGCCCACGAAGATAAGAATCAATGGTTGATTGTATCTGGCTTTGACCTGAATTAACTGTCAGACCTTGGAGTCAGTTGTCTACCTCTTGTGTTGGGCTAGGGGATCTTTCTAAGTCCAGTGCTTTTTCTTGTTCTAAGCTCGGGTAAGTGTTATTAAGAACAGAAACAAAGCAAAGTGAAGCAAATATTGGCAGGCTTGGCAGAAGCCCCGATGAGGTTCACAGAGAGCAACAAACAGATGAAAGTTCTCAACTTGTTGATTGTTACTGCAAATAGTGTTAGCAGTTCCTGACTAGCATTCTCTTTGTATTTGCTGGGTGATGTGACTCTTTTTTTTTTTTTTTTTTTTTTTGAGATGGAGTCTTGCTCTGTCACCCAGGCTGGAGTGCAGTGGTGCAAACTTGGCTCATTGCAAGCTCTGCCTCCTGGGTTCAAGCAATTATCCTGCCTTAGCCTCCTGAGTAGCTGGGATTACAGGCACACGCCACCACTCCTGGCTAATTTTTGTATTTTTTTTTTTTTTTTTTTTTTTTAAGTAGAGATGGGGTTTCGCCATGTTGGCCAGGCTGGTCTTGAACTCTTGACTTCAGGTGATCCACCCCCCTCAGCCTCCCAAAGTGCTGGGATTACAGGCATGTGCCATCGCGCTTGGCCAACGTGACTCTTTTGATGAAAGGGTTCAGTTTTGGTTACTGCATTTAAAAAGTGGTGGGGAAGTTGGCATGTGATTATTAAGAATATTAACACAATGGAGAAAGTGTTCCTTTAACAGCAGGTTAAGATTAAGGGGCTGGACATAATATTTCTCAGTTGAGCCAATCAGTTTTATAATTATGTGGTTTCTAGTTATTATTTTTCATTTTAGAAATATTTTCATTTTACAAATATGTGTGTTTTTTCATGCCATTATTTTATTGTGCTACTTCTTTATCCTGAACTTATTTATTCCTGACTTTTCTGACACTATTCTAAGGTTACATTCCCTTCAATTTAATTTCTCATATACTCAATAGATAATTTATTTTCTTATTCCTTTATTAAAGTTGCTGGGACCATCCCTTATTCTCACATGCAACCCATTCCCCTTTTTACTTTATCATTTATTTGTTTCTTTGTACCCCTACATGAGAGAAGAGGAACACTGGTGTCAGGGAGAGCACTGGAAATTCTAATCCAGGATTTTTTTAGTGTACAGTGGGGGAGAGTATGGAATTTGGAATAAAATTATAGCAAAAGACAAGCGAAAGTTCTAATAGTGGCTGAGCTTTTGGCTAATCCCTTGGTCAATTTCTCTGGCACACAATTTAAAAATATGGATTTTGGGCATTTTCATTTAAAAAATATGGATTCTGTGCACTTCAAAGAGTTGTGAGGATCAGATAAAATAATGTGGATAACAAGTCTTGTCCAGTGCTTGGTACATAGGCCTTTAATAAATGTTACCTTGGAATATATGTCCTAATAATACATGCCTGCTCATTTTAGTATCTGTCTTACACACACATGCACACACACACACACACACACACACACACACACACACCTCATCTGTGTCTCATCATTTCCTTTTTCTCAGGTTTGACAACCTATATTAGTTTTCTACTTATATTTTTTCTCTAAGCTTCCTTGTATATTTACCCTTTGCCCTAGCTAGTATATAACCAAAACCAAAGATAAGTCAAGCATATGATAAAGGTGTGAAAAACACCAAAGAAGCAATAACTTAAACAAATCCTTAGCTAATTTTAATGAGTACCTGGCTTGTTATTTAGAGCACATAAAAGCAGAAATAGATTATCTACTCAATTCTGACAATGCTAATTCACCCACCATCCTTGATACCCCTTGAGGAGAATTAACATGTGATTATTTGTGTTAACTTCTTTCACACTAAGTCTTTCAAATCCAAAAATGACTCTGCTTCTATTCACTTAGCCCAGTTGTATAAATTAAACACACTGTAACTTTAAAGATAATAAATATATGTTTAGGATCATCCATAGACCAGAGAGAATATTTTAAAATACAAAGAAGAGAACTAAAAACTTGAGTAACTGTGTTTTCAAAAATTAAAAGAATGAGATAGATATATATGTTTTTGCCTTACCAGATTGCCAAAGAATTAAAAGGAAAAAAAAGATGACATTCAATGTCACCAAAAGTGTGGGAAAATTGGCACTTTTATACACCACTAGTGGGAATCTGAATTAGTACCATCTCTCTGGAGGGCAATTTGACAGTAGAAAAACTCTTTGGCTCAGAAATTAGTCCTGTCAAATTGCTTGTACATTTGCACGAAGATAAATGTATAAGTAAGTTTATTGCAATAATTTTTGTAATAGCAAGAAAAAGGGAGCAACCTAAATATATACTAGTAGACAATTGATTTTAAAAAATGATAGCACATCTATACTGTGTGCACAAGGCTACTAATAGTATGTGAATATCTATGGTGATTGATATGAGAAGATGCTGATAGTTATAGTCAATTGAAAATATTATCTTACATTTCCATTTTTCTTCATGCCTAAA
Source organism: Homo sapiens (assembly GCF_000001405.40). Taxonomy (NCBI): domain Eukaryota; kingdom Metazoa; phylum Chordata; class Mammalia; order Primates; family Hominidae; genus Homo; species Homo sapiens. The sequence continues at coordinate 155,665,904 of NC_000003.12, read as the reverse complement.
CATATCTGCTAAAGAGAAAGGTAAAATGAGCTCAGAAGTTTATGCTCTGAAATATTAATACTGGTTATCTTTGAGTATGAGATTATTTGTGATTTATTTTCTTCTTCATACTTCTTTATACATTTGTAATTATCATATATTACATTTATAATTGGAAAAAATCAGATTTATTTAAAAATCAGGGTACATAAAGAAAATATTTTGCCGGCTCACAGCTCTGCTCTGGTGAGGCCGGGGCTGATCAGACTCTAGGGGTGGTCTCCCTGCCTCCAGCCTCTTCTTCCTTAGATTGAGTGTGCTAGAGGCAGATCTAATTGCTGTCTCTTGTTCTCTCCAAGTCCTTTTACCGCAGTGTTGGCACAGGTCTTTCCCAGTGCTTATCTTTGCCTCCTCTCCTTCCACTACCTTGCTAGTTTACTATTTAACCATGTAGAACAATTTCTTCTTTCTTGAAAGCACTCTTTGCTTTGCCTGAATGTCCCCTTCTGAAATATGATCTCTTCTGTCTCATTGGCCTGGTAAACTCATCCTTTGCATCTTGGCTATAGTTGAATGCAAACAACACTGGACCTGGGCACAGGCTCTATTAGCTAAAGTAATATGCAGATAAAGCTATCTCAGTGGCTTAATACACATTTCTTACTGCTTTCCCAGTCTAATACAAGTGTTCCTGCTTGAGTGGCTCTCTTCCAAGAGATGATTCAGCGGCCCAGGCTGCTTCTGTCTTGTGGTTCTGCTGTTGTCAACATGTTACCCAAAAGATTACCCTAGGAGTACCTCCTCTGGCCAAATGGAAGGAGAAAAGAAAGCAGAGGATCATGTTAGCCAGTTTTTATGAGGAAGTTTTAAAGGGCAATGCCCAAATTCCACTGGCCAGAACCTAATCACATGGCCACACCCAACTGCAAAGGAGTCTGGAAAATGCAGTCGGTCTGTGTGCACTGGAGGAAGAGGAAGTAAGTTTTGGTGAGCATTTAGTAATCTACGCCTGTAAGGTGGAAGCTCAAATCTTAGCTCCATCTCTACCTATATGATGACTTAAGGAAATTAATTTATTTGAGCCTTAGTTTTCTTATTTATAAAATGAAGATAATAAGACCTACCTATTTTAAAGGGTTGGTATGAGGGATTAAATTTTGAGCTAATATATATGAAATAGCTTCATAAATTATGAAATGTTATGCAAATGCAAGGGGAAGCTTTCATCAACATACAGCTCACTGTTTTGCAATTTAAAAAAATGTACCTGAATACCAAGAGTTGGCAAACTACGCCCTGTGGGCCAAATTCAGTCAGTTGCCTGATTTTGTATATAAAGCAGACTACAACCCAAACATAGCCATATTTAATAGTGTACATATTTTCTAACGCTGCTTTTGCTCTGCATGCAAAAGTGATTGCCACAGAGGCTGTATGGACCACACAGCCTAAAACATTTACTATCTGGCTTTATACAAAAAATGTTTGCCAGCATTTAGACTAGACTGTGAGTGTCTGAGATCTTATTCTTTTATTGTTTATTATAGAACCTGAGTTACAGCAGGTGCTCAGGGAGTCTTGACCGAAGGGTTGAAATCTCTTTTTAGAGCCCTATAGTTCAGACATTATGCAGCTGGAAGGTAATTTCAGTAGGAAAGATGCTTTTCCACTAGGGTGGATGAGCACCATAGGTTTCTTTACACTTGTGGAATAGCGAACTAGCCAAGATAATCAGGCACCCTGAGTTCAGTCCCAGCTGAATCCCCTCTACTATGCTGCCTTTGCCAGTTTCTTTTCTGAACATAAACACATGGTCCTTTCTTGTCTTTATAATTGGTACTGTCATCAGACTGTTTATGATGCATCACTATTCAACTCATCGGTTAGCAAATATTAACTGAATGATTATAGCAGGGAGTAAAAGGCAGAGTAAAAGACAGTTGGCTGAGGAATGCTTTGGTATCACAAGTGCACTGTCTCATTAATGTTTGCTTCTGCTTGTTGCATAGCCTGAATTTTGCTATAATAGTTTGAAGACATAATAGCCTAAACAATAGTGGTGCAAACTTGATAGTAATGCTTTTCCTCTAATGATTGGCAAATTAAGAGTTTATATCAGCCAATCAGTACAAATTCAGCATTTAGCATGTAGAGATATTAAGCTAAATGTTGGAGGGGAAGTTCATGGAGCTAATGTTTATTGACTGCTTAGTAGCTGTTATGCATCTTGCATTATACTGTGTGCAAAGGATAGCTGGGTAAATAAGCCATAGCCCCTGCGTGAGGCACACACAACTAAGTGGGAGAAGATACAAAAGGAATGGGTAAATGTTTCCTACTTTTGAGAGACAGGGAAGGTTTTGCTGGGAGATAATATTTTTATAGACATTAATATCTGGAGCAGAAGTCTCTACAGCTAGAATAATGTGGAGCTTGAATACTTTGACTGGCTTATGGAAAGTGGGAGAAAGGAGCAAAAGCGGAAAGAGAGCAAAAGGTTTCAGCAGTTAGTTAGTGATAGAATTAGGTCAGGATTTGCTTCTCCATGCATATTCTTAGTTACCCAAATCTAACCAAAGGCAGTTGTCTAAATTGATTAAATCACAGGTTACAAAAGAGATATACATAGATTTTTGTAGATTGCTCTTTTGTCTTTATATTTTAAATAGTAAGATTTTAAGAGGATGTAGAAAACACAAGATATGAACTTAGCCAGAAAACCTTTCTAGAATTTAACTATTGAAAATATCAGAGTGTGTTTCTCCTAGGAGATTTACATAACAGGGACAGTGTCTCATTCCACTTGGCATCCTTATAATCTGCACTAGTGTCCTACGATGGAGCTGGCACACCATGATTGTTTATTTATAAAACATTGGAGATTTTTCAATCAGAAGAAAAGATTTAATACTTTTTTAAATTATAGCCAAAAAAGAAGAAAGGTAAGAAATACATAAACCTGAACTGGGAGTGGTGGCTCCAGTCTGTAATCCCAGAATTTTGGGAGGCCAAGGTGGGCGGATTACCTGAGGTCAGGAGTTCAAGACCAGCCTGGCCAACATGGCGAAACCCCATCTCTACTAAAAATACAAAAAGTAGCCGGGCGTGGTGGTTGTCGCCTGTAATCCCAGCTACTTGGAGGCTGAGGGATGAGAATCACTTGAACCTGGGAGGTGGAGGTTGCAGTGAGCTGAGATTGCGCCACTGCACTCCAGTCAGGACGACAGAGTGAGACTCCATCTAAAAAAACAAAACAAAAAAAGAAATACATAAACCTGAAAGGCAATAATAATCTAAGAAAAATTTAGAGATCCCACTGGGGCTGGGGGTATTTGGTTGCAATGTGTCTCCATTCTCTTTGGCCTCTTATTTTAGTCTCTTATTTTAGGCTTAAGATTAAAAAAAAAAAACTTGTATATATACATATATAGGTTTTATTTTTATTTTTAATTTTTTTTTAGAGACGGTGTCACTCTGTCACCTAGGCTGGAGTGCAGTGGTGCGATTATAGCTCACTGCCACCTCTAACTCCTGGGCTCAAACTATTCTCCTACTTCAGCCACCCAAGTAGCTGGAACTACAGGTGTGCACCACTATGACTAGCTAATTTTTTAATTAAATATTTTTTTTGTGTGTGTGCAGACAGGGTCTCAGTCTGTTGCTAAGGCTGATCTTGAACTCTTGGCCTCAAAGGATTCTCCCACCTTGGCCTCCCAAAGTGTTGGATTATAGGCAAGAGCCACCGTGCCTAGCTCATATACAGTTTTCAGATCATGGCAATAGCTTCTCTAGTTCTAGTGAGTGTCCTCATCATGAGCTTGTTAAAGCAATACCTTCAAGGCCTTTCATTGAACTATGTGGGTGATGGGCCCCTAACCAGAATATGGAAGGTGACAGCCCTAACTCAGGTAGATTCTGCTGATTCATTAAGAGGTGTTTCTAGAGTGTTATCAGATACCATTACAACATTACCAAACACTGTGTTTATGTACTGTCTCTAGTTGAGTCAAATGCTTGAAGAAGTAGGAAGTGCCTATTTGCTTAAGATTAGCTCCTTAGCTTTAGAAAAGAAAACTAACTACCTGAGTGCTCTGAGCTTGCTTATGGAAATTACCAAATGAACAGAGAGCAGACCACAACCCTAACTGTATTCATTTTTGCTCACAGTTTGGTGCATAACTCTGTGGGTTATCTTTTTTATATGAATGAGGTGGGAAATAAAAATCTAGTATCAGAGAGGAAAGGGGGAGAGACCCTGCCAGACACTTTTTTTCCCCTTCTTTATTCAGAGGTCTGGAGATGTGTTTATTTTATAGCTGGTACAGGTTGCTGTTTTTCCCCCAAACATTTCTGCTTCAAAGCTTGTTCTTTTTATGAGTGACAGAAGGAAATGAAGGCACTGAAGGATTTGGTAAGGCAAGTGAAAGGTTCAGGTATGGGGGGATGGGATGCTAGCAATTAGAACCAAGGCTCAGAATCTGAGCTATGAGTTGGCTTTGATAAAGAGCCAGTAGCCTTTGAGACTCCCTCCTGGGTTCAGTGTGTCTTCAGAACCTGGCTTATAGATGGGCTAATCAAAATATGCCTTGTTACCCTCCAGCTAGGGTTGCTCTGTGACCCAGTGTAAGTAACCCTGGACTCAGTGCTCTGTTCAACCTCTCTCTCTCTCCCTGCTCTCTATCTCTCTGGTCTGAGCACAGAACCCTTTCATTGCCTTAGCCAAAAATCAATAAGGTTGTGCTATGTGAACTACAAAGTTGTTGAAAAAGTTGATTGTTTGCCTCTTATATGGTATATGAGAGTGCCGAATCCTAACCACTAGACCACCAGGGAAGGTATCATATATGGTATTTGAAATGTTTCCTGTCCACCTCTGCTATGGGCAATGCTGACAAATTTGGCAGAGGACAATACTTCCCTATTCTAAATATGCCAGTTCTTCATGTGGCATTTTGTTTAAAAGCCTCAGGCAGGCAGATAGGTATTTCAGCTATATGGAATGATCTGTAGAGTATATCAGACCTTTGTTATTTGGTAAATTTCATATGAAATTCAATTACCTATGAAGTCACTCTAGGGGAGTCACTCATCCTGAGATACATAGGAAAAGGAAAATTGTCAATTTCTTTTTCAACAAGGGATTTTTCTTTTTTAAAAAAGGGGCATGTTGATTTTCTTTTGATAATGTAAAATCCCAATGCACAGAAGATGAGGCAAAACTCTAGAGACTGATATGGGTAGATGGATAGAAAAGTTATTTTAGGGCAAACCCCCTACCCCCAACTCCTGTAGTAATTGAAATTATTCAGCTAAAGTTCAGGAGCAGCTGTAGTTAGATCACTTTAAAATTAGGATATTAGGATGAAGTATATGTTTTTCAGGGGCAAAAATGGTGCTGTCTGCCTTTGTCAATCTCTGTATTCTCCAGAATGGAACTGTGCACACAGCAAGTTTCTAAGGTATACTAACCACCAAAAAGTCTTTATTGTGTAAGACCTACAGGGGTTGACTGGAAATAGCCTTGGAGTTGGCCTGCTGCTTCCATCTCAATTTCAAATGCCTTCAGTGTATGCAGTATTCTTAAGAATTTCAGAATTTGCTCTGAGAGCCATCTTGGAGAGAGAATAGGTTGGTAAAAGTGGCTGTTGACTTTTGAAAAGAATATAGTTTCCCAAAAGATGTTATATCCAGGCAGGCCGTGGCTCTGCTGTATTAGGAAAAGTCCGACTTTCAATTGTGTTCAGCCTGTTAGGCACGGAGGACTGCCACAGAGAGTGGGCAGCCACGTTCATAATTCAGGTATGGGTGCCTTGTCAGGAGATCCATCCATTCTAGAAGACATCTGGCTCCCCCACTCATGAATATAGGTAATGATTCTTTCCAAGTTAACATATAACATAGCAGGCACTTGATATGCCAGTGTCAAATTAAGCAGAACTTCTCTTTTTCTAATGATCGACTGATGTTAGGAAATTATTAGAAGTGAATAGACAGCTGGGCGTGGTGGCTTATGCTTGTAATCCCAATGCTTTTGGAGGCTGAAGGTGGTGGATTGCTTGAGCCCAGGAGTTCGAGTCTATCCTGGCCAACATAGTGAGACTCCATCTCTAAAAAAATTACAAAAATTAGCTGAGCGCAGTGGCTCACACCTGTAATCCCAGTCCTTTGGGAGGCCGAGGTGGCTGGATCACCTGAGGTCAGGAGTTCAAGACCAGCCTGGCCAACATGGTGAAACCCCATCTCTACTAAAAATACAAAAATTAGCTGGGCATGGTGGTGGGCGCCTGTCATCCCAGCTACTCGGGAGGCTGAGGCAGGAGAATCGCTTGAACCTGGGAGGTGGAGTTGCAGTGAGCCGAGATCATGCTACTGCACTCCAGCCTGGGCAACAGAGAGTCTATCTCAAAACAAAAAACCAAAAACAAAAACAAAAATGAGCCAGACCTGATGGCATTAGTCTGTACTCTGAGCTGCTCTGGAGGCTGAACAGGGAGGATTGCTTGAATGCAGGAGGTTCAGGCAGTGAGCCGTGATCATGCCACTGTGCTCCAGCCTGGGTGACAGAGTGAAACCCTATCTCGGAAAAAAAAAAAAAAAAAAAAAAAAAAAAAAAAAAAAAAAAAGAAGTGAATAGACATCTCACGCCTGGCCTGTGGTCAGAGCAGTGAAGGAATATTCTGAAGTTTTGAGCTTGGGAAGTCTCCTTAGTTATTAAGACATCATCTCTTGTCCTGACGAACTAGGAATTTAACTGTGCCCAGTGTCCTTCAGCCCCATTGCTTCTTGGTGTTTTAAAGAAGCTGAGATGTCTTGGTTCCCCGTTACTGATGGGTTGTGATGGGCTTCACACATCTCCAAACAGTGATGATGTGGCAGCTAAGAAGACAATTTTGATTTTGTCTTTGAATGTGGTATGGCTCCTTTGTCTTTGAGATTTCACTCATGTCAACCAGTTAAGTTGGTGCTATGGTCTGCTGGATAATTACGTTTTCTAAGTAAGATTAACTTCTTAATTACTTGTGAAGGAGAAGCTGTAATATTGAACTGTGATTGCTTTTGGCAGGCAGCCAGGGACAAAGAGTACAATTATATGTGTGACTACTTCTTTCCAAATGTGAAAGGCATACTTGTCGGTAGGAATATTTGACCATTGAGTTAACTTGTCATCAACTATTTCAGTTACTGAAGTAGTTGCATCAAAAGTGAATAGAGATTGACTAGAGAAATAAACTTTTTTAAAAGTAAATTTTATTTTTTAAGGAATATTCTTTTTTTTTAAAATCAGTTATTTAATTAGGTTTTTGGTAAGAAATTTAGAGCACCAATTTGTGGGGATAAACTCTATTCGTCAGGGCAAACATGGATCAGCTTTGATTATTTTAGTAAAATGTGCAAGTCCACATCTTTCTAATCAAACTTGCACCGTTCTGTAATCTCGTATTTCTCTTTTTCTGTGTTGGAGATCTCACCTTCCCGTGTCTGGGCTTCCGCAGCTGCTGCTTCTTGAGGTTGGTATCAGTGAGATGTTTTGGGATTCTCACATTGCTGATATCAATTTTTGTGGAGGTGGTGATGACAAATTTCTGGTGTGCTCCTCACAGAGGAACTTGATTGAGAACTAGAGATCCAGTCACAAGTAACAAGCCACTGCCCAGCTGCTTCAGGAAAGCCACCCTCTTGCCTGTGTGGTGCCCAGGGAGGATGATCAGAACGGTCCCAAGAGTGATGTTGCCTCGCAGTTTCCTCTGTGCTGACTGAGGGCTTTTTGCTGTGGCTCAACAGCTTTCGAGGCACATCTTCGGTAGGATAATATCTATGCATTTTGCAGAGTTTAACCACCTGGGTACCACCATCCTTGTCACCACCAACCGGTTTTGTAACAGTTGCATGAACCTTTTCCTTTTCCTTTTCAATCTTGAATTTAGTGGCGAGTACCTCCTCTTGTATCTGGCCTTTCTGGAATACACAGTAGACAGGGAATATCTGCCAGTTCCTCTGATCAGGACAGGATTTCGGCTGCACTGGAGTTTCCTCTTCTTGGACTTTTTCGCCTTGACTTAGCCTTTTTCACCTTGACTTACCCTTTTTCACTTTGCCACTAGTATCAGCTTTCTTGGCTTCCAGTCTCTTCTTAGTATCCAGCCTTTTAAAGTTTTCACCTGCCATCTTGCAAGATAAGAAAGCAAGGTATTGTTTACTATATGAATCCCTTTGTATTTTATTGGTAAAGTTTAAAGCGTAAATAATGCGGAATGTTTGGGAATATCTTAGCTCTTTCTCAATAAGCGTAGTTTCAGATTTTCTGATTCAATAAATATTTTGGAAATAATAGATTATTATTATAAAGTTAAACTGTGACCTCTGACTAGTGTTTCCTCCTTATGGTGGTCCCAATCTCGCTGTGGGTGGTTTTCTCACATATATGCACTAATTAGTACTCAGCCGAATGCTAGAGTCCGCATCTATCTCCGGAGCTCTTCTCTAGGCAGCTGTTTCCTCTCCAGTAACCTGTCCTGTGAACTGTAGTTGTCTTGGCCTCCCTAGACTCCCAGCCTTGTCTTCTCAACTGACAGAGACCACTGATCTCTTCCTAGGTTCCCCTTTTCTGTTTTATAGTCTGGAAAATCTCTCCAGGCAGTAAGCTGAGGCAACCATAGGCCTACTTCATTTGGTTCCTGTCTCTCAGAGATCACTGTTCTTCATTGCTTGACTCCAAAGCCTTGAAAACTGTTGTTCATATATTCTGTTTGTTTCATGTGGGTTACTCATCTTGGTTGGAAGCAGAAGTCTCTTTTCTGACCTATTCTTACATTTTTTTTTAACTTAAGAATCAGCTTATTTAGTTGCAGAAACTTTTTTTTTTTTTTTTTAAACTTGTCCTTGTTGTTACTCATATATGAGAATCTTCTCTCCCATTATATTTTCTAGCTGGTTACTGTGTTATTGCATGCAGGCTATTTATTTTAGTATGTGAATTTTATAACTTTCTACCTTACTAAATTTTTAAAATTTTTATCTTTGATTATCTTGGGTTTTATAGGTTATATGGTTACATAACCTAAAAATAGTTATAATTTTATTTCCCTTTCAATTCTCATGCCTTTGATTGTTTTTTTCTTATCTGATTACATTGTCTAATGCCTCTTCTAATACAATGTTAGATGGAGACAGTGGGCATCCTTGCCTTATTCCTGACCTTAGTTGAATGCCTCTGGTGTTTTTCTATTAAGATGCTGACTTTATGTCTGAGGAATTCACACAGGCACACACATACTCACAAGGAAATAACCGCTAATTTCTATTTTATTGAATGCTTTTGGAAGTTAGGAGTGGCATGGAATTTGAAAGCCCTTTTAGTATTTCTGAAGATAATCATATGATTTTTCTTCTTATATCTGGTGAAATGGTGAATTACATTAATGAATTGTCTAAGAAGGAAACATTTTCTCATTCCTGAAAAAATTTCACTGGTTAATGAAATAATATTTTATTTGCTGTTAGTTTTATATGTGTGTAAATATTCATAAGTGAGGGTTGTATATAGTTTTGAGTATAATCTTTTATGAAATAAAGTTTAGATATCAGTATTATATCTGCTTCATGAAAATAATTTAGCAGTTTATGCTTCTTTTTCTATGCTCTGGAACAATATAAGCAGCATAAGGATGATCTATCCTTTGAAGCTTTGGTAGAATTTCACCCATTAAATCACATTGGTCTGGTGCTTCTTTGTGGTGGTAGTTTTTATTTGGGGGGGGGTAATTTTCTCTATTCCTTCTATGAAAATTGAACTATTACTATCTGTTTTGGGGTGAAGTAGGAGGAAAGTATATCTTTTTAGGAAATTATCCCTTTTATTTAGATTTTCAAATTTATTTCGTTGAGTCAGTAGAAGATTATCTTTTAAACGTATCTGCTGTTTCAATGGTTCTTTCTCTTTTGAAGTTTCTTATTTATTTGTGCTTTCTCATTCTTTTCTTCCTTGGGTAGTTTTGCTAGTATTTTGTAATCTGTTTTATTGATTTTTCTCCAAAGAATTTGCATTTTAAAATGTATTTAATAATTTTATTTCTTTTAAAATTTCATCTTTAATTCTTTTCTGAATGCTTTCTTTGGTTTACTAGCTTTTTGGGTGGGACCCTTTCTTTTTGGAAGAGATTTTTGTTTTCTACCACTCCTAAGTCCCCACTACCCCCTTCTCTTTTCCATGCAGGTGATGTCCGATTCTAGGGTTGGCTATGCTGGGTTATGCTGTTTATTTTATCACTTATATGTACATGGAAGTTTGTAGTATTGTCTGACCCCCTAGTTATGGATGGAAGGCTTTATTTGGGCTTCCATGGTGAATGTATGGAGAGATTTGGATTCAGGCAGCTGCTGTTATCTGCGAGAATTCTGAAAGTGCAAGACTGATCCAATAAAATAAAGATGTGAAACACAAATAGCGACTAAAGGGGAATATTTTCTCTTCTTCTTCTTCTTCTTTTTTTTTTTCTCACAAGTTTCTTGCTCTGTTACCCAGGCCAGAGTGCAGTGGGCAATCATGGCAATCATGCAGCCTCAACCTCCTGGGCTTGAATGATCGTTCTAACCTCCCGAGTAACTGGGACTACAGGCATGTGCCACCATGCTCGGCTAATTTTTAAATTTTTGGTAGAGACGGGGCTTTGCCATATTGCTCAGGCTGGTCTTGAACTCCCAGGCTCAATTGATCCTCCTGACTTGGCCTCCCAGAGTGCTGAGATTACAGGCATGAGCCACCACACCTAGCTGGGGAATATTTTAGGTAGAAGAATCCAAGAAGACCTTTATAAGAGGTGATATTTGAGTAGAAGCCTGGATAAAGTGAGGGAGTGAACCATATAACATCTAAAGGCAGAGTGTTCAGGAAGAGAACAGAGCAAGTGCAAAGGCCCTGTGACAGGGTCAGGAATGGTGTATTTAAGTAATAGCAAGGAGGCCAGGGCAGTGGAAGCAAAGTCGATGATACAAAGAATGGAATGGTAGAAGATGAGTCAGAGAAGCAGCCAGTGGTCAGACCATGGGATTTAGAGTTTTTCCTAAGGGTAATTGGAAGCCATTGCAAAATATTAAGTGGGGCAATGGTAGGATTCTCTTTAAGGGACCTCTTAGACTGCACCATGGAGGATGGACTTACTATGAGATGAGAGGAGACAGGGAGACCAGTCATGATATTATTACATGAAATGATGGTGGTCTGGACTGGAGCAGAAGCTGGGGAAGTTATGAGAAGTGGTCAGACTTAGAATATGTTTTGAGAGTTGACTTGATGTGACTTCCTGATTGGTCAGATGTGGAGTGTGAAAGAGATTCTTGCAGGATAAATGGTGATGGTGGCAACATTTCTGAGATGGAGAGGCCCGAGAGAGGAAGAAAATGGTTTATGTGTGTATGAGTGGGGGACAAGAGTTCTTCTTTTGATATGTTAAGACTGAGATATCGATTAGATGTACAGGTAGAGACATTGACAGGAAGTTTGAATATTCAATTCTTGACCTCAGGAGAGAGGTTGTAGCTTTGTAGATATACATTAGGGAATCATCACGTATTTAAAATCATGGTACTTGCTAGGATCACTAAAGAGTGAGAGAAAGAAGAAGGTCATAGGCTGAGTCCTGGGCTCCTCCAGATTTATCTCAGGAAAGGAGGATTATCCAACAAAGTAAACCAAGGAGGATTGCCCAATATGACATGAGAAACACCAGGGAATATGATGTCCCAGGAGCCATGGGAGGGAAGAGTTTCAAGGAGAAGGGTATGTTCAGCTGGGTGAAATGCTGCTGCGGAGTTGAGTAAAATGAGCACTGAGAAATGACCATTGGATTTGGCAACATGGAGGTCATGGGCATGCTAGATCAGCCTGGTTTCAGTGGAGAGGTGGAGACAAAAGCCTGGTTGGAATTGATTCAAAAGAGAGAGGAAGGGGAAGAAATGGAGACAGACAATTTTTTTTGAGTTTTTCCTTAAAGATATATGCAGACATGGAGTGGTCACTAGGGAGGGATATAGGATCAGGGAACATAATTTTTTAAGGTAGTTTTGACAGCATATTTGAAGATTCTTATGAATAATCCAGCAGAGAAAAAATAAATTGATGATGTAGGAGAGTGAAGAAGTGGAGTGTACAGGCATAGGTGAAGATGGTAGTTGGAATGAGGAATTTTTCTACCTATTTCTTCTATTGGTGAAATTAGAAGCAAAGTTATCAGTGAAGAGTGGGAAGGATATTGGAGATTTGAAGAGAAAAGTTGTGTAGAAGTCATTTTGGATGTGATGAAATGAACTGACAAGGGAAATGAGGGCCTATTTGAAAAGTGAGGGTATATATTTAAAATGAGCTTTGTTCCCTTGTTTTGTGCAGGCATAAAGGATGTGGAGAATAGGAACTAACATGGGTAAGGGAATGCGGGGTGAAGGAATTGAGTGCATGTGTGAGACTGTGGAACCAACACTGGGTAAAGAGGGCCATAAGGAAGGCATTTGGACAGTTCAAATAAAGCCAATGATTTGGACCTCCCAATAAGGTGAAATAATTGGGACACCAGAGGAAGGGAAGAAAACAAAACGAAACAAAAACTAGGTGGTCAAGTCAGGTGTAGTAGCCAATGCATGTAATCCCAGCCCATGGGAGGTCAAGGCTGGAAAATTGCTTGAGGCCAGGAGTTTGAGACCAGCCTGGGCAACACAGTGAGACTGCATCATCTATATCTATATATCTATATCTATATCTATATCTATATCTATATCTATATCTATATCTATATCTATATCTATATCTATATCTATCTACATCTATATCTGTATCTGTATCTATATATCTTCCAGCAATGTATGTAAATTACCCACCCACCCACGTGGCAGTAGTCTTGTAGACTAGTGGAAATCTGGAAGTGGAGATTTTGGGAATTATGCAATTAGTGGCATTGTATAATTAGAGGTCTTAGGTGGGACTATTAAAGTGGGAGGCTGAGGTAGGTGGAGGACAGATTATTGCAAGTGAAGTGGTCCAGGAATAAAACTGCCAAAGTGTAGTGTATCAGCCAATTTCAAGTTCATGTTGCCAGGGATGATGGCAGAATAGAAGTGGGGCTTGGTGCAGAAATCATCAGCGGATGAGGGTGAGTGCCTGAGAGGGTGGGTTATGACTCCTTTGAGGCGAGGTAGCAGGTGTCAGAGCCAATGGCTTGTGCTTTGTTCATAGGTGTGAGGAGGAATCAGTGGTCTGAAAGCAGCAGTGAGGAGAACAAGTAAATGAGATGAGGCATTTAAAACTCTTCCTGCATGTAATAAGCATTCTATAAATGGTAGATGAAACCTAGTACTAAGCGTTTGATGAATAAATGATCTTGAAAATGTAGTGCTATGTTCAAAGTGGGCTCATAAAATGCGAATGTGTTCAACAAGGTCCCACACACACACGCAAAAAAACAAAACAGAAAGTTCTTCCTTTGCTAACCTAAACAGGGATTCTAACCTATTGTGACTGGATGTCAGATTGAGTCAGATTTGTCCTACTGACTCTAGAGAACTCTGGTGGATAATAATCTTAGTCTGGCTGTCTATGTGATGCTGGCTTCTTCGTGTCCATTAGATAAATGATACTGTGCAAATACAGTGCAAGCTACAAAATGATCAGATCTAGGAATTTAACATGGTGCTCAAAAAAATGTGAACAGCTGTTTGAGGGGTCCAGTAGCATGAGTGATTAAAGTTAACGGGCTTCCCACTGTCAAAACTCTCCAGGAATACTTGGAAAAATGAGAGGTAGTGTTAGGTGTAAAGTCAAATAAATGCTAAAATCTTTGCCAAGGGCTTTGCTGTGTCCTCTTGCTCATTTCAGATGATTCGAACAGTGTATCTGCCAAGAAAGTCAAATTAATAAGCTTGCTTTGCATAGCTAACGGCATGGGTCCAAAGACTCTGAGGCAGAACTTACATAGTTTTACAGATTCCTGGATGGAAGAAAGCCTAGGAAGTTAGGACTTGAAAAATGGAAGCTGATTGATATTTAGGTTTTCTTTTAGTTTATCCTGGGTAAGAATTTACTGTCTCTGAGGACTGATTTTAGAAATAGTACTTCAGAGAAAATAATTGGAACATCTAATTTGCCTATCAATAAAATTGAAAGAAGGAATTAGGGATCCCCTATATTAATGTTTCATGAGAGATCAGGTGGTGGTAAGTAACTTCATATTGAAACAGAAAGCTATCTGGAAACAAAGTAAATAAGAGTAGAGCATGTTTACATTGCAGTTCATTTGCTCAGGAACATTAAGCTCCAGAGTTTTATTTTTTTCATAATACAACATTCTTACTAGTTTTTAAAAATTGTAATATTAATCTATGCCCATCCTTGGGAAAATTTAATACTATAGAAGTATGTGAAATAAAATATAAAAGTTCTCTTTTGAGTCATACTCCTCCACGCCACCCCCTCCAACCCCCCAACTTGCTATTCCCCTCTGTAGATATTACAATTGACAGTTTGACAGTTTGGTGTATTTCTTTCCTAACTTATATCTGTCTTACTCTTAAACAACTGCATAGTTTTTAATATAATACCATGACTGTACCATGATTTAAGTAATTAGTTCTGATGGACATTTAAGTTTTTTGCTCTACAAATAATGCTATAACAGGCATTCATTTACATATGCCTTTGAATCCTTGTGCAGTGTGTAAACTTCAAGAGCTGAAGTTGCAGACTTTCAGAGTAAGAACATTTGAAATTTTGATAAATGGTGCTACATTTTTCCCCCTAGTCTATGAGAAAGCCTGTTTACTCTAGCCAACACTGGGTAATGTCAGCCTTTTAAATCCAGCCAACAGTTGAATATTATTGTTTAAATCTGCATTTTTTTTTTTTTGAGACGGAGTCTCGCTCTGTTGCCCAGGCTGGAGTACAATGATGTGATCTTGACTCACTGCAACCTCCGCCTTCCAGATTCAAGCGATTCTCCTGCCTGACCCTCCCTAGTAGCTGGGACTGCAGGCACCTGCCACCATGCATGGCTAATTTTTATATTTTTAGTAGAGATGGGGTTTTGCCATGTTGGCCAGGCTAGTCTCGAACTCCTGACCTCAGGTAATCCACCCGCCTCGGCCTCCCATAAATCTGCATTTCTTTAAACACTAGCATTGTTGAGCATCTTTTCATGTTTATTGGTAATTTCTTCTTCTACACATAGTCTATATCCTGTAATCATTTTAATACTGATTTATCTTTTTCTTGATTCATAATAGCTCATTGAATATGAGGTAGGTATAATGTGCGTCACATATGTTATGAATGTATTCAACTACTTTCTCTTAATTTCCTACTTCATTCATGGTATGTTTTGTCATTTTCTCTGTGGTTTAAAGGTGACTTAAGGCTTATTCCAGTTCAGTGACTTGAGGCTAATTCTAGACTCCCAAGTAACATTTTCTTTGAGAGGCCTCTGGCCGCCTGGTCATAGCGATTCCTACTAGATCTGCCAGTAATGATCTCTCCTGGCATGTTCTCAGGGGTAATACAAGTTGCTGGTGCTTGTTTATGACACTATTAGATTATTGTATCATATACAGATAATGCATTTTAGTAGCAAGGGCATGGATTTGGATTTGGAAGTTCTTCGTTTGGGTATTTTCCTGTGTGTACTAATTGTGTCATTGCTGGAAATTTTACTTCTGAAACAAGGATTATACCTATCACATCTCATAGGACTGTTGTGACAGTCACATGATATAATGAGAGTAAAATAGCATAAGCTATAAAGCTGTACACATTTTTATTAGTTTCATGACTGTTTTATTTGGGGGTTTGGGGGGGCTGTTTGTGGAAGACCACTGGAAGTTGCAGAAGTGTGACCCTCTCCTCCCTCACGCCTCCCTGTGCCTGTAAGCACTCACTCCCCGAGTCTTGTTAATTCTACTTCTTTTTTTTTTGAGAAGGAGTCTCACTCTGTCGCCCAGGCTGGAGTGCAGTGGCGCTATCTCGGCTCACTGCAAGCTCCGCCTCCCGGGTTCATGCCATTCTCCTGTCTCAGCCTCCCCAGCAGCTGGGACTGCAGGCGCCCATCACCGCGCCTGGCTAATTTTTTGTATTTTTAGTAGAGACAGAGTTTCACAGTGTTAACCAGGAAGGTCTCAATCTTCTGACCTCATGATCCACCCACCTCAGCCTCCCAAAGTGCTGGGATTACAGGTGTGAGCCACCGCGCCCGGCCATTAATTCTACTTCTTACTGGGCTTTGAATGGTTCTCTTTTTCCCAATTCCCACTACCATCATCACAGTCCAAATCAGAGTCAGATTAAAGATGGGTCAGCTGCCTGTCCCAGGGTGCTGTGTGATATGGGGGGGAACTGAAATGACTAGAAATACAAGATGGAGAAGTGAGACCCCTCCCTTGCAATGGCAGGGCTGCTCTGAGGTGTAGCATAGGTTGTGCATGGTGCTACTTGGGGTGTGCACACCCTGCCTGAAGGGTACATGCCTGTCAGATGGTCCCTAGACCTCCTTCTAAGGGAACAAGGTCTGCTGAGTAGCATGGTTTGTTTCGTGATCAGGTTATTATTTTAGGGCCGAAACAGAATTATATAGGGTAGTGGAGGCGAGTCTGGAATTGATGCTCAAGGGCTTCCTTGCCTCACTTTCCTCTAGCAGCTTCAGGCATGTCTAAATCAATGTTGAGGAGATATTTAATGGTTACTGGTTGAGCAGGGCCCAAATTATGAGCCTACATATCTCAGTACTGCCCTGGTCTCAGTCACTCCTTGTGTGCCTGGGTTTCTCGAATTGCCCTCTGAGCCCCCCTCTTGCCCTCCAGACTGTCCCCCAAGCCACAGCCAGGCTTACTTTTAGAAAAGGCCAGCCTCATCAGGTTACCTCCTTGCTTAAAAGCCTTCAGTGGATTTTTGTTGCTCTCAGGATGGAAACCAAGATCGCTAACATGGCCTAAGAGGCCTATGTCGTTGGCCCTGCCTCCCCTCCCTGGGCATTGTCACAGCACTCTGGCAATGCTGGTCCTGCCTTATGGCCGGCTCTGCCCCTGCTTTTCCCTGGCTGATGGTTGCTCAGCCTCAGAGCTCAGATTATCAGCCACCTCCACTGAGAAGCCTTCTCTGACAGCCAAGCCTGTGCCAGGTCCTCTGTCATTTGCTTTCTCTTTATATCCTGCTGTGCCTTACCATGGTACTTAGGGCAAATATTATGAAATGCTTTGTTGTCTAATTTGTTGTTTCATGTCCATCACCCCTGCTTAATGAAGACAGGCATTCTGTCTGTCACACTCATTATTGTATTCTCAGTACCTAGAAATACTTCTCATACACAGTAGATGCTCACGATTTATTTGCTGAAAGAGAGAACATATGAATAACTGAGGCACGTAGGGAAATTTAAATGTGACCCGGCCTTTCTCCTTGATGGAAGTTGCATGTTCACCAGGGGAGTAGGCCTTTGTAAAGGGGAAGAGTCTTTTTTCCAGGGAGGACGTCAAGACCAGAAGCTCGTAAACATACTGAGGCTATAAATGGTCCCATCTGTCCGTAAAGTTGCCCTTTTAGGACTGCTTTTCCTTCCCAAGGCCCTAACATCTTGTGGTGATGGTTCTTCTGCCTGTTTTTATTTGTTTCTTTGTCTTCAACCTGATTTGATGAATGTAAGAGGATTGAAGCTGGACATCAGGAAATCTCCAATACTACTACTATTGTTCCCTGGGGACTGTGAAGAATTTAAATTCCTGAGCTCTGACCTTGTGGGCATAGTCTGGCTACCCCTAGAGCTGGGGGATTTTAAGATGACTATATTACAGTTACATTATGCTTTTCTCCCCTGTTTGATCCAAGAGTTAAATTTTCAAGTCTTCTGAGTTTTCAATTGGAAAACTTGTACAAATTCAGTTTTATTGCCTTTGGATAAATACAGCAGGTTGAAACACAAATTGCTTCTTTCAGGACCTCTACCAGAATTCCTCTACTGCATATAGTGGGGGCAGTAAATACCAGGGAAAGGGAAGAAAGCAGGTAAAGTGCACAGGATTTAAGAATCTAGCTATGCATTAGGATCAGAAATTCTTAGGGAGTGCTGCATGAATATTCTATTGATGCTTACAGCTGCTTGAGTGAATAAAAGGAATGATATTTACTTTGTTTTACCATTGTACAATCATTTCTTTTTGTTTCAGAAGTTTAAAAAAATTAATTTTATTATTTTTAAAGACTTTTGAAAAAGTCTTGTTAAGTTTTAGAGTGAGGGTGAAGGACAGAATTAAGTATTTTCCAGTCATAAGTTAAAACCTTTTTCATATCAAAAGTCATCTGGGCATTGCTTTGCCAGGGGTCTTCAGACTCTGTATTTTTTCCTAATGCTCTTTGTGGATCTTTTTTCTGTCTGATCTAACTTGGCTGCTTTGTTGATCTGCAAAGAAAATGCAATTTCCTGTTCATTGTGTCTTTTGGTGTAACAGATTCTGCAAGTTTAGGAGAAAGAGGTTGAGGAAGTGTGTCTTCTGCTTGATAGTGCTGTCCCCAGAAACATTCTTATTAAATTACTATTGAATGAGGCAGTCAAGCGTCTTTCATCCTGGGAATATTAAAGTGTGTGTAGGGAATTCTTTAAAACGTTAAGAGGACAAATGCTTGTTTTTATGGTAGAAGACCACATTCACTTTCCTTATTGACTCTCAGGTTAAGAATACATGCATTTTTCATTAGCTATGCTTTTGTATCCTCAGCTTACTGAATAGGAAAAGCAAGTGGGTTGGCCCTGCATGATACGACATTGATACAAAATTGTTTCACTCTCTGAGAAGAGAGTTGGAAATCAAAAAGGAAGGTGGTGGTTAATTTTGTGCAGCTGCAACAAGTCTAGGTTCTCTATCAGTGTTTGTTCTGCTGATGCATTCTATTTGTTAGATAGGAGTCACAAAGGCTAGCTGTGTCCATGGGGTGGGGAATTGGACTTCATCTCCCAGTGAAAGGAGTGTCCAAGAATTTGTGAATATATTTTAAAACAACCACAGGTATGTATTGTAATGTTCCTTGTGCTTCATTGCTTTATTTAGCTATTTTATCCAAACCCAGCATGATATGTTTATGGGTTTATCTTTTCAGAGTATAGAGAGCGTGAGCTTGGGGCAGGAGGCAGGTTGTGTGGGAAATAAGCTGACTCGTTAGGGAGGAGGTTCAAGGAGGGCTTCATAGACCAGGCAAAGGAGTTTCAGTTCTCTGCTTTAGGCCTGTGTTTTCCAAATGGTGGTGACTTTACCCTCTAAGTCATTTAGAGAAGTATCAGGATAAAAAGAAGGTTATTCCTAGAAGGGCAGTTTTACTCAAGGACTTTAGGGAACTCTCATTATGGAGTTGAATGTGTAATTTCACATACTTTTTAAAGATAAAACAAGAGTCTGCAAAGGATTTGAGTGTGGGAATGAGGAGGCTGGAGTTGCACATTATGGTCGGCAGTGCTGAGAAAGGGTGGGGTGAGACAGAACTGTGACACTAGCTGGTCGCTGTTCCGGATGTCATTTCAGAAGTTATGGTGACAGCTAAGGTGAGTGCTGAAGGACTGAACAGTGAGGACAGAGGGGGCGAAGTTCAGGAAGGAGAAGGGGAGGCTTCGGCCAGTGGGTGGTTGGTGATGTCATCCAGGCTTGAGCCTGAAGCCAAGAGGGTTTCATATGTAGGTGGGTGTATAACCATTTCTTTTTATTTTTTTGTATCCTAATGCTTTCACATCTGGGGCCTTGTTGATCCTGGAGGAACTGCCTCTCTCAGGGTTAGCTGATTTCTAGAGATCGTAAACAGCTCTCCAGAAACACACCTTTCACATGCAAACCAACAAATCTATAGCCCATACCCTCACCATGTCCTTTATCAGTCTCTCAAACCTGGGCCACCATCCACCTGCCTAATCACTCCAGGGCCAGATACCAGACATCTAAGTATAGCACCTTTCCCCCCAGATCCTGCTAAAATTATTCAAACTAGTCAATCCCAAGTCTGCTTAACCTGCCTCACTAGTTCTTTGCTTTGGAAAACAATGAAAACATTTGCCTGCATTTTGCCCTTATCCCATTCCCTTTACCTCCTGACTGGCCTTGGTGGTTCTCTGTGTGGCCACCTGCTCTCCATATTGTCTTGCCATCCCTCCTGTTTCTAGGGAACTGTGAGTTTAAAAAACTTCTCCCAGCACTTTGGGAGGCTGAGGCAGGAGGACTGGAGTTCAAGCCTGGACAACATAGTGAGACCTGGTCACTACTGAAAAAAAAGAAAAAAGCTGGGCATGGTGGCATGTGCCTGTAGTCCTAGCTATTTGGGAGGCTGAGGTGGAAGAATCAATCGCTTGAGCCTGGGAGGTTGAGGCTGCAGTAAGCTGTGATCGTGCCACTGCATTCTAGCCTAGGCAACAGAGCAAGACCCTGTCCCAAACAAAAACCAAAAAGCAACAACAAATAACTCCTTCCTTCATGACTAGTGATTTCTGTGACTATGTGTCTTATACTAGGAGTAAAACAAATCCCAGGTACCTATAAAAAGGTGAGGCTATGCCAGGATCAGTGGTGCACGCCTGTATTCCCAGCTACTTAGGAGGCTAAGGCAGGAGGATTGATTGAGACTGGGAGTTTGAGACTGCAGTGTGCCGTGATTGTGCCTGTGAATAGCCACAGTGCTGTAGCCTGGGCAACATAGTAAAACTCCATTTCTTTAAAAACAAAAAAGGTGAGGGTCATGGAGAATTTGGTTTTAGACATACTGAGTTCAGAGTATCTTGGGGGTACTGGGATATTTGGCTGGAGATATCTAGGGGCAATTGGACATCAGGATTTTGGGCTTTGGGGAAATACCTCAATATTCCCTCTCTATTCTGTCTCGTAGGATTGTGTGAGTTGAGATCATGTATGAGAAGGGGCTTTGAAAATTAGGAAGTACTGTGTAAATGAAGTAGCTATATCTCACCAAGAATAAGTAAAAAAGAAATTTTGCTGTAACCCCTTGATGCCCATCTTTATTCAGACAGGAACATTTACAGGAGTTCTACTGGCTGAATGTCACTGCCGCCACAGTGGCTCAGATTTGATTTCTAAAAAAGGAGCCTGTTCTTATCAACAGAAGAGGAGAATATCAGGATGTTAATATTTTTCACTTGTTCAGATTCAGAGACAGTAATTATAAGTATAAACATGACAGCATAAAATCAATATTTGAATTTCCTTTCTTGGAAATTCTTATCCTTCTCCTTCAAAAAATTGTTTCTTTAACTGCATGCTTTTTGGAATTAGTACTTTTATTTTTATTTTATTTATTTTATTTTATTTTTGAGGTGGAGCCTCGTTCTGTTGCCTAGGCTGGAGTGCAGTGAAGCGACCTCAGCTCTCTGCAACTTCCGCCTCCCAGGTTCAAGTGATTCTCCTGCCTTAGCCTCCCGAGTAGTTGGGACTACAGGCACCTGCCACTATGCCTGGCTAATTTTTGTATTTTTAGTAGCGAGGGGGTTTCGCCATGTAGGCCAGGCTGGTCTTGAACTCCTGACCTCAAGTGATCTGCCTGCCTTGGCCTCCCTAAGTTCTGGGATTACAGGCATGAATCACCACACTCGGCCTCTGGAATCAGTACTTTTAAACTTCTTATACTCACTTCAATAATTTCTCAAATTGGAGATTAAATAGCTCTGAGCTCCAGAGACTACAAACAAAAAGAGGTTGGAGCTGTGGTTCTGGGGTGTTGGAGAATGTAACACCACCCTTCATATTCCTTCATTTTTCCCATGTAATGTTTTTTCCTTTTCTGCACTACAAGGTACTGCCTCTGTATGTATACCTGTCTGTTGATATTATTGGCTCTCTTCATTCCAGTGACTGTTTTTTCCAGTGTGTGATCCAGCCACAGAAATTAATTCAGGATGTGACCTCAAGTTGCTTTTCTTTTCTGGGCCTGCATTTCACCATATCATAACAATCAGGGACTGGGCAGGATCTCTGGAGTAGAACTTGCCACTGGTTGGATGGGATTGACTAAGAAAGAAAGAAGAGAAGAAAAATTACTCAATGAAGTAGACCGAAGCACTTGGTTGCCACTCATTCTTTATTCTCCAATCATACGTTTATTTGTTTATTTATTCAGCAAATATTTACTGAACATGTGCCAGGTACTGTTGGATACACTGGGAAATACAATGATGGGCAACACCAGACATGATCCCTGCTCTCATGGAGCGTACATGCTGAGGCATCACACTGGCAGGTCCAATGAAATGGAAATGTGGAATATAACTAATGGAATGATTTTGAACAGTTAAAGATGAATTTCAGGGGAACTATGTTACGATATCAAGGCACTCTGAAAAGTTAATGCCAATGCCAGCAGACACACAGACAATTTTATTACCTATTTCTGACAACAAATTACCCTAAAATTAATAACTGGTTGTTATCACTTATAGTTTCTGTGAGTCAGGAATTCAGAATGCTTGGGTTAGGTGATTCTATCTCAGGGTATGTCATGAGTATATAGTCAGATCAGCTGAGACTGCACCATCTGCTTACTTTCAAGTTGATGCTGGCAGGAGGCTTCAGTTCTTCTTCATGTGAATGTCTCCACAGGGCTGCTTGAGTGTCCACACAACATGGTGACTGGCTAACCCCAGAGCATAGTGATCTAAGTAACCAAGTTGGGGCCAGGTTTGGTGGCTCATGTCTGTAATCCCAGCACTTTGGAAGGCCGAGGTGGGTGGACCACTGGAGGTCAGGAGTTCGAGACCAGCCTGGCCAA
Source organism: Homo sapiens (assembly GCF_000001405.40). Taxonomy (NCBI): domain Eukaryota; kingdom Metazoa; phylum Chordata; class Mammalia; order Primates; family Hominidae; genus Homo; species Homo sapiens. The sequence goes on along the minus strand of NC_000003.12, from coordinate 155,643,151 downwards.
CATGGTGAAACCCCGCCTCTACTAAAAATAAAAAAATTAGTTGGGCATGGTGGCAGGTGCCTGTAATCCCAGCTACTCAGGAGGCTGAGGCAGGAAAATTGCTTGAACTCAGGAGGCGGAGGTTGCAGTGAGCCAAGATCATGCCACTACACTCCAGCCTGGTGACAAAGTGAGACTCCCTTTCCAAAAAACAAATAAACAAACAAAAAACCAACCAAAAAACAAGTTGGAAGCTGCAAGGCCCATTATGACCTAGCTTTGGAAGTCCTGCTGTCACTTTTGTCATACTCCATTGGTTACATAGACTGTCTAATTCAATGTAGGAGGACACTACCCAAAGACATGGATATCAGGAAGTTCAAGACTTCACAAATAAACATTCACATGCAAAGAGAAAAATCAGAAAAATCATAGCCTAAATCCAAAATGAAGTCACAGCTGGCTGCTTTGGAAAAAAGAAGGATGAGCTTTGTTGGCAAAGTCAGCTCTTCTGCATGTTTAAAGTCTATGTAGCAGAGAGCCAGTTCAACCTTCCTCTGCCTTTTTGTTCTATTTGGGCCCTCCACAGATTGGATGATGCCCATACACATTGGAGAGCGCAATCTGCTTTACTCTATCTACCAATTCAAATGCTAATCTCTTTTGGAACTACCCTCACAGACACACCCACAAATTATGTTTAATCAGATATCTTGGCATCCTGTGGCCCAGTCAAGTTGACCCATAAAATTAACAATCACAAGTGGAGCCCCTTAAACTTCTTTCAGTGAAGGTGATGGTGGAGACAGTGTGGGAGAGTCTGCAATTTATCCTGAGTGGTTTTTGCTTTCTACTTTCATTATACTAAAGAATGCAGTGATTTTTAATTTAAAGTAACATCTAAGCCTTGGGAAGTAGTTCAGAATGTGGATGCTGAAATCTTACTCCACCACTTACAGGCTGTGTGACCGTGGGGAAGTTACTTAGCTTATTTATGCCTTGGTAGCTTCTGTTGTAAAATAGGGATAATAATAGCACATACCTCATAGGGTTGTTTAGATTATTAAATGACTCCAAGCATGCAAAGCACTGTGAATACTGCATTGTGAGTACCTATTAAATGCTAGGCAGATTTAGCTATTCTTTTTTTATTATTATATTAATGCATTCACTATTTCTTACAACTGGGAACAATTACTCTTGATCCATTTTTTAGTATGCCAACCTTCTGCAGCTGGTGAATCTTAGCATTAGTGGTCTTATTTAGGTTTTTGACTGATTAAACAGGATTAATTTCTGACTAGTGTTTAATAACTTCTCTGCCAGGAAAGCCTTTGGGTTTTTTTTGAGGTTTTAGTATAAGTTTTCAATTGATAGGATCCAGGTGCCCTAAACTTGAGATTTTAAAAAGTTTAAAAAAAATTAAAAATTTTTTATTTGTTTGGATACATAACAGTTGTACATATTTATGGGGTACATATAATATTTTGATACAGGCATACAATGTGTAATGATCAAATCAGGGTACTTGGATATTTGTCACCTTAAACATTTGTCATTCTTTGTGTTAGGAACATTCCAATTCTACTCATTTTCAGATAATTTCTTCTTGCTTGTTAACATCCTTTTTTTGCAGATTGAAGAACTCCCTTTAATATTTCTTATATGACAGGTCTGGTGTTGATAAAATTCCTCAGCTTTTGCTGATCTTGAGTTTTGATGAGGACCTCTCTCCTATCCCCCAAATTTTGACCACAAAGTAGATCAAACACAGTTAAGGAATATTTGGGCTTATCATACAGAGAGAAATATGAGGTAGTATAACACTTATGACCATTTAAATCTAAAAAAAAAATCTATAAAGACAGGTTATAGGAAAACTTGAATTATCAAGATTTTTAATTTAAAAAAATTGTAAATACTAGGGCCAGTGAAACAGTGTTAAAAGGAGTTTGTTTTTGTGACTTTTTTTTTTTTTAACGTTGAAAATCAGTATTAAACATGTATTCCAGGTGACACGGAGGCTATAGGGCTCAAGTAATTGTAGAAAGCTAAATTCTTTCTTATTGCAGAGCCATGATAGTCTCCATTTCAGTACCTAATTTGCACTCTACTTCTTTTTAGCTAGCTTAATATTCATTTATAATCAGAAGTGTAGTGAGTCGCAAACCTTAAAGGATTTAGAAAGATTTTGTGAAATTAGCAAAATATCTGCTACCACAAATGTTATGTTATGAATTCGTTCGTTGAAATTTACTTTGACAGGCTTAGGAAAGGATCTACAACATTAAGGAAGAAATGTTGGATACCATGCTAGCGGAGTAGTGGACTGATATTCTCCCTGGGCATTTCTGAAATATGGCACTATTAAATATTGGAAACTCTCTGGTGACTTAACTTCTAGTCCTAATATATATTATATAATCATGGAGGTTTTGGGCCAATAATCTAATAATTAACTGATGCTGGTGACAAAGAATGAGTTTTCATGTAATGGTTAGAGATGTTACATAAAATATGCCCTTTTGAAGAGAAATAGCCTATGTATTTAAATTATGCTAGTAGGCAGCATTACACATGAGCAACAGATACTTCCCTGGGACAATAGGCTGTTAAAGGACCACAAAAGCCTCCTAATTGCAATCTTCCTCCATTCTAACCCATTCTCTACTTTCAGCCAGGGTGCTGATTGTAAAGATGAGTATCCCATCGTGGGTCACTCTGCTTAAAACGTTCAGTGGCTCACAGAGCCCTCAAAGGAAGTCTGAACAATTATTACATTCACTCACTCTCATTTTAGTTTTTCTTCCACCCTGCCATTTTATCACCCAGACATCTTGGATATTGAGTCATCTCAAGGAATTCAAGGATGACCAGGGTTCACAAGAGGTGAACTGGGAGCACAGGCAGGCCTTCCTGCCCAGCTCTGACCTCCGTGGCTCTCCCTGCCATCTGCCTCATTCTCTTTCTCTGTGGACTGTCTCTGCTTTGGCATGTTTGGAAATGGCCACCCTGTAGCTCACTTGTTTAGATGTCTTTCCCACAAGTGATCAGCAGAGATAGAGGTTTGTATAAGTCCGTTCTCACATTGCTATAAAGGAGTACCTGAGAATGGGTAATTTATAAAGACTCACAGTTCTGCAGGCTGTACAGAAAGCATGGCTGAGGAGGCCTCAGAAAGCTTACAATCACGACAGAAGGCAAAGAAGAAGGAAGCATGTCTTACATGGCTGGAGCAGGAGGAAGAAAGAGAAGCTGGAGGTACCACACATATTTAAACAACCAGATCTCGTGAGAACTCACTCACTATCCTGAGAACAGCAGGGGGGGATATCCACCCCCATGACTCAGTCACCTCCCACCAGGCCCCTCCTCCAACACTAGGGATTATAATTTGACATGAGATTTAGTCAGGGACACAAATGCAAACCATATCAAGGTTCTATTTCCAGTTCCCGGGAAAGTGAATCTGATGGGCTAGAGTAAGATAGGCTCTCCTGAGCCTGGGAGATGGCCACAGGCATAGTACTGGCTGTGAAAGCAGACTGCCAGAAGAAAACACAGTCAACCTTTTGTTGCTCCCCTTAGCCCACTCCTTCCCTTTTCATTTTCCAATGACTATAACATCAGATGTCTTCATATAGGCTTGGAGTTTGGTCTTTGGTACCGAGGACTGTGATTGCCATATACATTGCTTATTTATTTATTTTTTGAGACAGGGTTTTGCTCTGTAGCCCAGCCTGGAATGCAGTTACATGAACGTGCCCCACTGCAGCCTTAACCTCCTGGGCTCAAGTGATCCTCCTGCCTAAGCCTCCTCTGCAGCTGGGACCATAGGCTTGCACCACCACTCCAGGCTAAGTATTTTTTATTTTTTGTGGAGACAAGGTTTCACCATTTTTCCCAGGCTGGTCTCGAACTCCTGGGCTCAAGTGATCTTCCCGCGTTGGCCTCCCAAAGTGCTGACATTACCGGTGTGAGCACCACCCCTGGCCCCTGGTTTATTTATGGGAAGCTTAAGGCAGCCAAGAACCTATCTTTCCAACAAGGTGGTATATCTTGTCAATTTTTTTCATTTACTCATTTATTTAACCGATATTTACTAGTTATCTACACTGTTTAAGGTGCTGTAATATAGAGATGCATGGAATATAATATAATTATATATAGTATAAAGTCCAGTTTACTTTTTGGGGGAAACTGTTATATATTTAAGCTACATTTGCTTGCTTGTCCAGGGTTATAATCCTTTATTCATTAATATTTTCCCCCAGATCTTGTTCCAATATTATGGCAGGCAGTCAAACCCTTTAATCATTTGCCTGTAAAGATGTCTCTGATTTATTCAGAAGGTTTACTCATTCTAGTTAGGAGTAACTAGGAGAATAGACATGTTAGAAAAATAGAAATCTAACAGCAATGTTGCATGACATTATGAGTTTGACATTAATTAAATAACAAGAGAGTTTGTATTATCTGGGAAGCTGGAGGCTCTAAGATTATAAACATGGCAGCTTGCCCAAATCATTTCTAGAGTTGGAAGTAGCTTGAAGTTCAAGACTTCACAAATAAACATTCACATGCAAAGAGAAAAATCAGAAAAATCATAGCCTAAATCCAAAATGAAGTCACAGCTGGCTGCTTTGGAAAAAAGAAGGATGAGCTTTGTTGGCAAAGTCAGCTCTTCTGCATGTTTAAAGTCTATGTAGCAGAGTCTAAAAGAAAGCAAACCAAATTTCGATTCTCTCTTATAGCAGGCTTAAATTTAGCTCTTTGTGGAAACTGGTGGGGAACATGTACATGGTTAAAGGTATATGGTGTTATGTTTTTAAAGTTCAATGATGATAACTGTTGAAGGGGTTATATCACTAGAGTATTTATTGGGGTGATAGTGGGTAGTAGAATAGTGGGAGACCCCTCCAAAGAGACCATTAGGTAAACCAATTTGTTGAATATTTGAAATCATATTCTCTTGTAGTGAGGAAGAAAGCATACTTGAACTTGCATTCTTACAACTGAACACTTAAAAACATCATTTGGAAAGCTGTGCCATGATAACCATTGTGAAATAAATAAGGGGAAGAAAGCATAATCCACCAACAAATGCCATCAGTAGATGTGCCAAAGCTGAGTGATGTTTATCATCAAGCTTTGATTTGACGGTAAACATGTGCAGATCGTGTGCAAACTGTCTTCCTAACTGTTGAACCCCTTGCTTCCTTTGTGCACTGGCTAGTGCACCCAGGGATGTCAGGTGACTTTTTCATAAGAAGATGGTAGGTTAATTCCATAAAAGCGCAATTCAAGAGCCCACTTTGAATACATTTTGAGGTGGAATGTTGTCTTTGCAGTTGGTGATTTGAAAGGTTACTTTAAATCCACTGAGTAAACATACTAAAGTAGGTGAGAGGTTCTTTCTTGGGTTTTGGGAAAGTGTTATTGATGTATGATAATTGTGGCTAAGGTCATTTCCTAATCTTCAATATTAACTACAAGTTTGTCCTGTCCTCTGTAGAGAAGTATAAGAATTAATTTGCTGTCTGAGGAAATAAAAATGATAAGGGACTACTCACAAAACGCATTTTCCATAGCAAAAGGGCAAAAGTGCTAATTGAATGTAGGTAATATTTTCCCACTTCGAGGAAAAAATAATATGAACTTTGAATCGATTCCTTATCTACAGATATGGATCCTTATCTACATGGCATTTTATTTTGCTCATCCTTAGGACTTTTCTCATCTTTTATTAGGACAGGACCTACCATGTTTTTCTAATAATGCTGGCCTGGCCAAAGTCATATAGAACTTTCGAATTCCTTTTTACTTGATGTTGTGCCCAGGGGCTGGCCAAAGTTAAGGGTTTAGCCTCTTCTGGCACTGAGTAGTCCACAGGGAAATGGACCTCTGACTGAGGGCTCATTAATTTATCCTAGTCAGTTTTATTTTTTAATATAATTTCTGCATCCAGGTATAGTTTACAATGTTCAGACTGTATCTTTAGCTGTCAAAGGCTTACGGTCCAATCAGTTTGGGGGGAAAAGCTGCTGAGCTTTAAGCTGTTCTAAAAGTATATAATTTACACAAAAATTAGAGAAGTTGGATAGGGTGATCTATCTCTAGTGAATGACTGTTTTGTTGTTGTTCCAATTTCCAGTCCATTACAGACTGATAATTTTGTGGACTACAGTAAAAATCAATTACTAAAAGTAAAAAACCGAGACATAAAAAATATAAGCTCCAAAGTTTTATTAGATTTAACAAATATAAAATTAGACTATCTAATTGTTATAAAAGTTTTCTAATTTTTTTCAATATATCTACACTTATGTGAGATAAGCATACTTATCTCATTTTGTACTCATCACAAATAGTTTGCAGATTGGCATGGAATCACGCTGAGACACAAAATCTAATTTTTTTTTTTTTGAGATGGAGTTTCACTCTTGTTGCCCAAGCTGGGGTGCAATGGCGTGATCTCGGTTCACTGCAACCTCCACTCCGGGTTCAAGTGATTCTCCTGCCTCAGCCTCCTGAGTAGCTGGGATTACAGGTGTGAGCCACCACACCCAGCTATTTTTTTGTATTTTTAGTAGAAACGGGGTTTCTCCATGTTAGCCAGCTGGTCTTGAACTCTTGACCTCAGGTAATCCACCCGCCTCAGCCTCCCAAAGTGCTGGGATTACAGGCGAGAGCCACCGCGCCTGGCCTACAAAATCTAACTACTTAGTTGTAGTTGAAAAAGTTAAATAGCACCTAGAAGCTTCCCCTTAAAAAATTTCCCAAAATGATATCTTGATTTAAATTTGCTATATTCACTTTTTTCCCTAATAGCAACAATAAAAACAACAACAACAGCAACAACAACAAAACATTGACTACATTTTCCCTTTTTTTAAAACAGCGCCTCAACAGGTTAATCCTATTCCAGGGAAGTCTAGGTTATCTGCCTAGTCCTGGGTGAATCTTGATCACATTGGTTATTCCAGTTTCCTGCTGAATGATTGGAGTAGGTAGGAACAAGTGACACAATGCTGGCCAGTGAGATGTGAGGGAAGTTGGGGAAGTTGGGGCACTTTTGAAAAAGTTTTCTTTCCTCTTAAAAAAGATACGATGAAATGATTTGAGGCTATGATGCCTGGAGCTGCTACAGCCATCTGTCAACCTATGCGTTTATGATGATTAGAGTAGAAACATGGAAGAAACTTGGATTTTCAATGAATTATTCAATTGCTAAATAAACTAATTTTACTGCCTTCCAAATTTCTTATATGGGATTTAAAAATTCTTTATCTTTTAAGCAATTTGTCGTTCTCTTATTTGCAGCCAAAAGTATCTAAACAGTAATTTGCAATCATTCAAAGCATATATGATATTTTAATAAGGAGTTCAATTTTTAAGGAAAATCAGTAATTAATTAGATGTTTAAGAATCAATTTCCCATGCAATGCTCTACCGCAAGGCATGGCTTTTCATCAGGTGGCAGCTCTTAGACTTGCAAGCAAAAAGACTACTAGAAGGAATGAACTGATCTCTGTAGGATTTGCTCAGTGAGCCAAATGTTTAAGAAGAAGCATATGTCACAAAAATAAGGTGTACTGCAGCTGTAAAGACTGCCTTTGTTTTGAGATATGGGATATTTCTAACCTTCAGAAGGGGTAGGTTAAATCAAGTCTGAATCTTGTTTTGAGTCTTGAGGCAAGTGCACAATGTGCATAGTCCTCTCAGAGCAGGCTGTAGGTTATGGATCATCAGTAACCATTGGAGGCTGTGGCTGAGGGGTTGCACAGTCTTTTTTAATTCCTCAGTGCTCTGCTTTCAGCCTTGAAAGTTTACTGAAATGTCCAGATGGAGGAGATGCAAGCTGCAGGGCTTGAGAAGTACCTATGAGTATAAAAAGAACTATGACTAGGCATTTTGGGTGCTGGAGTTTGTGACAAGTAGATGGAAAGGAAAAAGAGATGGGGGCTGAATGAGGTCATATGAGTGAGTGTAGCTGGCAATAGAGCTGAGAGATTTTAGTTTTTTTTTTTTTAATTAAGAAATGAATGACACGTTGAGTCTGCCATTATTATGTGTTAGAGATTGTCCTCAGCACTTTTCTTACATTAATTCATTGAATCCTCACCACAGTCCCATCAAACAGACAACATTATCATGCCCAGTTACAGATGAAGGAAGTGAGTCCAGTCCAGGGAAGTTAACTATCTTTTCCAAGACCCACAGCCTTCATAGTTCACGCTTTTACCCATGAACCACTCTTGCCATATGGAACATTTCAACTGTATAGCCAAGTCAAAGAATAGTATAGGAATCACCCAGGTATCCAGTCCTCCACTCTGTCATTTAAAGAAATACAACTTTAAGAACATAGCTGGTCCCTGAACACCTTTCTCTGCCCGCAGTTCTCCCTTTCTTTCTGTGAGCTTTCTGGCATGAGGCTTGGTTTGGCTTTTGGTAGAGGGGCTGGGTTTACTTTCTCATGCCTCCTGGGCCCTGCTTACTTAAGCAGCAGTTCTGAGAGAAGCAGTTTTCTCCAGCCTCTGGAGCCCAGAGCCAGGCTTCAGCCAGTTGTTCTAGACAGTGAGGGAACCTCTGGCCCCCTTATGGGTGGATCCTTCAGTCTTCATTTAGTCCCCACTGTCCTGTAAGTGCTCAGCAACCAGCTCCATTGCCCTCTGTTGGTCATGGTGACCTGAAGCCCCATGGTTTCAGTCCCACTCACCACAGTGAGGCCTCTGGGAAAATGGGAAGGGTAATGCTATTGATTTGGGGGAAAAGAGGCTTTTCCCCCAAAACTACCTTGCGCAATGCTTATTCCTCATTTGATGGTTACCAGTAGGCAGCGCAGTTAAGCACAGTCTGAACCTTTTCTAAGGGCACAGGTGTAACAGAGCAACACGCTGCTGCTGTTTCTTGGTTGGAGGGGCTGTGAAGGCCAGGCTCTTACAGCCCTCTTTTGGTCACAAACATCTTATTTTCTGAGTTGTTTTGACTTGAAGAAATTAGGGTGATTATTTTGGAAGGATACATGAAATTATTTTCACAGTTAAATTAACTTGATATTGAAATGCAAGTTTTCTTGGCACCCGTGGATGGTAAGCAGTAGGGAGTCTGCTTTAGGCTTAGTTATTGATGCTGTTAGAACAACTCAAAGGAATTTAGAGGAGACGTGGATTGCAGCCTATAATACCTTTAAGTTAAAAAAAAAGATGGAGTCAGGAATGCTTCACCATGGAGTTGTTTTGTTTGTTTGTTTTTTGAGACAGAGTCTCGCTCTGTTGCTGAGGGAGGAGTGCAGTGGTGCGGCTCATTGCAAACTCTGCCTACTGGCTTCAAGTGGTTCTCGTGCCTCAGCCTCCTGAGTAGCTGGGATTACAGGCATGCACCACCATACCCGGCTAATTTTTGTAGTTTAGTAGAGATGGGGTTGGCCATGTTGGCCAGGCTGATCTCGAACTCCCGGCCTCAAGTGATCTGCCCCCTCTCAACCTCCCAAAGTGTTGGCATTATAGGCGTGGGCCAGCGCACCTGGCCCACCATGGAGTTTCTGCTATAATTTATCTTTTGATTTATTCATCAACTACTTAGCATTTACCTCTTGCCAAACACTGGCAGGTATGGGAGATATAGCAGTAATAAAAGCATATAAAAATTCTTACCCTCATGGAACTTACATTCCAGCAGGAGAGACGGAAATAATAATGCAAGTAGGTGTGTTTATGTTTGTGTGTGTGTGTGTGTGTGTGTGTGTGTGTGTGTGATGTTATATAATAAGTGCTGAAAGAAACAGTGAAGGAAACAGGAAAGAGTAGGTTTTTTTTTTTTTGAAGAAAACTAAACTGTTTCAAGGAGCATATTACCAGTGCAGAAGCAGATATACAATAATCAAAATAAGATTATGACCTCGAAACTGCATAGCCTCTTAGAGCATCTCCATGCTTGGACTATGATACATTTGAGAAGGTGGGGATCTAACAAGTAGGTAGGTCTTGGTGCCCTCAGCAATGGGAGCTGTAGCCCCCTTTCTCCCCTCCAGGGTGACCCTCCTCATGATCTAAAACGTCTCCTGACTGTCTCACCTCCAGCCCCTGCAATAGGATTTATCATGGTAAAAAGAGAAAAACTTGAGTTCTTCACACTCAGGGAAGGGAAAAATCTGGAAATACGTTATGGTCAACCACTGACCTCATTGGCAATGTTAGTAGTAGGAGGGAAAGTGATTTTTCTTTTTCAGAAAAGAATTTTGATGTGTGTGTGTGTGTCTAAGTGGGATAGGCTTTGGAGATCAGCATAGCCTGGGAATTTGGCAAGTTGGAAATGAGCTTTTTATTAATATCAGAAATTCAAATGAGGATTACTTCTCTAATGTAATTGCCATGAGCATTCATAATAATAATATTACAGATCATGTGCAGACCATCCTCTTTAGTTTACTAATAAAAGATTTCCATAAATCAGGATATAACTTTAAGAACACTCCCTCACCACCATTTAGAAAAATTGTATGAGGAACTGTTTTTTTTATTTGCAAGATTTTTAAGCAGAGCTCTTAACAATTTTTTTGTGAGCAGTCATTTTAAAGTGCCTACATTTGCATGACTTTATAGAGACACAGTTAAATTGACATAGGCCTAGTCATCTCAATACAGAAGAGAAGGCAAAAATTGCATTTTAAAAACTGCATTTTGGACTGGAAAGTATTTAATCCCCAAAGATAAACCGCTTTACAGCTGATTTGTTCATGGATATGATGATGGCTCTAGAAGGTAATAGATACTTGATTTGGTTTCCCTGAATAATTCCAAATTCTGGATTAAAGCATGGTAATTGACTTAAAGAAGACAGGACTTTTTTCTTGATATGGAGATATAGGGAGTAGCGTGTGTGAAAGTGGGTAGGAATAGAGTATTCTGTGACTACAAATGAGCTGATTCTATGGAGTTTCCACTTGTAGCTTTTTGGTAGTTGTAATATTTCAGCCATCAAGCACAGCTCTTTTCAGACACAATAATGATCACTTGCTGACATGGCCCTTTCAAGCCATGTCCGGTGTCTGACAGAGCTGATGGCCACTGTGAAACTACTGAAAGATGTCCTGGATGAGTCAAGCTGGCCAGACTGGCTTAGGTTTAAAACCTTGGATCCTCACATTTCTGGAACAAAAGAAAGGATGCATACAGATCACACAGAAGTGTGATTTCAGTTAAACCAATCTTGACTATTTTTATGTTTCTGAGTCAAGTGCTTCAAGACAAAAAAAAAAAAAAAAAGGAGTTCTTGTGGTCACTTGTTCACGTAGGGAAAGAGCATTTAAATGGCCACTAGTGCCTAAATGTCCACAGGTGCTTCTGCATTATTCATCAGAAGTTTCCTCTATCATTAGAATAGCACTGTCTTGCACAGAGCAAATGTTTCTTTGAGATTTAAAGAAGATGTAGGTCTAGTTGTTGCTTTTTCATTTTTCAGATCTGGATTGTGGGGATAAATTCTGATGTTTGAATTGTTCTTGTTCTGTGGGAGGAAAAAGATTTCTGATTACGGTACTTATCAGCAATTGGAGTGCTGAATCAGTTATGAAAATTCAAAATAGCATGCAGATTGCGACATAATTTTCCTCTGTGAACAATCCTTCAGGGAAGCAGCCTTACAGGATAACAGTTCGATACATTGTTCATTCCTGTACTGAATGTTGTAGTGACCCACGTCTGGGAGAGCCGGAGTCCAGGCAAAGCTCCTACATCTCCCGGATGTTGACAAGTATGCTGCCTCAGTGCTTTTTGTTGAATTGAGGTTCTACTGCTTCAAGTGCATGCATCATATTTAAACACAGTGTACTTAAACTTGGCAATGATCCTAGCATTACACTAGGATCCTAGTGATGTTAGCATTAATAATATAATCAGTAATATGCAAGAGTGCCATCTCATATTTAAGGCTTGTATTTTATTATTTGTCAAGCATCTACTCTGAGTCTACTGCCGTGGTCCTGTGAAATTACCAAAATACCGAGAATTTTGTTCCCTTAATGCATTGCTGTGGCTGTAAGTCAGGCAAAGGTGACTTAAATGTGGACCAGTTTGATTTTTAATAATAAATTTGGATCAGAATTTTAGGGTTAGATAAACAACTTTTAAGAATAATAAATTTTTCCCTAAAAAATTAAAAATTAGAAGTAGTTTCTGTGGTGAGCCATAAAAGAATATCTTAAATTCCAAAAATTTCTTCAATCATATGAAAGAAGTTTAGTGTCTGTCTTTTAATTTTCAAGTCTCTTTTTTAGTTCTTATTCCTTTTGGGTACATAGGATATTAGGTACTAGTTTAAGAAGTTTTTAAAAACTGTATTTATTTGTAAAATGTTACTTGTTTATTGGAAAACAGGGAAGAGAATAAAGAAGAATATGAATTATCCTTAACCCTCTAAGCCAGAATCAATCATAGTTGCCACCATTTTTGTATAAAGTCTTTTCTCTGTTTCTCATAATGTAAACAAATATACAGATTTAGTGTTAAGAGCCTCACCTTTGTGTGATTAACTACAGTGCCGGAGTCAGAAAGAAGAAAATGTAGACGGTATATGCCAAAGGAAGGGTTAATTCTCAGAAAACTAGAGGAGCCTAAAATATGGCAGACTCTTGCAGGCAGCCCAAAGACCTGATTTAGGAAGTTTATCTATTTTGAAACTTGAAGTTCTGGAAGATATTTTGACTGGATAAGTTTGCAGCCAGCTGGGTGACTCCACTATATTCTGATTGATCTAATAAAACACTTTCAAATCAAGTTCTTTGGTATTAGCACAAGTAACACAAATCGATTAAAATCTAAGCTAACCATTATCATTTTTTACCATTTGTGTTGGCTCTTCATCAGATCTTAGCTTTAAATGCTAAAATTCACTGGCTCTGAGATAACCACAAATCAGTCTCTGCTTTTATTCTTAAAATACTCTTTAATTTTTTAAAAGGCAACCAACAAGAGTTGGGGATCTCCTTTAGATCTGTTTGTTGAACCACCAATTCATTAGTCCAGTGAACAAAAATGTATGTAGTTACTGCTGTGTGGCAGGCATTCGTCTAGGCACAGAAAATCATGGGATGATAAAACATTTCTGTCCTTACGGAGCTTACATTTTAGTGAACAGTGACAGGAAATGAAGAAAATGACTGTTAATAGTAGTTAACTAGGAGGCTGCTTTAGATTGGGTGGACAGGACTTGTCCCTTTAAATTACTTAATCTTCACCTGAATATAAAAAAGGAGTAAGGCATACACATAGCTGAGAAGCAAGTATTTCAGGGAAAAGAAACAGCGAGTACAGCGAGTGCAAAGTGTGCTGGGGAACTGTGCAGAGTCTAGTGATCTTTGGAAAGAAGGGCAGGAGGGAGAGGCTGGAAAGAGACCATGCAGGCCCCTGGCGAGGAGTTTGGGATTAATTACGCTCCCAGTGGGAGGTTGCTGGAGTATTTGAGACGTCTACTTGACCATTTAAAAATACCATATTGGCTGTGACATTGAGAAAGGGGGTCACCAGATTGATGGAGACAAATGGCAGATGTGGGTTATTGCAAATGGAGAGTCAAGACTGTGAAGGATGGAGAAAGGAAACAATCATGAATCTTTGGTTTGGATTTTAAATAATTAGGGGATGCTGGAACCATTTACTGAGATGGAGAGGCTGAAGAAAAGCAGGTTTAAGATTTATGTGATGTTTAAGATCTTATTAATGCTTGTCATCTTCAGCAGTTATACGAGCAAGTCTGGAACTGAAGGCAAAGGATGGGGCTTGAGATTTACATTTGGAGTTATCTGTGTGTGGATTGGAATTAATGCCATGGGATTAGGCCACATTGCTTAGGATGGTGTAGAAACGCAAATTCCTTCAACATTTGGAAGCAGTTTTATTGTCCTGCTGTAGAATTTCAGATAACTGAGAATCTGCCACTACTTTGAGCCGCTGCATTTTCTGAGCTCTGATGTCATTCAGAAAAAATGGAAAGAAACTAGTATTTGTTGAAAGCCTAATGTGTATGCAAAATTGAGCAAGACACTCTTTACATGTTATTTCATTTAATCTTCACCACGATTCTCTTAAAATGTGAAGAAACTGGCTCAGAGTTAACTAAGTAAGTAGAAAAGAAGGTAATGTGACTGAGAAGTGACTCCAGGATTTAAATCCAGGTTGTTCAGTGTTCTTTTGCTTTATTGGGCTTGCAGTTGGCAGAGTTGCAATGACAATTATTTTATTTTGATAGCTCTTGCAAATTATATGGAATTTTAAAGTGAATATAACATCTCCCATATATATGTTTTAAAACTTTCAAAACAATATTTGCTCATGGCAAAGACAAGAAAACGCCTCAACAAGGTTTTAAGGTGGGATTTACTCTCATCCCTTTCTCTTTAAATACCATTTCCTTTCCACAAATTCTAGAAATTTCCAAGCCTATTGTAGAAGAGAAAAGATATCTTTCCTTACCCACCACTAAGTTCATAGCTGAGACTCCTATAACAAAATACAAATTAACAAGAGAAAAGCATACAAATTTATTTAATGTAAGTTTTATGTGACACAGGAGCCTTAAGAATGAAGAAGCCCCTCCCCCAACTCAAAAAAAAAAAAAAAAAGAGAGGTGAAGATCCAAAGCATGGGGAAACCTGTGTATTTTTATGTACAGTTGGGCAGAAGAATGATGGGATGGCAAAAGGATATGATCAAATATTGGTAAGCTGAGGGGAACTTAGCAAGGCTTGTTTGCTCAGATTCCTCTTGGTGTCTCTGTGTCTTCGAGGATAAGGATTTTTTTTTTTTTTTTTTTTTCCTGGGCATAGGGAAGGCACTTTTGGAATGAAAGTCTTACATCCTATGTTACAGGAAGGTCAGGTAATTCTTTTATGACCTGCTTCAGGGGAGAAGGGTGGGAGAGGTCAGAGAGTCATTCCTGCTTCTGATATTTCCTCAAAGGTCAATGTGCCATACTTTGGGGTGGTGTATCCCTGAACCCCTTTTTATATAGTGTATATTTATGTATATACATGAAATAACTCAAATAGAATCATGTTCTATCTGTAGTTTTGTAACTTTTTTGTTCACATAAAAATGTGTCTTAAGCCCGGGAGTGGTGGCTCACACCTGTAATCCCAGCATTTTGGGAGCCCGAAGGGGGTGGATCACTTGAGGTCAGGAGTTCGAGATCAACCTGGCCAACATGGCGAAACCCTGCCTCTGCTAAAATTACAAAATTAGCCAGGCGTGGTGGTGGGTGCCTGTAATCCCAGCTACTGTGGAGGCTGAGGCAAGAGAATCACTTGAACTCAGGAGGTGGAGGTTGCAGTGAGCCAAGATTGTGCCACTGCACTCCAGCCTGGGCGATGGAGTGAGATTCTGTCTCAAAAAAAAAAAAAAAATCTCCGATAACTTTTTTTGGCAAAATTAGATTTATGATATTCTTTTTAATCACATCATAATATATGGTTAACCCACCATTTATTTAATTGAGCCCCATGGACATTTAGATTTTTTTCAATTTGTTTTTTTTTTTTTGAGGTGGAGTCTTGCTCTGTCGTCCAATCTGAAGTGCAGTGGCACAATCTCGGCTCACTGCAAGCTCTGCCTCCCGGATTCATGCCATTCTCCCACCTCAGCCTCCCAAGTAGTTGGTACTACAGGCACCCGCCACCACGCCGGGCTAATTTTTTTTTTGTATTTTTGGTAGAGACGGGGTTTCACCATGTTAGCCAGGATGGTCTCGATCTCCTAACCTCGTGATCGGCCTGCCTCGGCCTCCCAAAGTGCTGGGATTACAGGCATGAGCCACCACACCTGGCCTACTTCAATTTGTTTTTAAACCATTACAAACAGGGTGGCAGTGAACAGCTATGTATCTGTAATTAACTGTGTGGATATCTTTGCTTCATTATGTCAGTATCTCTGCAGGACAAATCCTTGGTATTATGCTTGCAAGGTCAAAATGCATGTTTGTTTTAAATTTAGATAGATATTGCCAAGTTGATTCAAATAACGTCGCTAATTCATAATCTTGGTATTAGCCTCCTAACTTCATCCACAATGGCTTTTTAACATGAAAAATTTTGCATATCATGTGACATTATTTACTTTGACTTTTAAGTTTTTAACCATGAGTAAGGGTATTTTCTTCCTCATGTTTATTGGTTACTTCTGTGAATTGTCTTTTCATTTCCTTTTGGCTGTTTTTTAATTGGATTGTCTTTTTTATTGACTTGCAGGAACCCTTTATGTAATGGGATATTAAACCTTTATTTATTAGATATTCTTGTAGATATGTTCTCCTAGCCTATTGTTTTGAATGGTTTATATAGATATTTTTGCAAGTAGTTAAACTTATCATCTTTTTCCTTTTTTTTTTTTTTTTTTTTTTTTTTTTTTTGAGACGGAGTCTCGCTCTGTGGCCCAGGCTGGAGTGCAGTGGCACGATCTCGGCTCACTGCAAGCTCTGCCTCCCGGGTTCATGCCATTCTCCTGCTTCAGCCTCCTGAGTAGCTGGGACTACAGGCGCCCACCACCACGCCCGGCTAATTTTTTGTATTTTTAGTAGAGATGGGGTCTCACCGTTTTAGCCAGGATGGTCTCGATCTCCTGACCTCGTGAACCACCCGCCTTGGCCTCCCAAAGGGCTGGGGTTACAGGCATGAGCCACAGCGCCCAGCCACTTACCATCTTTTTCCGTTAGGATTTCTGTCTTTTCCCACATTAGAGGAAGTGTGAAATTCTACTCTGGAATGGCTTCTAGGAGGACCGAGTTAGTTATATGGCAGTACTTATGTGTTTAAAATTGTATAGACTATAGTGATTGAAATTGAAATATGTGTCTTATTTCATTGACCTACCAGTGTCAATGAGACACCCTTCCAGTGTCCTGTGTTTCTGACATTGGGGGCTTCTGAGGTGGCTGTCAGATATTAATCATCTTTCTTTTTTTTTTTTGTGATGCCCCCACCCCACTGTGTCCATGTGTTCTCATTGTTCAGCTCCCACTTACGAATGAGAACATGCAGTGTTTGGTTTTCTGTTCCTGTGTTAGTTTGCTGAGAATGATGGTTTCCAGCTTCATCCATGTCCCTGCAAACAACATGAACTCATCCTTTTTATGGCTGCATAGTATTCCATGCTGTATATGTGCCACATTTTCTTTATCCAGTCTATCACTGATGGGCATTTGGGTTGGTTCCAAGTCTTTGCTATTGTGAAAAGTGCCACAGTAAGCATACATGTTCATGTATCTATAGTAGAATGATTTATAATCCTTTGGGTATATACCCAGTAATGGAATTGCTGGGTCAAATGGTATTTCTAGTTCTAGATCCTTGAGGAATCACCACACTGTCTTCCACAATGGTTGAACCAATTTACACTCCCACCAACAGTGTAAAAGCATTCCTATTTCTCCACATCCTCTCCAGCATCTGTTGTTTCCTGATCTGTTTTTTAATGATCGCCATTCTAACTGGCATGAGATGGTATCCCATTGTGGTCTTGATTTGCATTTCTCTAATGACCAGTGATGATGAGCTTTTTTTCATGCTTTTTGGCTGCATAAATGTCTTCTTTTGAGAAGTGTCTGTTAATATCCTTTGCCCACTTTTTGATGGGGTTGTTTTTTTCTTGTAAATTTGTTTAAATTCTTTGTAGATTCTTTGTCAGATGGATAGGTTGCAAAAATTTTCTCTCATTCTTTAGGTTGCTTGTTCATTCTGATGATAGTTTCTTTTGCTGTGTAGAAGCTCTTTTGTTTAATTAGATCTCATTTGTCAATTTTGGCTTTTGTTGTCATTGCTTTTGGTGTTTTAGTCATGAAGTCTTTGCCCATGCCTATGTCCTGGATGTTATTGCCTAGGTTTTTTTCTAGCGTTTTTATGGTTTTAGATCTTACGTTTAAGTCTTTAATCCATCTTGAGTTAATTTTTGTATAAAATGTAAGGTAGGGATCCAATTTCAGCATTCTGCTTATGGCTAGCCAATTTTCCCAACACCACTTATTAAATAAGGAATCCTTTCCCCATTGTTTGTTTTTGTCAGGTTTGTCAAAGATCAGATGGTTGTAGATATGCGGTGTTATTTCTGAGGTCTCTATTCTGTTCCATTGGTCTATATATCTGTTTTGGTACCAGTACCATGTTGTTTTGGTTACTGTAGGCTTGCAGTATAGTTTGAAGTCAGGTACCATGATGCCTCCAGCTTTGTTCTTTTTTTTAGGATTGTCTTAGCTATGCAGGCTCTTTTGTTGTTCCATATGAAATTTAAGGTAGTTTTTTTCCAATTCTGTGAAGAAAGTCAGTGGTAGCTTGATGGGGAGAGCATTGAATCTATAAATTACTTTGGGCAGTATGGCCATTTTCACGATATTGATTCTTCCTATCCGTGAGCATGGAATGTTTTTCCATTTGTTTGTATCCTGTCTTATTTCCTTGAGCGGTGGTTTGTAGTTCTCCTTGAAGAGGTCCTTCACATCCCTTGTAAGTTGTATTTCTAGGTATTTTATTCTCCTTGTAGCAATTGTGAATGGGAGTTCACTCATGGTTTGGCTCTCTGTTATTCGTGTATAGGAATGCTTGTGATTTTTGCACATTGATTTTGTATCCTGAGACTTTGCTGAAGTTGTTTATCAGCTTAAGGAGATTTTGGGCTGAGACAATGGGGTTTTCTAAATATATAATCATGTCATCTGCAAACAGAGACAATTTGACTCCCTCTTTTCCTAATTGATACCCTTTATTTCTTTCTCCTGCCTGATTGCCCTGGCCAGAACTTCCAATACTATGTTGAATAGGAGTGGTGAGAGAGGGCATCCTTGTCTTTTGCTGGTTTTCAAAGGGAATGCTTCCAGTTTTTGCCCATTCAGTATGATATTAGCTGTGGGTTTGTCATAAGTAGCTCTTATTATTTTGAGCTACGTCCCATCAATACCTAGTTTATTGAGAGTTTTTAGCATGAAGTGCTGTTGAATTTTGTCAAAGGCCTTTTCTGCATCTGTTGAGATAATCATGTCGTTTTTGTCATTGGTTCTGTTTATGTGATGGATTACATTTATTGATTTGCGTATGTTGAACCAGCCTTGCATCCCAGGGATGAAGCTGTCTTGATTGTAGTGGATAAGCTTTTTGATGTGCTGTTGGATTCGGTTTGCCAGTATTTTATTGAAGGTGTTCGCATCAATGTTCATCAGGGATATGGGCCTGAAATTTTCTTTTTTTGTTGTGTCTCTGCCAGGTTTTGGTATCAGGATAATGCTGGCCTCGTAAAATGAGTTAGGGAGGATTCGCTCTTTTTCTATTGTTTGGAATAGTTTCAGAAGGAATGGTACCAGCTCCTCTTTGTACCTCTGGTAGAATTCGACTGTGAATCTGTCTGGTCCTCGGATATTTTTAGGCTATTAATTACTGCCTCAATTTCAGAACTTGTTAGTGGTCTATTCAGGGAATCGCCTTCTTCCTGGTTTAGTCTTGTGAGGGTGTATGTGTCCTGGAATTTATCCATTTCTTCTAGATTTTCTAGTTTATTTGCATAGAGGTGTTCATAGTATTCTCTGATGTAGTTTGTATTTCTGTGGGATTGTTGGTGATCTCCCCTTTATCATTTTTTATTACGTCTATTTGATTCTTCTTTCTTTTCTTCTTTATTAGTCTGGCTAGTGGTCTATCTATTGTGTTCATCTTTTCAAAAAACCAGCTCCTGGATTCATTGGTTTTTTTTGAAGGGTTTTTCATGTCTCTATCTCCTTCAGTTCTGCTCTAATCTTAGTTATTTCTTGTCTTCTGCTAGCTTTTGAATTTGTTTGCTCTTGCTTCTCTAGTTCTTTTAATTGTGATGTTAGGGTATCGATTTTAGATCTTTCTTGCTTTCTCTTGTAGGCATTTCATGCTGTAAATTTCCCTCTACACACTGCTTTAAATGTGTCCCAGAGATTCTGGTATGTTTTGTCTTTGTTCTCATTGGTTTCAAAGAACATATTTATTTTTCCCTTAATTTTGTTATTTACCCAGTAGTCATTCAGGATTCAGTTTCCATGTAGTTGTGTGGTTTTGAGGGAGTTTCTTAATCCTGAGTTCTAATTTGATTGCACTGTGGTCTGAGAGACTGTTTGTTTTGATTTCTGTTCTTTTGCATTTGCTGAAGAGTGTTTTACTTCCAATTATATGGTCAATTTTAGAATAAGTGCGATGTGTTCCTGAGAAGAATATATATTCTGTCGATTTGGGGTGGAGAGTTCTGTAGATGTCTATTAGGTCTGCTGGTTCCAGAGCTGAGTTCACGCCCTGGATACACTTGTTTATTTTCTGTGTCATTGATCTGTCTAATATTGACAGTGAGGTGTTAAAGTCTCCCACTGTTATTCTGTGGGAGTGTAAGTCTCTTTGTAGGTCTATAAGAACTTGCTTTATGAATCTGAGTGCTCCTGTGTTGAGTGCATATATATTTAGGATAGATAGCTCTTCTTGTTGCATTGATCCCTTTACCATTATGTAATGCCCTTGTCTCTTTTGATCTTTGTTGGTTTAAAGTCTGTTTTATTGAAGACTAGGATTGCAACCCCTGCTTTTTTTTTTTTGCTTTCCATTTGCTTGGAAAATATTCCTCCATTTCTTTATTTTGAGCCTATGTGTGTCTTTTGCATGTGAGATGGGTCTCCTGAATACAGCACACCAATGGGTCTTGACTCAGTATCCAATTTGCCAGTCTGTGTCTTTAACTGGGGGCATTTAGCCCATTTACATTTAAGGTTAATATTGTTATGTGTGAATTTGATCCTGTCATCATAATGCTAGCTGTTTATTTTGCCCGTTAGTTGATGCAGTTTCTTAATAGTGTTGATGGTGTTTACCATGTGGTATGTTTTTGCAGTGGCTGGTACTGGTTGTTCTTTTCCATGTCTAGTGTTTCCTTCAGGAGCTCTTGTAAGACAGGCCTGGTGGTGACAAAATCTCTCAGCATTTGCTTGTCTGTAAAGGATTTTATTTCTCTTTTGCTTATGAAGCTTAGTTTGGCTGGATTGGAAATTCTGGATTGAAAATTCTTTTTTTAGGAATGTTGAATATTGGCCCCCACTCTGTTCTGTCTTGTAGGGTTTCTGCAGAGAGATCTGCTGTCAGTCTGATGGGCTTCCCTTTGTGGGTAACCTGACTTTTCTCTCTGGCTGCCCTTAACATTTTTTGCTTCATTTCAACCTTGGTGAATCTGACGATTATGTGTCTTTGGGTTGTTCTTCTTGAGGATTATCTTTGTGGTGTTCTCTGTATTTCCTGAATTTGAATGCTGGCCTGTCTTGCTAGTTTGGGGAGGTTCTCCTGGATAATATCCTGAGGATTGTTTTCCAACTTGGTTCCATTCTCCCCGTCACTTTCAGATACACCAATCAAACATAGATTTGGTCTTTTTACATAGTCCCGTATTTCTTGGAGGCTTTGTTTGTTTCTTTTCACTCTTTTTTCTCTAATCTTGTCTTCTTGCTTTATTTCATTGAGTTGATCTTCAATCTCTGATATCCTTTCTTCTGCTTTATCGATTCGGCTATTGATACTTGTGTATGCTTCACGAAGTTCTTGTGCTGTGTTTTTCAGCTCAATCAGGTAATTTGTGTTCTTCTTTAAACTGATTATTCTAGTTAGCAATTCGTCTAACCTTTTTTCAAGGTTCTTAGCTTCCTTGCATTGATTTAGAACATGCTCCTTTAGCTTGGAGGGGTTTGTTATTACTCACCTTCTGAAGCCTACTTCTGTCAATTCGTCAAACTCATTCTCCATCCAGTTTTGTTCCCTTGCTGGTGAGGAGTTGTGATCCTTTGGAGAAGAGGCATTTTGGTTTTTGGAATTTTCAGTCGTTTTGCGCTGGTTTCTCCCCCTGTTCATGTATTTATCTACCTTTAGTCTTTGATGTTAGTGACCTTCGGATGGGGTCTCTGAGTGGATGTCCTTTTTGTTGATGTTCATACTATTCCTTTCTGTTTGTTAGTTTTCCTTCTAACAGTCAGGCCCCTCTGCTGCAGGTCTGCTGGAGTTTGCTGGAGGTCCACTCCAGACCCTGTTGCCTGGGTATCACCAGTGGAGGCTGCAGAACAGCAAAGATTGCAGCCTGTTCCTTCCTCTGGAAGCTTTGTCCCAGAGGGGCACCCGCCAGATGCGAGCCAGGGCTATCCTGTATGAGTTGTCTGTCAGCCCCTACTGGGAGGTGTCTTCCAGTCAGGATACATGGGGGTCAGGGACCCACTTGAGGAGGCAGTCTGTCCCTTATCAGAGTTCAAACACTGTGCTGGGAGATCTGCTGCTCTCTTCAGGGCTGTCAGGTAGGGACGTTTAAGTCTGCTGAAGCTGCGCCCACAGCTGCCCCTTCCCCCAGGTGCTCTGTCCCAGGGAGATGGGGCTTTTATCTGTAAGTCCCTGACTGGGGCTACTGCCTTTTTTTCAGAGATGGCCTGCCCAGAGAGGAGGAATCTGGAGAGGCAGTCTGGCCGCAGTGGCCTTGCTGAGCTGCGGTGGGTCATCATCTTTCTTATACAACTCCCACTTTCCCCACGGTTGCAGCTCTTTCTTACTTTGGTTCTTTCTTGATGGCTGTCTTCTTTACCCTCAAAAGTTTTGCTTTCAGTTGTGTCTTCATGTCCCTGCCACCATTGTGTGATACAATTTTTACTCTTCTCTTTCAATCCATCCCTGACACTACCTTGTTCTCCATGACATTTTTTCCTGTTCCTTGTCAATTATTGTACACTTCCCATGCTTTACTTGAAAAACCACACCAATCATAGGGTAATCTCAGCCTTGCTTATTCTTGTTGTATGGTCTACCTGGTGCTGCTCAGGAAGTGTGTGGCAGATGTACGTGCATACGTTAGTATGTGTAACTATTTCTGAATTCAGACTTAATAAATCTTTTATGCAGAGGGTTATAGTTTAATGCTGGCCTTTTTTTCTTTTTTGGGATTGACTATTTAGAAAATGTTGTAACACATCTGCTCTTATTATCTATGCATACTTTGATTATAAGAAGTTTTCAGTGTTTTTCATCTTCCATATTTAGATTTTTCTACTATTTTTTAAAAACGATTTTGAAATCTGTAGTACACTGATTTGGGATAACAACTCCAATCAAAATGCCATAAATAGGCTGTGATGAACACTTAGTTACTCAGCAATGTTTATGTTATTTAATTTTTTTAAAGGAAGCTTATGATATTAGGACAAAGGTTTGGATGAGGACAAATGATTTTTGAAAAGTAAACCTGAGGGGATTCTCCCAGGCATTTTCCTTACCACACAGAGTTCTATTTTTGTTTATAGGATGGATTTTTTTTTTTTGACAAAAACATCTGCCATAGAAATAAGGTGCTTACTTTAAATGCCACACAACTTGATTTCCAACTGTCTGTGGTTGGAAGTTGTCAGGCCTGCTTCAGCATAGCAGGTGGTCTCTGAAGCTTTTAGTCCCTTGGATTCTTTAGGCCTGAGGGCAACAGAGGCTTTGGATGGGGGTAGGGAGTATGGCTTTGTTTTTCAGGGAAAATGTGATCTCTTCTTCCATTTTCTGTTTTGACTCTTGCCCCTTAGAAAGCCTTAAAGCAACAGGGGATTTGGAACTCTCTGGATAAAATTAGGACAATTTGCATGAAATCAATTTGCTTTCTTTTTCTTCTTTTTTTTTTTTTTTACTTTTTCTGTTTTTGTTTTGAAAAAGAATCAGCTTTATGTTGGTGAAGGAAATAATGGCTCAAGTATAAGAACTGGGAGCTACTGGGGGTATATGAATTTGTTGGAGTATGGAATAGGCACTCCCTTTTACAATGCAGTTGAACAAAGGAGGTAGATGGACTCCTGTACTGTACACTGCCCTGTACACTACTCCTGTACTGTACACTGCCCTGTACACTACTCCTGTACTGTACACTATAGAGTATAAAGTGTACAGTGACTTTAAGAAATGAATTAGACAATAACAACCTTAACAAATACTTACTCTGTGTTTAGAATGTGTAATGTACTGTGTAAGTATCCTATAGAGGTGTTACCAACTATAAGTTCTGGGGGCTCTCAGTGTAATAGAAATTGACATGAGGCTAAAAGAGTTTTCCCAGACAAGCCTTCATTGGAGCTTTTGCCCAAATATAAGGGAGGCAGCATGAGAAAGAGTGAAAAAATTCCCTGACTGACTCTCCAAAAAGAGCCAATAGGGCTTTTTTCTTGGGCAAAGTATGGGAATTGATATCAGGGGCAGGGTATGCAGGCTGAGTTGGGCAAATCAAAGAGGGACAGGGTGTGCAGGTCAGCATTATCTGGTTGCAATGGTTATCTTGGGTAATGGGCCACTTGGTGGTCTGGCCTGTGGCAAAAAGGCTGTAAAGCAATTGTTCAGCACTTCTTCCCCTCAGGAAGCTCCTCAGGAAGCTGAGGTGGGAGGATCACCTGAGCCCAGGAGGTCAAGGCTGCAGTGAGCCCTATGGTGCCACTGCCCTCTAGCCTGGGCAACAGAGCCAGAGCCCTGTCTAAAAATAAAAAGAAGATCAGATACCATTGGGAATTTAAGTAAATAGGCTGGAAAATGAATCTCCTGTTGTCTGAAATGTAAGGCAAACAGACTTTTAGTAAGAGGCATTTCTATGGAAACAAGAAAAACAAATGTTAATGGTAGAAATTTTATTGTTAAAGAATGGAGAGCTCCATTCTTTAACAGTCTATCCAGACGTTAAACTCAAAACGTCTTAGTTACAGAAGAGGAGGACGGTGGCTGTTTGACATTTTCTTCTTGCCTGTATCGTAAGAAATACGTTTTAGCCTATAGGGCCTCAGGAAAGAGGTAGTAGCAATTCTATTGAGCTTTAGTCAGAAAAATGGGTGATATTTTGAAAATGTTAGTTTGAAGACTTGTAATCCAGAAAAGATTTAAGATTCAGTCCAAACTGTAGAAAATAATACATATTAAAAAAAACCTCAAAAACGAGACAAGACTAGAATCTAACAATAGGTGTATTATAATCTTTCTCCATTCTCTCATTTTTATCCAAGACAAATCATGGTAGAACCAATTTGTTTGCAAAAATAAGTTTTAGTCTTATATTTGGCCTGATTAGTTATATAAAATGCAACAAGAATAATTATTTGTCATATAAGCTCTCTTTCAAATTGGCATTCTTAGAACTTTTTCCATAAGGAGTCTCAGATTAGACCTTCTAAAGCCTTGAACCCATCCATGGATTTATTTGTGCCTGCAAATACCTGTATGAATTGGATGAATTCCTCTCCTATGGAGGTCCAAAGTTAACTTGGGGCTCCTGGGCTTGTTAGAAAGTGGCATTCTTTACTTACCACAGGTTAGGACTCCTGTACAGGGACTGGGTAGAGAAGGTATGTGAGGACCAGTTTTTTCAAGGGATTTTATTGGCTCTATAAATCACCTCTGATTCCTTAAAGCAGTCTGTTTCTATTTAAAAGAATGCCATTTCAGTCAAAGCCTTGGTAAAGTAACCAGCGTCTCCAACTGTGCTCCTATAAAACAGATTCTTATTGTACTTATGCAAATGACTATATTGCCATAATTTAAGAATACTCACAAATAGTTTCCAAATTCTGGAGAAACCAGGTAGAGAGAAAGAAACATTCTCCAAATTTTGCTCACAGGAGTATACTTCATTGTTAAAAGCTGTAAATAGCTCAAAAGAAAAAACAAGTTTTCTTGACTGAAAAACCAAAGGATCAGCAAAGTTTCAAGCAAAAAGTCATAGAAAGATTATTTTAATGTTGTATTGGTTCAGTCCATGCAATTAACTCCTTTTCTGCTTGATATTTTTGAACATAGTAGCTCTCCAAGAGAATCTTGGAAGATTTTTTCTCTATTCTAATGGCCCAGTCACCAAAGTTATCAGAGGCCTGCATTCAAGAGTGCCTGTCAGAGTCCTATAGCTAATTATAAACCATCCTCTGAAAAGGATCAAACAGGACAATTGTCTGTGGATGACAAAAGTCTTAGGACAGTCACAGTTAAAGACACAATTGACAAGTAAATTTGGTTATGCCAGTGGCACATAATGATAATAATTATTACTGATAATATATTGACAGAATTACAATTTTGAAAACTATATTAATAACACATTTATATGGATATAACCCAAATAAAATTAAGCACTATTTTATACTTGACAATGTTTTCCATGTGATTTAAATTAAATTAATTATATTAAACTGAATATGTTTCTTTTGGATTCTAGGGGAACTAATATCTAACAGGGTTAATCAGGTTAAAAAAAGCTAATTTAGAATTTGATTTTGGAAAGTTTGTCACATATCAAAGGTTTAAAACACTTGATATCACAAAATTAAGACCACAGTTTATTTATTTAGCCAAAGTGATTAACTCAAAGATTTCAAAAAAGCAAAAATCCTTTATTATTTTATAGAGAGGAGACAGCTTTCCAAATAACAAGACCCAATAAAGACAGTTTGAGGCCAGCTGAATCTGTCTCTTCTCTGTCCCCTTTTCCTGTAGGCAAGCAGAAATCTTGATCAAAGGTAAACCAAACTTTTTTCTTTGCAGTAATATAGTAATGCTAAAGCTAATTTTAATAAAATTTTATATGTAAATCTAATTTAAACAAGTTTAATCATAAAAGAAGACTTTAATAAACCTTTTATAACCTTTTACAATTTTCTGTTAAAGAGCAGATCAATGCTCCAAGAGAACTCTGTTATTCTGACACATGGGCTCAGGTTCTGGCCCTGCATCAGTGCTAATGTTTAATTTATGGAAAAACTAAATGATGCCATTTTAATTTTAGTCGTCTTGCTCACACACAAATTTTTCTTTGTAAGATTAATCTTTTACAAACCTCCTACACCTTGCTTAAACTTTCAGTTTTATTCTTTTCTATCTTAAAACAATGCTTAAACCCTCTAAATTAGACAGAATTACTTTCTCTTAGAAGAAACTATAATTTCCATACCTTTCTACTAAAAATGCATGATTTTTATTTTTAGTGTAAGTAATTTTAATTATGTATCAGGTGTAGAGTGTAGGATACAGGGCAGAACCACAGATAATGTCGGACTCTTTCTAGCATAGCTAGGGGATATGGCTAACTCCAAATGTCTCTAGGCCTTACCTAGAATCCAATGGCTCTAAAGCAAGCAAGTTGAACAATTATCAAAAGCCATAGAAGCAGTTTATGACTTTAAAGCATCTAGTAAGGACAGTAGTATCTTACCTGTCTAATTTAGACCAAATGTCTAATTTTTAAAATTTTAATAATATTTAGGGAACAGGTGGTTTTTGGTTACATGTGTAAGTTCTTTAGTGGTGATTGCTGAGATTTTGGTGCATCTGTCACCCAAGCAGTATACACTGTACCCAATGTGCAGTCTTTTATCCTTCACCCCCATCCCAACCCTCCCCCTGAGTCCCCAAGGTCCATTATATCATTCTTATGCCTTTGTGTCCTCATAGTTTAGCTCCCACTTGTAAGTGAGAACATATAATGTTTGGTTTTTCATTTCTGAGTTACTTCACTTAGAATAATGGTCTCCAGCTCCATTCAGGTTGCTGTGAATGCCATTATTTCATTTCCTTTTATGACTGGACAGTATTACATTTTCTTTATCCACTTGTTCGTTGATGGGCATTTGGGCTGGTTCCATATTTTTGCAATTGTGAATTGTACTGCTGTAAACATGTGTATGCATGTGTCTTTTTCATATAATGACTTCTATTTCTCTGGGTAGACATCCAGTAGTGGGATTGCTGGATCAACTGGTAGATCTACTTTTTGTTCTTTAAGGAATCTCCACACTGTTTTCTATAGTGGTTGTACTAGTTTACATTCCAACCAGCAGGGTAGAACTGTTCCCTGTTCACAACATCCATGCCAACACTTAGTATTTTTTGATTTTTTGATTATGGCAATTCTTGCAGGAGTAAGGTGGTATCGCATTGTGGTTTTGATTTGCATTTCTCTGATGATTAGTCATGTTGAGCACTTTTTCATATGTTTGTTGTCCATTTGTATATCTTCTTTTGAGGATTGCCTTTTCATGTCCTTACCCACTTTTTGATAGGATTTTTTGTTTTTTTCTTGCTGATTTGTTTGAATTCCTTGTAGATTCTGGATATTAGTCCTTCGTTGGATTCATAGTTTGTGAAGATTTTCTCCCACTTTTTGGGTTTTCCATTTACTCTGCTGATTATTTCTTCTGCTGTGCAGAAGCTTTTTAGTTTAGTTAGGTCCCATCTATTTATCTTTGTTTTCATTGCATTTGCTTTTGGGTTCCTGGTCATGAAGTCTTTGCTTAAGCCAATGACTGGAAGGGTTTTTCTGATGTTATCTTCTAGAATATTTATGGTTTCAGGTCTTAGATTTAAGTCTTAGATCCATCTTGAGTTGATTTTTGTATAAGATGAGAAATGAGGATCCAGTTTCATTCTTCTACATGTGGCTTGCCAATTATCCCAGCACTATTTGTTGAATAGGGTGGCCTTTCTCCACTTTATGCTTTTGTTTGCTTAGTTGAAGGTCAGTTGGCTGTAAATATTTGGCTTTCTTTCTGGGTTCTCTATTCTGTTCCATTGGTCTATGTGCCTATTTTTATGCCAGTACTATGCTGTTTTGGTAACTATAGTCTTGTAGTATAGTTTGAAGTTGGGTAATGTGATGCCTCCAGATTTGTTCTTTTTACTTAGTCTTAGTTCTCTATTCTGTTCTATTGGTCTGTGTGCCTGTTTTTATATCAGTACTATGCTGTTTTGGTAACTATCTCCTTGTAGTATAGTTTGAAGTTGGGTAATGTGATGCCTCCAGATTTGTTCTTTCTACTTAGTCTTGCTTTTGTTATGTGGGCTCTTTTTTGGTTCCATATGAGTTTTAGGATTTTTTTTTCTAGTTCTGTGAAAAAAATGATGGTATTTTGATGGGCATTGCGTTGAACTTGTAGATTGCTTTTGGCAGCATGGTCATTTTCACAATATTGATTCTACCTGTCCATGAGCATGGAATGTGTTTCCATTTGTTTGTGTCATCTATGATTTCTTTCAGCAATGTTTTGTAGTTTTTCTTGTAGAGATCTTTCACCTCCTTGGTTAGGTATATTTTTAAGTATTCTATTTATTTTCAGCTATTGTAAAAGGGGTTGAGTTATTGATTTGATTCTCAGCTTGGTTGTTGTTGGTGTATAGCAGTGCTACTGATTTGTGTACATTGATTTTGTATTCTGAAACTTTACCAAATTAACTTATCAGATCTGGGAGCATTTTGGGTGTGTCTTTAGGGTTTTCTAGGGATAAAATATCGTTGGCGAACAATGACAGTTCAACTTCCTCTTTACGGATTTGGATGCCCTTTATTTTTTTCTCGTTTGATTGCTCTGACTAGGACTTCAGTAGTACTATGTTGAACAGAAGTGGTGGGAGTGGTCATCCTTGTCTCGTTCCAGTTTTCAGGAAGAATGCTTTCAAGTTTTCCTTATTCAGTATATGTTGTCTGTGCATTTGTCATAGATAGGTTTTATTCCCTTGAGGTATGTCCCTTCTACGGCAGTTTTGCTGAGGGTTTTAATCATAAAGGATGCTGGATTTTGTCAAACACTTTTTCTGTGTCTGTTGAGATGATCATATGATTTTTGTTTTTAGTTCTGTTCATGTGGTGTAACATATTTATTGACTTGTGTGTGTTAAAGTATCCTTGCATTCCTGGTATGAAACCCACTTGTTCATGGTGGATTATCTTTTTGATATGCTGTTGGATTCGATTAGCTAGTATTTTGTTGAGGATTTTTGCATCTATATTCTTCAGAGATATTGGTCTGTTTTTTTTTGTTGTTGGTGTTATGTCCTTTCCTTGTTTTGGTATTGGGTGATACTGGCTTCATAGCATGATTTAGGGAGGATTCCCTCTTTCTCTATCTTTTGGAATAGTGTCAATAGGATTGGTACCAGTTCTTCTTTGAATGTCTGATAGAATTCAGCTGTGAATCCATCTGGTCCTGGACATTTTTTTGCTGGCAATTTTTAAATTACTGTTTCATTCTCACTGCTTGTTATTGGTCTGTTCAGAGTTTCCATTTCTTTCTTGTTTAATCTAGGAGGGTTGTATATTTCTAGAAACTTATCCATCTCCTCTAGGTTTTCTAGCTTGTGTGTGTTAAGTTGTTCATGGGAACCTTGAATGATCTTTTGTATTTCTGTATTATTGATTGTAATATCTCTCGTTTTGTTTCTAATTGAGCTTATTTGGATCTTTTCTTTTTTTTTTTTTTTTTAATACACAGTTTCACTCTTGTTGCCCAGGCCAGAGTGCAATGGCACAATCTTGGCTCACTGCAACCTCTGCCTCCCAGGTTCAAGCGATTCTCCTGTCTCAGCCCTCCAAGTAGCTGGGATTACAGGCATGCACCACCACGCCCGGCTAATTTTGTATTTTTAGTAGAGACGGGTTTGCTCCATGTTAGTCACTGATCTCGAACTCCCAACCTCAGGTGATCTGCCTGCCTCGGCCTCCCGAAGTACTGGGATTATAGGCATGAGCCACCAAGCCCAGCCCTCTCTTTTTTTCTTGGTTAATCTTGATAATGGTCTATCAATTTTGTTTATCATTTCAAAGAACCAGCTTTTTGTTCATTTATCTTTTTTTTTTGTTGTTTGTTAGTTTTAGTTTCATTTAGTTCTGCTCTGATCTTGGTTATTTCTTTTTCTTTTCTTCTGCTGGGTTTGGGTTTAGTTTGTTCTTGTTTCTCAAGTTCCTTGAGGTGTGACCTTAGATTGTCTTTTTGTCCTCTTTCAGACTTTTTGATATAGGCATTTAATGCTATGAAGTTTCCTCTTCTTTTTTTTTTTTTTTTGAGACAGAGTTTCACTCTTGTTGCCTAGGCTGGAATGCAATGGCACGATCTTGGCTCACTGCAACTTCCACCTCCCAGGTTTAAGTGATTCTTTTGCCTCAGCCTCCCGAGTGGCTGGGATTACAGGCACCTGCCACTATGCCTGGCTAATTTATTTTATTTTATTTTATTTTTTAGTAGAGACGAAGTTTCACCACATTGGCCAGGCTGTTCATGAACTCTTGACCTCAGGTGATCTGCCCGCCTCAGCATCCCAAAGTACTGGGATTACAGGCATGAGCCACCATGCCTGGCCAAAGTTTCCTCTTAACACTGCTTTTACTGTATCTCAGCAGTTTTGATAGGTTGTGTCACTCCTATTGTTCAGTTCAAATAATTTTTAAATTTCCACCTGGATTTTATTGTTGACTCAAAATTCATTCTGGAGCAGATTATTTAATTTCTATGTATTTGTATAGTTTTGAGCGTTTCTTTTGGAGTTAATTTCCAATTTTATTCCATTGTGGTTTAAAGGATACATGGTATAATTTTTATTTTGTTAAATTTGTTGAGACTTTTTTCATGACCTATCATATAATCTGTCTTGGAGAATGTTCCATGTGCTGAAGAAAAAAATGCATATTTTGCAGTTGTTGGGTAAGATGTTCTGTAAATATCTGTTCCATTTGTTCTAGGGTGTAGTTTAAGTCCATTGTTTTTTTGTTGACTTTCTGTCTTGATGACCTGTCTAGTGCTGTCAGTGGAGGATTGAAGTCCCACAGTATTATTGTGTTGTTGTTCATCAGTTTCTTAAGTCTAGTAGTAATTGTTTAATAAATTTGAGAGCTACAGTTTTAGGAAGATATATATTTAGGATTGTGATATTTTTCTGTTGGACTAATCCTTTTATCATTATTTAACATTCCTTTTTGTTTTTTTATTTGTATTTATTTATTTTTTTGAGACGGAGTCTTGCTCTGTCACCCAGGCTGGAGCGCAGTGGCCTGATCTCGGCTCACTGCAACCTCCGCCTCCCAGGTTCAAGCAATTCTCCCTGCCTCAGCCTCCTGAGTAGCTGGGATTACAGGACTCCACCACGATGCCTGGCTAATTTTTGTATTTTTAATAGAGAGGGGGTTTGCCATGTTATCCAGGCTAGTCTTGAACTCCTGACCTCAGGTGATCTGCCTCCCAAAGTGCTGGGATTACAGGTGTGAGCCGTGCCTGGCCCTCTTTGTCTTTTTAAACTGTTTTTGCTTTAAAGTTTGTTTTGTCTGATATAAGAATAGCTACTTCTGCATGCTTTTGGTGTTCATTTGCATGGAATACCTTTTTCTACCCCTCTACCTTAAGTTTACATGTGTCCTTATGTGTTAAGTAAGTCTCTTAAAACCAGCAGATACTTGGTTGGTGGATTTTTATTCATTCTGCCATCCTGTATCTTTCAAGTGGAGCATTTAGGCCATTTATATTCAACATTAGTATTGAAAGTGATGTACTGTTATATTCATCATGCTAGTTTTCTGAATTCCTTGTGTTTTTTTTTAATTGTGTTGTTTTTTTTGTAGGCCCTGTGAGAGTTATGCTTTAAGGAGCTTCTGTTTTGGTGTATTTTGAGGTTTTGTTTCAAGTTTTAGAGCTCCTTTTAGCAGTTCTTGTAGTGCTGGTGTGGTAGTGGTGAATTCTGTCAGCATTTGTTTGAAAAAGACTTTATTTCCCCTTCATTTATGGATCTTAGTTTTGCTGGATTACAATATTCTTGGCTGATAATTATCTTGTTTGAGGAGGCCAAAGATAGGGTCCCAGTTTCTACTAGCTTATAGGGTTTCTGCTGAGAAATCTTCTGTTAATCTGATAGGTTTTCCTTTGCACGTTACCTGACGGTTTTTCCTCACAGCTCTTAAGATTCTTTTCTTCACCTTTGCTTTAGATAATCTGTTGACAATGTGCCTAGGTGATGGTTTTTTTTTTTTTTTTTTTTTTTTTCTCCAGACGCAGTTTTGCTCTTGTTGCCCAGGCTGGAGTGCAATGGCACAATCTTGGCTCACCGCAACCTCTGCCTCCCAGGTTCAAGCGATTCTCCTGCCTCAGTCTCCTGAGTAGCTGGGATTATAGGCATGTGCAACCATGCCCGGCCAATTTTTTGTATTTTTATTAGAAATGGGGTTTCACCATGTTAGCCAGGATGGTCTCAATCTCCTGACCTCAGGTGATCCGCCCGCCTTGGCCTTCTAAAGTGCTGGGATTATAGCTGTGATCCACCGCACCCAGTGGTGATGGTCTTTTTGCAGTTAATTTCCTGGGTGTTCTTTGAGCTTCTTATATTTGGATGTCTAGCTCTCTAGTGAGGCCAGGGAAGTTTTCCATGATTGTTCCCTCAAATATGTTTTTCAAACTTTTAGATTTATCTTCTTGCTCAGGAATACCAATTATTCTTAGGGTTAGTCATTTAACATAATTCCAAATTACTTGGAAGCTTTGTTCTTTTTTAAAATTCTTTTTTCCTTATCTTTGTCAGATTGTGTTAATTTAAAACCCTTGTCTTTGAGCTCTGAAGTTTTTTCTTCTACTTGTTCTAGTCTATTGTTGAAACTTTCTGGTGTATTTTGTATTTCTCTAAGTGTCTTTCATTTCCAGAAGTTGTGTTTGTTTTTACTTTATTATATATATTTGTCTGGCAAATTTTTCATTCATATCCTTTATTATTTTCTTAATTTCTTTGTTTTTCACCTTTCTCTGGTATCTTCTTGAGTAGCTTAATAATAGACCTACCTTATGAATTCTTTTTTTCTGGCAATTCACAGATTTGTTCTTGGTTTGGATCCATTGCTGGGAACTAGTGTGATCTTTTGAGGGTACTATAGAATCTTTTTTTGTCATAGTACCAGAATTACTTTTTTGGTTCTTTCTCCTTTGGGTAGACTATTTCATTGGAAAGATCTGCGATTCAAGGGCTGCTGTCCAGATTCTTTTTTCCCATGGGGCGATTGCTTGATGTGGTGTTCTCCTGCTTCCTCCAGGGATGGGGCTTCCTGAGAGTTGAACTGCAGTGATTCTTATTGCTCTTCTGGGTCTAGCCACCCAGTGGGGCATCAGGCTCTGGGCTGGTGCTGGGGAAAGTCTGCGAAGAGTCCTGTGATGTCAGGCATCTTCATGTCTCCTAGCTGTGGATACCAGCCCTGCTTTGGTGGAGGTGGCAAGGGAATGAAGTAGACTCTGTGAGATTTGTTGCTTGTAGTTTTGTTTAGTGCACTGATTTTCTTGAATGCTGGTTTTGGTGGCAGTGAAATTGTCATGTGGACATACTCAGGACCTCTGGTTAGCCAGTATGTTGCATGAGATGGAATTTGCTATTGTTTTCCCTTTCCTGGGAGCAGAGTTATTCTGTCTTGAGTTGCTGTAATTGCTTGAGTTGGTTGACCTCCAGTCAGGAGGTGGCACTTTCAAGAGAGCACGAGCTGCTGTAGTAGAAAGAGGATATAAGCTTGCTCTAAGTTGGCCAGGATAAATATTCTGGTTTCTCAGGCGATGGGCAGGGCCATAAAGTTTCCAAGACTTTATGTCTTTTGTGTTCAGCTACCTGGGCAGGCACAGAAATACCATCCGATGGGGGCAGGATCAGGCGGGTCTGAGCTCAGACTCTCCTTGGGTGGGAGTTGCTGAGGCTGCTGTGTGGGATGGCCGATGGAATTATGTTCCAAGAGTAATTACGGCTGCCTCACTGCGCATACAGGTTTCCAGAGAAGTGGGGGAAAGCTGGCAGTGACGGGCCTCACACAGCTTCCATGAAGCTAGTGAGCTGGTTTCTAGGGAAGTGGGGGGAAACTAGCAGTGACAGGCCTCACTCAGCTCCCATGCAGCTTCGTGCAGTTTATATGCAGGCAGTCTATGCACCAGGCTCAGACCTTGCCCCAGGCTTCAAGCCTCCTTGTTGAGAAGGCAAGCACAGCTTTCAGGCCTCACCCCTCCCTGCCTGCTCACACTGTCAGCCATGGCTCCTGCAGCAATTTCTGTTTGTCCCTCCAGATTCTGCTCAAGAAAGTTCATGCTCAGTCGAAATTATTATAAAGTTCAGCTAGAAGCTTCTTTCACCTTGTGACCCCCTCCCTAGTCCTGTGGGATCCCTTCCCCAAGGACCCCTGTTAGATAAAGTCAAGAATGGCTTCCCTAGCCTGGAGCTGGTGACTGGGAGTGCCTACAGGGCTGTTCCTGCTGCTTCTTCTACTTTAATATTTCACTTGGCTCCCTAAATCCATTTCAGCTCTAGGTAAGGTTAATTCCTTCTCCTATAATCTGGATTTTCAGGTTCCCCAGGGGAACCTGAAAGTTTTCAAGTTCAAAGGAAGGTTTTCTCCTCTTATACTTTGGGAACTCAGTTTTTTTGCTGTCTCGTGGAATTTACAGAGTGAGCTGTTTCTTCCACAGGATCTGTGAACTCTTTCTCTTCCTGGCACATTCCTGCAGTGGTTCTTGGAGCAGAATTTCACAGTGTGAGTCTCCATACTCTGTCCTGTCCATCCAAATGGTAGCTGCATCTTAGTCCTGACTTCTCTCTGCCATTTTTCTTCCCAAATGCCTATATTTTGAAGATATTTTTATTAATAATCTTTAAATAAAACAGAGGCTTATGCCTGTAATCCTAGCACTCTGGGAGGCTGAGGCAGGCAGATCGCTTGAGCCCAGGAGTTTGAGACCAGCCTGGCCAACATGGTGAAACCCTGTTTTTATGAAAAAATACAAAAATTAGCCAGGTGTGGTGGCATGCACCTCTACTCCCAGCACTCAGAAGGCTAAGGTGGAAGGATCATCTGAGCCCAGGGAGGTTGAGGCTGCAGTGAGCCGTGATCACACCAGTGCACTCCAGCCTGGGTGACAAGCTGTCTCAAAAGAAAAAAAAACAAATAAACATTGTATTTATTTACCAAAGATTACTATAATAAAAAAACTAAAATGCATTCATGTTTTTTTATTTTTTTGACAAAATATATTATTTAAGTACTTATTTTTCTTTAAGCCAATTTATTAGGGCTCTTTTATATAAATATCATACAGGCAACGCATATAAATACACAGACAAACAGAAGTAGATCTGTTAGAGTAATACATTTTTTATTTGCCAGTTTTTAAGTTTCTCTTTCGCATTTTAGACCATCAGTCTCTTGATTACTTGCTTCCTGCCCTAAACAGTGGTCAGCTGGGCAACTCTAAATTTGCATTTTTAAGAGGGCAACTCTTAGATCAAACAAGATAGAGGATTTACATTTTATTTAAACCAAGAAAAAATGGTGTGACTTAAAGTTCACACCATTTTGTCCAGGAAAAGCAGACACTGTTACACATGGAGATTTCTTTAAAGATGTA
Source organism: Homo sapiens (assembly GCF_000001405.40). Lineage (NCBI taxonomy): Eukaryota > Metazoa > Chordata > Mammalia > Primates > Hominidae > Homo > Homo sapiens. The sequence continues at coordinate 155,606,989 of NC_000003.12, read as the reverse complement.
AATTTTTAAATTGTATTATTGGCTTTAGGGTGAAGCCTTTTAAGGAACAGGGTGAGGAAGAAGTCAGTTTCTAGGGCATAATAAGCAGGCACAACTGGAAGGTAAAACAGATCACCAGGGATTAAAGATCCCATTTATATATTGAATCCTAGGTTCTCTAAAAGTTGGGAACTCAACTGGATGAGGCATTACAGTGCTTCCACAGTGTATCTTGTTGCAAAGGCATTTTTCCAAGGCTGGTGGGCAACCCAATGGCAATCAGCTGACTCTATTATCAGCCTATTCCCCCATTCAATACCTTCTTCATGCCCAAGAGCATGTTTTTCTTATCTAAATGTGCAAAGAAAGGAGTATTTTCCTGTGGTAATAACCATTCACTATAAGCAACTGCCACTTAGAGTGAATGGTTACTACTACAGAGCAATAGTAAAAGTATATTTCCTACGTAGCTAATTATATACCAAGCATAAACTATATCTCTAAAAGTATATTTCTTACCTAGCTATTACACACCAAGGCTGAAAGTTTCCTCATAATGTGGAGTTATTTTTGATGCTCCCCAAAGTAAAAAAGATCAAGTGATGCAATGCAAAACAGAGCGAAGTCTTAGATTTTGAGCAGATCTGTCCATTTACAGTTCTTGGGGTTCCATGAGGAAAACAGAGTTTTTTCCTAAAACGGGGTCTCCTCCTCTGTTTTTCCTAAGGAGTCCCAGGCTGTCAGAAATTACCTTAGGTCCTCACTTGTGGGCATCAAGGGTAGCAAGAAGAAGTAAATGGAGAAACAATTCAATGGACTGAGAAGAAAACTTTTTTTCCTCAAAAAACAAGATTCAAGAAGAAAAAAAAGCATAAAGCCCTTTTGAATATACGTATAGCTTTGATATCTGTTTTTAATTAAGCTGACTTTTAATTCTAGAGCTCTTTTTTCTTAAAAAAAAATTCTTTAAAATCTCTTTTTACCAGCTAGAGCTGGGACAAATAGCTGACACCCTTGGCTTTTAAGCCTTCTTTTTTTTTTCCCTCCCACGAAGATATTTTCCCAAGTGAAACCAGTAAGCCTTAACTTAGGTTATGACTTAGCCACAGATACATGAGGTGTCTCCAAAGGGAGGGCGAGTTGTTTTTACAAGATCTAGAATCACCCCAAAGGTAGCTCAGAGAAGGGAAAATTCAACACAGGAAGTTAGAAGTTGTTCATGGAGAGAAAAAAAATCAATAAATGGCAAAGGTCACACAAACAACAGACCAGAAAGAACTCATTCTCTAAGCCAGCAGTTGAACTCGGGCTGCCATTGCAAAAGGGCAAAGCCTTTGCTACCGAGCTGTAGCATGGGGCAATTGCCATTATTTTTCCCAGAAGGAGCCTAGAGCAGGCATTTTCGGGCTTGAAAAGGATTTTAACTGCTTAAGATGATTTTTAAGGCTAATGATGACATTATAATGCATCCTTCTTTTAATTTAAACCTTTAAAAAATTATTGAGAATAAGAGATTGCTAAAGTCCTTTTTGTTTTAATAGTGTACTTAGTTCTAATAGCAACTCAATCCAAAAGTTCTTTAAAGTCAAATGGTAATTTTTCAGATTTTTATTTTTTTATTTTTTAAAATCATACAAGCAAGAAATATTTCTAGAGAGGGGGTAGAGTAGGCATTTCCATGATCCCCAAGAATTTACTCTCAGAAATGGGCTTATGGTAGCATGAGACCTTTTAAGACAAAACTCACCCAAGGGCTTGACACATTTGGACTAAGAGTGTGTTGACTCCTTTCAGACTAGTCACCGATGTGAACCTGAAAATTCCCACCCTCCACGTGGTGGAGACAAAGAGAGAGTACCTCTACAGGGTCACAGGGTCATGCTCCCCAGGACATAAAACAAGAGGGAAACCTCATTCAGTTTTTGTTTCAGGGACCCAAAGCAAAGTTTATAACTGACCAGTCTGCTGGGCCAACTTGAATGGCGGGAGACCTAGACCTGCGTTTTATCCAGTGGAATGCCGTCCATGACAGAATGGCAAAGAGAGACAAATTCAGAGCACAAAGTACACCAGATTCGCTACAATCTAAGACTTGTCACACTAATCCTTTTTCTCATTAATTAAAACCTTGCAGAGGAGGCAAACAGTGATTTTTATCATTCTCTTAACCAGTTTGCACAGAGAATGGCCAGAAGCCCGGCTAGCAGGAAATTCTTACCTTTCGCTGGCCAGAGTTTAGGGTCTCCTTTCTCTGAGTGGCTCTGGTGACCCTACTTGCCACTATATTGTTATGAATTTTTAGTATTTCCTTTTGTTTTCCATGAGTATGGAAAACATGGAACAGACACAATTGTTACACATAAAATAGACATCATTAAAAAAGAAAGTGTTATGTGGAAGGGTTTAATACAAATAGAAAAAGGTCTGACATTTAACAAACTACTGATGAATTCCTTTCACCCTTTCTTTGACCGAATTCTCCTCATTTGTATTTATCAAGTTTATAAACATATTGACTATGTACATGCAACGTTCGCAAACAATTTTCAAACTGTTAACCAATTAGTTTTTAAAAGCCTTTTAAATAATCTTGTCTTCTCCACAGGAATGATTTAGGCAATGAAAAAAAATTAACAAACTCTACATTGTTTGTTCTTTACTGGGAAGAATCATGACTTAGTAAGAGTGAATCACTCCATGGTTGTTTGTAAGCACATTTATTCATAAGCTTGTATTATTTGACTTTAAGGCTTTACTACTGGCAAGGAATAGCTTTTTAAGTGAAGCCATTTGCTGTGAAGAGCAGTTTTATATGAATAAACTATAATAATTAGTTTATATATATATTTATTTATATACACTGCTCTTCACAGATAATGGCTTCACTTAATATTTTATTGATTGATTGATTGAGTCTAGGGTCTTGCTCTATCTCCCAGGCTGGGGTGCAATGGTGCAATCACAGCTCACCGCAGCCTCAACCTCCTGGGCTCAAGAGAGCCTCTCGTCTTAGCCTCCTGAGTAGCTGGGACTCTAGGTTTGTGCCACGAGACCTGGTTAATTTTTTAAATTTTTTGTAGAGACCAGGTCTCCCTATGTGGTCCTGGCTGGTCTCGAACTTGTGGGCACAAGTGATCCTCTCACCTTGGCCTTCTAAAGTGCTGGGATTACAGGTGTCAGCCACCACACACAGCCAAGCAGTTATGTTTTATATAGAGATCATTAAAAAAAAATCATGTCTGTAGTAAGACACCCAGATGTTAATCAGTTTCTTTCTTTAAAATTATTCTAAAAAGCTTTCAGAAGAACTGGAATTTTTTCTCATTGAAAGATAAAATAACATTTATGGAAGCTAGATCAGCTGTTTTATAAACTCACAGAACATAGAGAAAAATGCCTTTTTAGGTTGAGGAAAGTAGGATATTCAGTTACCTTCTGAAGTTCACACAGCCAGTGACAGAGCCCAGACCAGAACTCTGTTTGCTCCCTTCTTTGTGCCCACAAAACTGTGGGCAGATGCTGTTATCAAGCTGCCATGCCATAAACTAGATCTCTCAGCACCTGCTATGTACCAAGTCCCAAAATAGGTGTTGGGTTTGTGCTGAGAATTAAACAAACATACCCTTTACTTCTGCCCTGATGGTTTTAGGAAATCTCCCTTTCCTTACTTTTTGACAAACATTACCTGCATCATTTTGCACTTTTTCCACATAGAAATGAAATTGTTTTCAGAAGCTAATCTCTTTCAATTACTCAGATTTACTCTAATCTGTGGAAGCTGGCAGGAAATCAGTTCACATTTTTTATGTACCTTTTTACTAAAAAGATTGTCTTGCAAAGGACCTGGACTTTTTTTTTTGTTGTTGTTGTTTTTGTGCCTGCTAATTCACAGTTCAATGATCAGTGTCCCAGAATAGATGTGTTCACAAAAGAGTGCAAGTGATATTCTTGTATGACCCTAATCTCGGCGAATGGTCATGATTCTGTATGTGAAAATCTGTCTCAAGGTTCTTTTGTAGCAAAGAGTGATCAGAGCACCAAGTGTGCATATTACTGCTAGAAGTGATTTTGCCTGTTGGTCCTTTCAAAGGCTAGAACAAGGAAATATATGCAGGTATATAAAAACATACACATATACACAAACATGCAAATATACATGCACAAATATGTATATATGTGTGTGTGTGTAGATTGCTTTCTGTTTATATATTTATAGTCATGTGCCACATACTGACATTTCAGTAAATAATGGACCACATATATGACAGTGGTTCCTGTGAGATTATAATACCATATTTTTATTGTACCTTTTCTGTGTTTAGATACACAAATATTTACCATTATGTTACAATTGCCTATAGTATTCAGTACAGTAGCATGTTGTACAGGTTTGTAGCCTAGGAGCAGTAGGTTATACCATACAGCCTAGACGTGCAATAGGCTATGCAATCTAGGTCTGTGTGAATACACTATGATGTTCACACAATGACAAACTCCCCTAATGACACATTTCTCAGAATGTATCCTCACCCTTAAGAGGTGCAGGACTGTGTTACTTTCTGTTTTGTTCCCCTTCCTACTCTTACTGATTTAAGTATGTGGGATACTAAGAGTAGTGTCATTCCCTTTCTTATCCTTTCTACTCGATTTTCTGTCATTCTTATAGGTAACAGGGCCATTGTTATCTGATTTATCCTTCTTGGGTTCGTTTTTGTAATGATAAGCAGGTATTTGTATATTTAAAACATTTCCCATTCTTTTCTTACACAAAAGATATCATACTATATTTACCTATTCATACTTTGTCTTATTGAAACCTCCTGGAAGTTACTCCATATCAGTTCATAGAGATCTTCCTCATTATCTTTTACACTTACATAGTACTCCATTGTTTATTTTACTCAACCTGTCTCCTATTCAGGGTAATTTTTACCCGAAGTGCCAGTGGAAGAGTTTAGCATGATGTGGCGGGGCTGGAGGAAGGAAAAGATAAGAAACAACATAGTCATCATAGAAAACTCAAAAACATTATGCTTAGTGAAAGGCCAAGCACAAAAGACTGCATATTATATGATTTTATTTACATGAACTATCCAGGAAGGGCCCATTTATTGAGATAGAAAGTAGGTCAGTGGTTGTCCAGGACTGTGGTGAAAATGGGGAGTGACTGCAAATGGGCATGAGGGATAATGGAAATGTTGTGTGATTAGACTGTCACACAACTCTGTAAATAAACTGAAGTCAGTGAATTGTACATTTAAAACAGTTGAATTTTACTGCATATCAATGACACCTCAGTAAAACTGTAAAAAAAAATCAGCATCAGGTGGCATGTATGACATTCCTAACAGAATGTGATTATTTCTGATTCAAACATAATTGGAAGAATTAAACCTTCTTAGATGTCATACATACTTGGTTGAAATCTTGGGAACCTTCCTCCAAATGATATATAGTAATCATATATGTGTATATATATCCAAATGACATATACTAATCATATATATGTATATATGTATTATATATGTATATTGCCAAGTGATATACACATATATAACATAAATGATATTAATATGTTACTTCAAATCCAAAGTATGTATTTTTTACAACATTTTCTGCTTGAGGGATTTAGTGACCTTATAGCCCCTAAGGAAATTTACTTATATTAAACTGCTTGTGGCAGAAAGGATTGACTTTAATTATTTTAAAAAATTGAATTATTTAATACCCTGTAGGCCAGGTGCGGTGGCTCACGCCTGTAATCCCAGCACTTTGGGAGGCCAAGGCGGGTGGATCACGAGGTCAGGAGGTCAAGACCATACTGGCTAACACGGTGAAACCCTGTCTCTACTAAAAAATACAAAAAAAATTGGCCGGGCGTGGTGGCGTGTGCCTGTAGTCCCAGCTACTCGGGAGGCTGAGGCAGGAGAATGGCGTGAACCCGGGAGGCGGAGCTTGCAGTGAGCCGAGATCACGCCACTGCACTCCAGCCTGGGCTACAGAGCGAGACTCCGTCTAAAAAAAAAGACCTTGTAGACCACATTATTATGCCTTTTCTTTTATCGATGGGACTCTATTAAGAGTTTTAAAACTCTAGCTATGTAATAAAGTTAGGAATATAGTCTTCGACTCATCTGTTCTGCTCTTTAAATATTTATGCTACTCTGTTAGGCAGCCATTAAAATGATAATTATTAAGACTCTGTAGAAACATGGAAAGCTGTTATAATACAAATGAAAGAAGCAGAGTGCCAAATGGCTTAAATATCACAATTTCAACCAGTGCAACACATTTTTATACAAGTGTGAAGGTCTAGAGCATAACAGATACAAACAATATTTGTGCTGTGTGATGGGCTGGTAGATGTTGCTGCATTGTATCCAAATAAACTTTTTTTTTTTTTTTTTTAGCTATCTTAAGCGTACCATAAAGGAGAATGTAGAATTAAAGGGATGGTGAACATATTGGCAGCTGCCAGAATTTGTAACCTGCATTTGCAGACTTTTCTCAGAGAACCTTCAATACTGGAAATGTGTGTGATGAAGTTAAATCATTCTAAGCCACTAGAACTCTTCCCTTGTTTACCTGTGGCAAAGCCATTCTTATTCTCTTTTATGGAATCTACCAATAGAGCATGGGTGGACAATGATTTTTAGGGGTGGTAACTGCTGTTAATCATTTCTGTTGGAGGCAGAATAGGAAGAAAGTGGCTTGTGCTGACACGTAAATGATCTAGATGAGACTGGAAGAATATTTTGTATGTATTGTTGGTGACTTTTGCCCACTGGAATGAGTTGCAAAGAGTTATTGAGGGTGCTAACCAGTTATCTCTGGTTAGCTTTGTAATTACAAGGCATTGTCAACTATCTTGTTTGGGAAAGGGAAAAGTAAGTTAGATGACTCTCAAGATTTCAGTGGACTTGATTTTTCAATTTACCTCTATCCAAATGGCTTTTCTGTGTGATAGGGAGCAATCAGGTAGAAAGCATAAAGCAGCTACATAAACAATTTAAGAAGCCTATTGTTTCAGACTCAGGGTCTCATAGAAATCATATTATATGATTTATATGATTTTATGCTAAAACAATGTGCAGATATACCGTTCCTGTTAAAATGTTGAGCTGTTATAGCCATGGCAGTTCCATTTCAGGGAAAGGAAAAGGAGCTGAGAAAGGAAAGAAAGGGATTGTGAACAAAACAGAGGACCCTGTGTCAGATACATAGGCAGTCCTTGCTGTTAGATCTCTGATAGTATAGTTAACTCAGTTTTCCACTCTGGCGTAAACAATTTGTTTTCCTGTGTCAGATACATAGGCAGTCCTTGCTGTTAGATCTCTGATAATATAGTTAACTCGGTTTTCCACTCTGGCTTAAACAATTTGTTTTATTCTCTCTTCTCAAGGAAACATCTTCCTAAATTATATTTTTTAGCCAGCCAATCCTTTGAACAGATATATCTAGTGAGCCTCTCATTGCTGGTGGATCAAAGTCTTAACCAGCATCCCCAGTCCCCCCACAACCTGGTTTTATCTAGCTCATGGAATCATACATTCTGTCAATTCCCTTTTGAGTCACTCTTCCAAAGATAGAGGCTCATCTTTTCTCTTTTCTTCTGATCATTCTTAACTCATACCCTTTCCTATACCCAAGTCTTCATTGATGGTGTCTTATTACTACATTTCTCCCCATTCCAGCCTACTCTATTCTCTTTTTCTTTGGCCTCCCATAGTATTTCTGTATTTACTTCTGACTGGGCATTTATTTTTAACTATTTCAATAACAATAAAACTATAGCAGTGTCTTAGCTTGAATTACTGTAACAAAATACTATAGACTGGGTAGCTTAAACAACAGACATTTATTACTCACAATGCTGGATGCTGAAAAGTCTAAGATCAGAGTCCCAACAGATTCACTTCCTGGTGAGGACTCTTTTCCTGGCTTGAAAAAGGTAGATGGCTACCTTCTTGCTGTATCTTCATATGGGGAGGGGGGCGGGTGGAGAGAGAAAGAGAGGGAAAGAGAGAGAGAGAGAGAGATCATGGGGCCCCACTTGCATGACCTCATCTGTTTCTAATTACCACTCAAAAGACCCATCTCCAAATACTATCACACTGAGGGTTAGGTCTTTGGGGACGTAAATACACATTCAGTCTGTTACAAATAGCTACCATTTTTGGTGTTTCGGATGTGCCAGCTACTGTTTTCAGTACTTTACATGAATTAACTCATTCAATCCTTACTTCAATTCAGGAAGTAGATAATTATTCCCATTTTATAGATAAGGAAATGAGTTACTAGCTGTATGTAGTCATACAGTTAGTAAGTGGCAGATCTGGAATTCTACCCCAAGCTGGAAACAGACTGTATTCTTCACCACAGCTCTGAATTGCCATTAATAAGTATCCTGTATAGATGTTTTGTTCTCTTAAAATTTACACTCTTTAAGGTCAAAGGCAAAGTCTCCTTGTTCTTTGCTTCACCTTATGAAATAGTCTTGTGCCTGGAACAGGGAGTTTGTCTATAAACATCTGTTTATTGATATGATCTATTGTCAGTGGTCAGTGAAGTTCTAATAGGCTTTTCTGGGAATTTTGGCTTGGTTGGTTTGATTTGGTGGTTTTGTCTTGAACCTTTAATTCCTCGTGTGAGATGGTTAATGTGGCTGTCAAGAATTCAACTATGTAGCTTTCATTGCCTAAAAGAGTGATGCTCAGTGGTGGCCGAATATACTAATTTATATCAAACTCAATCTCAACTTTTGTTCTGTGCTTTAAAGTGAGCATTTCAAGTTTGTGTGTTTATTTTAAGTAATTTTTTTTTTTTGAGGCAAAGTTTTGCTCCTGTTGCCCAGGCTGGAGTGCAATGGCGTGATCTCACCTCACTGCAACCTCCTTCTCCCGGGTTCAAGCAATTCTCCTGCCTTAACCTCCCAAATACCTGAGATTACAGGTGCCTGCCACCACGCCTGGCTAATTTTTGTATTTTTAGTAGAGATGGGGTTTCACCATGTTGGCCAGGCTGGTCTCGAGCTCCTGACCTCAGGTGATCCACCCGCCTCGGCCTCCCAAAGTGCTGGGATTACAGTCATGAGCCACCGCGCCCAGCCTTCTTAAGTAATATTTTATTATTTGGGAATTTGATATGTCAGATAAAATGAGTAAACGCAACCTATACTTCATCTTCTTTGTAGTATTGAATCCTGAAACTATACTTAATTTTTTGCAGTTCCTCCTTGATTTCTTTGAGGAAAGGAAAGACTTCATGGAGTAAATTGTGAACATTTGTTATGTTGAAGTGACCTTTAATAGGCACCCTATGCATACAATGTTAAGGTGTTGGATGAGATTATCTTTCCTAGTTAAGATAAAATATTTAGCCAAAAAAGCAGAAGTCTAATGTTGCTGAGGTTTGTTTATTGTGTTTCTTTTATCTGTTGTTTCTAACAGCATACTGCTTGATAAGGTAGGTACTCAGAACTAGGTATTTTGAGTGCTCTAATGGTTTATACATAAGTCTGTATATTAGTTGGTAATCTTTGTGAAATAAAAGCTATTTCTGGTTGATATAATAAAAAAATATTTGGAAGGGTACTGGATAACTTGCAGAATCAAGGGGAAAATGGGATCATTTGTCAGTCTTAGGAAGAATAAGAATTATGACAACTGTCACATCTTAGAGTAGCCAACTAGGAGTATCTCAGTTGTTGAATGGTTCAGTTCTGTTTTCAAGCAATGATATGCTCAGGATTTATGTTCTTGGGAGGGAGTCAGATTTGCTCCAAGCTTAAGTCAGGTGTGTCTACTCTTTCACTGGGGTGATTGGCAGGCCATCAAAGGCACACAAAATGGTAGAGGATGTTTCTAAAGGAAAAGTTGGGGCACCATTACCAAACAAGGGGAAACAGGCAAAAATAACAGATTCCTATATCCAGCAAGATTTGTCTCAAAGCAGAGTGGATTTAAATGACAACTTTAACTTGGACTATAAGTGATTTGGATATTACCTGGATTCATTCAACAAGTTATTCTTCTAGAAGGGTTATCTTAGCAGTTTAATGCATCAGCAAGTGTTTTATGTTCAACTGTGAAAACTTGATTTTTTTCTGATTACATTTACAGAAATTTATTTAGCTATTTTCAAACATCACAAATATGTAACATGAATTCATATGTAATCATTATCCCATTTTAACAACAGTCAGCATTTTGCCAATCTTGTTTCTGTTGATTGCATTTAAAGCATTATTATAAGATACTTTTATAATTGGTTCTATAAAAACTCACAAGACTTATCATGTCTGAGAACTTACTTTAAGAACATAAATCCAAGTATCAAATGGTCTTAAGTCTCATACCAAAAAACAGAACAGAAGATAGCCCTATGAAGTATTGCATTATTTACCTGGAAGTAGATTTTTTTTTTTTTTTTTCTGTTAGTAAGGCTTTTTACTGACTTAAGCCTGTTGAATCAATTCCTTAACAACTCACTTTTCAGATTACCTCTACCAAATTTGTTCTGGTCCTTGGAGTCTTTGCAGGTGAATCAGAGGTTTTATTTGACTCTAAAACCTGGACACCAGTATGCCTGTGCATTGTGTGATAGCTGGATACACTCTAATTTCTTTTGCAGTTGAAAGATGCATGAGTGTGATGCAGTCCGGGACACAGATGATCAAGCTGAAACGTGGAACCAAAGGGCTTGTCCGCCTCTTTTACCTGGATGAGCACCGGACACGCCTCCGATGGCGACCCTCTAGGAAGAGTGAGAAGGCAAAAAGTAAAACAAATCTTTGAATTCTTTGCTTGGCTGGACATAGTAACACACGGGTTATACTGAGTGGGCTCTTGAAGCTTCAGATCTGTGGAAGTTTTATACTTTTATAAGTTTGGAGATAGTTGATTTTGGATATTGAGAGGCAGAATAATGACCATCTTTGGGGAATTTAAATCCATAAAAGTTTTCTTGTCCATGAATGCTGTAAATGCTAATACTTCCCCTGTGTTGGAGACATGATATATATATATATATATTTAGTTGGAATATATGGTTTTACAGCCTGAGATGTTTTACATTCCTATAAAAGGTGAGGGACATTATAAAGCTAATGGGCTTTAAAATGTATTGTCATATTCTGAACACTATTAAGTGATTAATGAATTAACAACACCATTTAAATTTATCAAGTAAAGTCATTTTGATGTGACTCCTACTTAAAGCTTCTTTCCCTCACACTATATTAGTCAGCTTTCCCTAGAGAAACACAATCAATAGGATAGATAGATAGATAGATAGATACATAGATGTATGAGAGAGGACTTAGTAGAATTGGCTCATGTGATTATGAAGGCCAAGAAGTCACATGATAGGTCATCTGCAAGCTGGAGAACCAGGGAAGCTGTTGGTGTAGCTCAGTTTGAGTCCAAAGGCCTGAGAAGCAGGGGAGATGATGGTATAATTCCAAGTCCAAGGTTGAAGGCCTGAGAACCTGGGGGCCACTGATGCAAGTCCCAGAGTACAAAGGTGGCAGAACCTTGGGCTGAGCATAGGCTCATTTCCCTGTGAGTCATGTGGGAAATGAGTTGATACCAGAAGAAAATTGGGACCCTGCCATTAAGGCAGAAGTGAGGGGTAGATGGTGTATATAAATAATCAATAGGATATACAAACTTCTGATTCCTACTGAAAAATAAACAAGCACACAGACCAAAAATAATTTATTAGTCTGAAATTATCCTTCTTGCCCTGTGCTTCAGTGATCCAAACCTTCATATTTGCTCTGCTAACTAAATAATGCTAATCTCTGTGATTCCAGCCACTCCACAATCTAGCCATTGTCTACCTTTCCAGTTTTATCTCCCATTATTCTCCCTGTTGAGCTTTCCAATCCACCATAAGCGGCCTGCTCAGCATCCCTGGAATGGGCCTTATCTTTCTATATCTGTTTCTGCCTCTCCTCAGGTGTCAGCTTGTTCCTCTCCACTTCTCCAAGCTCTGCTCTGCCTTCACCACCTTAGCCCTATGGCATTTTCTCTAGGAATGCCAGTTCCATGTAGCTCAGCTATTTGATTGTCAGAAATTCTTTTTCCTTTCAGTTTTCTAACGATCTTCTTATGCATGTTGCAAAACACCAAAGTCCACTCTAGGTCTTTGCATATTTTCTACAAATATGTAAACTACAAATTTGACATAGTCATTGCCACCTTTTCTACCAGTCTTTTTGCTTCAATTGACATATCTATTTTTTTTTTACTACAAATTTCAACACGTCCTGAATTATTGCCTTAGGAGAATGTTGTCAAGACAGCTCAGGCAGCACAAGTGTTATGCAGAGAAGGTTTCTAGTGGGAAAAAACAGGGCCTGGGTTTCACATTTAACCTGAAACCACAACTTGCAGGCAGTGAATTTTTTCATACTTACTTATTTATTTTTTTTTGGAGATGGAATCTTGCTCTGTCACCCAGGCTGTTGTGCAGTGGCACGATCTTGGCTCACTGCAACCTCCGCCTCCCAGGTTCGAGCAATTCTCCTGCCTCAGCCTCCTGAGTAGCTAGGACTACAGGCACCCGCCACCGTGCCCGGCCAATTTTTTTTTTATTTTAGCAGAGACGGGGTTTCACCATGTTGCCCAGGCTGGTCTCGAACTCCTGAGCTCAGGCAATCTGTCCACCTCGACCTCCCAAACTGCTAGGATTACAAGCGTGAGCACCCAGCCTCATACTTATTTTTAATATTTAAAATGATTTTGCTTTTCTTGTTTCTTAGTGCATGTAAAGAAGTATCTTTGCCTGCTGTATAACTGTGTGTATCTCATTTTCCTCACAGTACTTATTGATTCCATTTACAAAGTGACTGAGGGCCGGCAGTCTGAAATATTCCACAGACAAGCTGAGGGGAACTTCGACCCCAGCTGCTGCTTCACCATCTACCATGGCAACCACATGGAGTCCCTGGACCTCATCACCTCCAACCCCGAGGAGGCCCGCACCTGGATCACAGGCCTCAAGTACCTGATGGCTGGCATCAGTGATGAAGACTCCCTTGCCAAAAGGCAGAGGACCCATGACCAATATCCTTTCTAGAACTTTATTTTCAGCTCTCTCTTGCTCTCTGTGTATGCGTGTGTGCATTTGTGAAGTAAGGATTAGACTATGTTTTAATTTTTCCCATAATTTTCCTTTCTCTTTCTTTACCCCTCACACCGTCTTCTCCCCTCCTGACTCTCACTCCAAATAAATGAACGCATGAAATGTATGGACACTTAAGCTTGTATGAACTCAGGAGCAAAATTCTTTAAAGAGACCGAATCTAGCTCCACAATCAGAGGTCTCCAAATACAGCCTCAAGTTTCCTAAGAGAGGGAAAGTGCCCATTAAGTATCATTGCCTCTTTTAAATCATAGGCATATTCATTAACTGTAACTGGGAAAACACTGATTTGGATTAGAGAAAATCCTACTTTGTTATAAAGTCAGTTTAGTTTAACAAATACTTTGTGAGTTGCGATTAGATACTGGGCACTGAGCTCCTTCCTGCTTTTTCTCTTTCTAACTTACAGTTTGGAAATTGAACTGATTGATACCAAAGGGGAAGTTATTTTTTACTTACTAATATTTACCCTCTCTTAATTGCTTGAGAAACTGGAATCTAAGTCTCATTCTTGATTAAACCCATGCTTGTGGTCCTGCAGTGCTGACAAGATAAATGATTAATGGAGTTGGTCTGCAGGCATCCTTCTTGCTGGGATTGACTGGGCATATAGCAAGGCCTTTCTGGCCTCAGTTTCCTTATCTGTAAAGTGAGGGTATAAGGCTAGTTGACTCCCTTGATTCCCTTCTTCACCTTTTGAATGGCCTTAAAATACAGGTGTCTCTGTCCTTGCAGGGAGTAGCGCTACTCCCTTGCCGTCATTAGAATGTGTGCCCTAATTTTTTTCGCAGGGGTTGGTGATATATTTGTGCTGCTCTGGCTATAATCCTTCACCCAGAGTATTGCTGGAAAAGAATGGAAATAATTCAGCTCATGAAAGGATCTTGACAGTGTGAAAAGTCTGAGTTGATGAGCCATGAGGTTTTCATCAATATTCACAGCATGCAGATAAAGGCAACTGGGATTTAGAAATGAACAAAACACAAACAGGATTTAACTTTCTGTGCTTAAATCTGTTGGTTTGATTTCTAACTCTTTAACATTTGGTAAACAACAACCAACCAAAAATACTGAATGTTTTCTGGTACAAGTATCAGAAACCGTACTAACAGTGCCTTAAACAATAAAGAATATTAATTTTCTCATAAACAAGAGACCTGAGATGGGGCAGTTCCAGGGGCAGCTACTTCACTGGTTCAGTGATGTCATCAGAGACCCAGGTCCTGCCATTCTCACCGTGTTGGCTTCGTCTTGCAGCCGACTGCCCTTTGGTCAGAGAGAACTGCTGCAGCTTTAGGCAGTATCTCTAAACACAGCCCTAAACAGAGGTAGTAGAGTTTCTTCTCACAATTTTTTTTTTTTTTTTGGAGATGGAGTCTTGCTCTGTCGTCCAGGCTGGAGTGCAGTGGCACAATCTCGGCTCACTGCAACCTCTGCCTCCTGGGTTCAAGCAATTCTCCTGCCTCAGCCTCCTGAGTAGCTGGGATTACAGGTGCCTGCCACCATGCCCCGCTAATTTTTTTTTTTTTTTTTTGTATTTTTAGTAGAGCAGCATTTCACCCTGTTAGCCAGGATGGTCTTGATCTCCTGACCTCGTGATCTGCTCACCTCAGCCTCCCAAAGTGCTGGGATTACAGGCGTAAGCCACCAGGCTTGGCCACGAATCTTTTTTTTTTTTTTTTTTTTTAAAAGAGAAAAGAAAAACTTCCCAGAAATCCCCCAAAAGACAACTTCTCATCATTTCCCAAAATTACTATTGCTGCCTCATTCCTAAACCAATCTCTTGCAGGAGAAATTAACTGACATAATTAAACTTTGATCTCTCTCTTTTTTTCACTCTTAAAAACTGAAGACTTAGGCTGGGTGCATGGCTCCTGGCTGGAATCACAGCACTTTAGGAGGCTGAGGGGGAAGGATCACTTGAGGCCAGGAGTTTGAGACCAGTCTCGGCAAAATAGTGAGACCCCATCTTTACAAACAATTAAAAAGATTAGCCAGGTGTGGTGACACATGCCTGTAGTGCCGGCTACTCAGGTGGCTGAGGTGGGAAGATTGCCTAAGCCCAGGAGTTGGAGGCAGCGGTGAGCTACCAAGACCCTGTCTCAAAAACAAAAAACTAACAAAAAAACCCTGAAGATTCTAAAGAGCTTTTGTTTATGTGGGACCTATTTATTGATACTTGTCATATTAGAGATTAAATGTGAGACATAAAAATGTGTTTATTTATAATAATAATAAACTCTGTTGCATGTTAATATTTTTATAACAAGTATTTTTTCAAAGCAAAACACGTTAGAAAAACAGTATTGCTTCACTGTTTTACAAATCTCTTTAATGTCTGGCAATAGAACACATGGGTTCTCTTATCTGCTTCTGCATTCAGTCTGTTGCGATACGTTGTTTTGATTGAAGTACACGAAGAAAATCTGGCCTCACACAGACATGTAGTTGGAAAAGGGGGGAACCTCATGTTTATGGGGACCTCCAGGACTATACTTTGAGGACAGTTGCATCAAACCAAGATTTACACCCCCGCCCCCATCCAGTTCCCACTCATCATTAAAGTACATGGCTTTTGGGTACCTGAACAAAATCAAGGTTGTGTAGCAAAGAAGGAAGAGCAGTGGCCATGGGGAAGCAACCAAATCCAGAAGCTTCTAGCCTCATCCAGTTAACTAGGACAAGTTCACAGCATTCCATAGCTGCAAGTCACTTATAGAAGTCTCTCTCATAATCCTTGAAAGAGATGAGTTAGAGATGGGCATAAATCATCTTTTTGCTTTGTTGGTTAAAAGTTTTCGAACCTGATTGTCCACGTTTACTGGCACTTGAAAGTTTTCATAGTCTATGGGATCCGTATTCTGAAAATATACTGTCCAGAAAGCAGGTGTACTGTGGCACTACACAGAGAAACAATTTTATAAGAAATATAGAAGCAGTTGATTTTTGTGTCAGTGAAGGAATAAAAGAGAAATAATAAATTGATGAATAGTAAAGAGAAAGCTGAAGTGAAAAATGAGAAAGGTTATTTTGAGTCAGGGAATCATTTTCATACATATTTGTCAGAATTTAATAGGGTTTTAGATAATTTTGTTTGTTTGTTTGTTTGTTTGAGGCGGAGTCTCGCTCTGTCACCCAGGCTGGAGTGCAGTGGTGTGATCTTGGCTCACTGCAAGCTCCGCCTCCTGGGTTCACGCCATTCTCCTGCCTCAGGCTCCTGAGTAGCTGGGACTACAGGTGCCCGCCACCACGCCAGGCTAATTTTTTGTATTTTTTTTTTTTTTGAGATGGAGTCTGGCTCTGTCGCCCAGGCTGGAGTGCAGTGGCAGGATCTCGGCTCACTGCAAGCTCCACCTCATCTGTTTACGCCATTCTCCTGCCTCAGCCTCCCGAGTAGCTGGGACTACAGGCGCCCGCCACCACGCCCGGCTAATTTTTTGTATTTTTAGTAGAGACGGGGTTTCACCGTGTTAGCTAGGATGGTCTCTATCTCCTGACCTCGTGATCCTCCCACCTCGGCCTCCCAAAGTGCTGGGATTACAGGCGTGAGCCACCGCACCTGGCCTAGATAGTATCTTAATAATGGGATCACATCCTTAATTTGATAAACATGTAACTACATTAATGAAGAGAACAGATTTGGGATGTTCATTATTAGATTTCACTTAGGACTGAAAATTTCAACTGTGAATGAAAAATGAGAATAATGAAATTAAATGGCTGCATGAGAAAATCCATCCAGTCTAGAGCGTAACTTATTTCTGCAGTATGGCCATGCTGAGTGATGGCCATGATGCAGTACTCATACTTACTAGAAGAAATCCAGTGTCATTAGGGATCAGACCCTGGTGCTGCACTGCCTGCGGTCCAGCCCCCACTCTGCCTGTGCTATGCAAATTTGGATGAATTACTTATGTTCTTTTGCCTTCAAGTCTTTTATCTGCAACATGGTGATGATGATAATGACAGTGTCTGCCATATAGAGGTGTGTTAAGATCAGTTGATTATATATAGTCCTTAGAACACTGCCTAGCACTTAATAAGCAGTTTACAAGTAATAGGTACTGCTGTCATTGCTAAAAAGAGGTAAAGAGTGGCAAATCTTTAGCTTTCCTATTCAGATAAATGAAAGTCTGAATACTCAGCAGATCTGTATGCAAAGATGATGGTTCTGGCACTTAGGCTCAGCATTTTTCTCTATCAGACCATTCTCCTTCATGTTTTCCCCACCTTATCTCTTGACCCCATGAGGGAAATTATTACTTCCAGAAGGCTTTAGGCCACCTGTTATGTATGTTATAAATCCAGACCTTATTCTTCCCCCGTCAAACTGCTGGGCAAATCTGGCCCACTCCCAATCCAGGAGGATTTTTGCGTGGACTCCTGAGCTAAGAATGGGTTTTAAATGGTTAAAAAAAATCAAAAGAAAAACATTTTGTGACCTGTGAAAATTACTTGAAATTAGAATTTCAGGGTTCTGAAATTTTAATAAAGGTTTTATTGGAATTTCTGAAATTCCAATAAAGGTTTATTGGAACACAACCGTGTTCATTCATTTATATCTGTATGGCTGCTTTCTCATAACAGTGACAGAGTGGAATAGTTGCAGCTGAGAGCAAATGTCCTGCAAAACTTAAAATATTCACTATCAGGCCCTTTACAGAAAAGTTTGCCCTCCCCTGTGCTAGATAGGATCATTCAATGCTTTGCATGCTCCTACAGTCTCTTGATAGAAAATCCTAGATCATTACTTCACATTCAGTCTCACCCAGATTTTCTCTGAGGAATGACTGTTTCTCTTTTTAAAATTATTATGGTGTGGCTATAAATTATTAATTCAGGGCTTTATTGGACACTCATATCTTAATTATGAAGAACATCTTTAAGATATCAGGACATTTTTACCTGGAGTTGTATACTATGTGGACCGTTACTGGAAAGAATGGTTTTTTCATTTATGGAATCTTAGAGTTGGAAGGGATTTCAAGGTTAAAAGTTGTGCTCCTTGATATTGTAGGTGAAGAAATGGAGGCTCCAGGAGGTGATATGAGTAACCCACTGTCACAAGGCCAAGTAAGCAGTAGAATTAGGACTACTGTACATTTCTTGGTTTGATTCTGCCTCTGTTTTTACTTTACCAGTTCCCTAAACCAATAATCAAGGCCGATTTCCGTGTTGGTGCTAAAGGCTTTGCAGACAGACACAGGCTTATCCTAAATGTTTGTATCTGCAGAATACACACATGCTTAGGGTTTGGCTGTCCCTGCCTCTTCTCTGGAGAAGACTTTGAGAGGCTTCGATAAAGAATTATATTTGATAAAGAATTATAGAGTAAAAGGATAAAAATATTACTGCCGTCAGACTCCTTTTGTCACTTCTTTGAACTCCAGCCATGTACTTTGTGGGGCATAGAGTAGTGTCCATAGTTGAAAGCCCGAAGTGGGTGCTGCGTGCCTTGAAAACAGAAGAAAATGAGACTCAGGCACTTATTAGTGATTGGGCCAAATGTTTCACCCTTTTGGTTCTTCGGTTACTTTCCCCCCAGATCTGGACCTCCCTTAACTTCCAGGGGTCATATAAAATGAGGTCCTGACAAGTCTATAAGGAAAAATTGAACTAGAAAGAGCTGGGCTAGTTATTTTAAAAGTTTTAAAGGGAAAAAATATGAAATAAGGTATTTACAAAATATGAAGTAAGGCGATCTGAAAATATCCTCTACTTAATTTTAGAAGACATAATACCTTACCTTTCTAGTTGTTTTTACTTTCTGAGGTATAATCTTCTACAGTCATAATTTGAATCGCATAGAAATGGAAATATGCTGTACCCTCTCCTCTGATATACATTCATTCTCCCATTTCTTGGTTTTTAAAACTATACCTTTAGCTTACTTTGATTCTCTGGTTTCTTTCTATCTATCACCTTATTCTTTTCCTCTCCATTACCCTTCAATATTGAAGTTTAATTGGTTTTCTAAATATGCACGCAGTACTTGCCTTTTGTAACCTACCCCTCAACAACTATGAATCATCCATTTGAAAAAATCCTTTGCTAAAAGTTAACTGGGAATTTTCAATTCCTGTGTTACCATTTCATCTGCATTCTCACTATGTAAAGCAACCCAAGGCTCCTCCCACTGAGGATCTTTTAAAATTTCAGTTCACATGATGTAAACCTTTTGTATCTAAACTCAGCTTCTAATTCTCAGTCACTTAATCTCATACCTGAGCTTTGAGGGCACCTCCTAGCACATTATGTTTGTACTTCACATTACCTGCCCGTGATTTAGAAATTTGGGCCAATTAAGTGAGAACCATCAAAGCCAGTAATAGGAAGAGAAGCGTGGTGTAGAGACAGACCTTATGTGTAGAAGAGTGTGCTAAATCAGGTACAAAAGACCTGGGTTGAGACCTGGTTCTCATACTAATTTTTATCAGATTTCTCTCTCTCCTCTCATTTTATGTCCTTATCTGAACAATGATGAGATTGAACTAGATGGTCTAATTTGCTAAATGTCTGAGTGGGACAGAGAAAAGAGAATTGAAAAGATCATGTACCATGGGGTATTGTGAAGGTAAAAAGATAGTAGGTAAAAGGGCATAGGAGAAGATAAGCCCTATATTTATGATATTTGGGGTTTCATCATAAAGAGATTCTTAAACAGAAAGTGTCAGAGAGATGTAATACTGGGCCATTCCTGCTACATGCCATCTGTATGCCTCATAAACGAAGAACTCTAACCTTGTGAATGAGAACTAATAGGGACACAAGATTTGTGTTATGAACATGGCAGCATAACTGAGAAAAACTGGTCAGAAAATGAAAAGCAAAAAGGGATAACGTTTAAAGTCATATAGAAATATTTATGTTTATGGAGTTTGCTATTGGAGGTGTGAATTAAGGTGTCATTTTCTTGCTAGAGTGAAATTAGAACCAGTAATGTAGCTTTTAGTATCCATGAGGTTTTAGTATCCATGAGGATTAGGAGGGTAATTCACTCCTTCCATTTAGGATAGTGATATAGTGTTTTGCAATAATAGATTTGATATTTAATTTGGATAAGATTGAATAAGAATGTCTGAATTAAAGATGCTCAAAATAATTTGGTTTAACTCTCATTTCGCAATGGAGGGAACCACCCCCCGCCCCTTTTTTTTCTTTTGAGACAGAGTTTCATTCTTGTCACCCAGGCTGGAGAGCAATCTTGGCTCACTGCAACCTCCACCTCCCGGGTTCAAGCAGTTCTCCTGCCTCAGCCTCACAAGTTGCTGGGATTACAGGCGCCTGCCACCATGCCTAGCTAATTTTTGTATTTTTAGTAGAGACAGGGTTTCACCATGTTGGCCAGGCTGGTCTCAAACTCCTGACCTCAGGTGATCCACCTGCCTCAGCCTCACAAAGTGTTGAGATTATAGGCATGAGCCACTGCACCCAGCCGGGAACCCCCTTACCCCCTTTATGTGTTTCCCTTCCATTCCTGGTTTGTTGTTGTCATTGTTATTGTCATCATTATTAGTAGCTCATCAGAGCCTATGGATTGCAGGGGCTCCTCAAAATAATTTCTTCTCAAGTTCTGTGTTACTGATAAATGTCTTTGCGAGTATTCTGTGAGAGAGCAGTTTTTAATTTTGATGAGAGCACAGGTGTTTTCTTTGACCTTTCTGCACATGGGTGAAGCAGACCTTTGAGGAAGCTGATAAGAATGGTGACGGCTTGCTGAATATTGAAGAGATACATCAGCTGATGCATAAACTGAATGTTAATCTGCCCCGAAGAAAAGTCAGACAAATGTTTCAGGTAAGTTTTCACAATTTCACTGGCCTTATATAAAATACACAGAGGTTATTAACATACTTAGGTATATTAAAAAGCTATTTTGTTTTGTTGGAAGCTAATATATGTGCTCTGTACTGTTTTATTTTTCTTTGATGAAGAAATGATTTTGTTTCAAGTAAAAAGACTTTATAAATTTAACATTCGTCCAAAATTTCACTTCCTAAAACGCTTTTTTGTTATCGTTGCTGTTTTCCTGACAAATAATGGAGGAAACTTGCTCCAGTCCCTTTGAGAGGACAGTAATACCTCATTTGCCTACTTCGCAGGGCTCTTGTGAGGATCAGAATAAAGACTAAGTAACATGACAAAAAATAGCCCTTGTCTAAAACCTCAAGAGCTCTGTATTTTGTTTCTGAGGAGTTCAGGATTTAGTATCCATGAGGATTAGGAGGGCAATTCACTCCTGCCATTTAGGGAGCTCTCCAGAATTTCATTCAACTCCTTGTTGGTTAGATGAAAGGCTCTTTCCCTGTTGATGAGTCATTGAGAAAAATTCTTGGGCCCAGACTTATTCTGTGGCATCCAGCTAGGACTGCATTTAATCCTTACCTGAGTACCGAAGTGAGCTCTCTTAAGTTTAAGTCAGGGCAAAGACAATGTTAGGCTATTAGAAATTACTAGAGTATTAATTTGTAACAGGCTATTATTTGAAGATAAGTTGCGTGCATAATCCATGTTTTGCAATGATTTTCTAGGTGATACTTTGTACATGTAAAAATAAGCATAGGAGGGCAATATGATGTTTAATGTTTGTACTTGTTCTTAGAGGTGGTAAGAGCAGAGACAACATGGGGTATGTGTTGCAACAATAAATGGAAGACAGAGGCTGGCTCTGTTCTGTGACCCTTTTAAGGGTGGCCCTGTTCTTGGTTGGAGATGGTTTGCATTGTGGGAAACTGAGTCCCATTGCACTGGAGAACAGCATGAGAGAATGGGAAGAGGAGGAAGGAATGAGATTTGCTGTATAGGGAACCTGAGAGATGGAGTGAGGGACTTTGGAGGGCAAATGAATTATCTTTAAACATATGGGAAGGTTTGCCATGTTTCTGGTATTCCGTGTCATCTCACTTTTGCCCTGCTGTGAGCCCCACCTCCTGTCTGTTCATTTGCACAGGAGCTGATCACAGCATTGAAGAGGTAGCTGCTGATTCAATGTAAGAGGCCAATCCTAAAGGGGGGGGACAAAGTCTGTACCTATACAAATCATGATTTCTTGGGTAATTATTGAAAGTAAAATTTGGAAGCATTTGTTCATAATTGACCCAAAGTTAGCAAAATTTTAAAAAGATTTTAATGACCACTTTGACTTTCAAAGCTTTGTTTAATACCATATAACAGTTGAGTGTACTTCACAAATTCTATGCATTTCAAAATGCCGTTCATTCCCTGTCTGTTTTTGTTTACTTAGAATTGTGTTCACTTAGAATGAAGAAGAGCACATAAGTGGGTCAGTTGCTTATTATTTATCCCCAATAGTTTTATGGTTTTATGAATAATTCAGCCAACCTGTAAGTAAGGCATATGATGGAAGCTTCATGCTCAATAATTACTAGAAACAATTTTAACAAGAAATCAATCCAGATGGATTGTTTAGACTTTTCTACGGAGGGAAAGCAGGGAGTTACCAAGGATGCCCATGGCTTTAAGAGCATCAACTCTATCTTTGGAGAATTAAGAGAGATTCTCTCATAGGTAAAAATTACATTTGATTGGATTACAGTTCAGAAACCAATGAGAGACTGTTATTTTTCTCAAGTGTTAAATATATCTTCTTTCTTTTGTTCTTGATTAGTCTTTTTCAAGATTTCTCATTTTTATTGGTTCTTTAGAAATCGGGCTTTGGTTTTCTTTCTCACGTGTATGTTACAGCTGTTTGTTTTCTATTTTATTACTTTTTGCTTTTGTTTATAATTTATTTTCCTCGCTTAATTTTGTTTCACATTTTTTGAGTTGAATTATTAACTTCTTTTTAAAATCTTTGCTCTCTAGTAATTTAAGACTTCAAGTTTCTAATGTTATTTTATAAGTTTTAATATGTAGTGTATTTTTCACTTCCATATGTTTTATTTCCTATCTAGAATTGTATTGTTTCTACAGGTTTTTTTTTTTTTAAGGTTTCTTTGTTGATTTATAAATTTACAGTGGTCAGAACAATTGGTTTGTGTGAGGTTGATTCCTTATAATTTGTTGAAACTTTCTGGCCAAATATGTGGTTGCTTTATAATGTTCCATGTGTGCTTGAAGAGAATGTGTGCTCGAAGAGAATGTGTGCTCACCTCTTGGGATTTGTGTACTAGCTCTTTTATAGTAAATATTATTTCCCAGTACTGAATTTCCTATTTCTAACTTTCATATTACTTTATTTTCTCTATGCCCTTTTCAGGAAGCCGACACAGATGAGAATCAGGGAACTTTGACATTTGAAGAGTTCTGTGTTTTTTACAAAATGATGTCTTTGAGACGAGACCTTTATTTGTTACTTTTGAGCTACAGTGACAAGAAAGATCACCTAACTGTGGAAGAACTGGCTCAGTTTTTGAAGGTGGAGCAAAAGGTATCATTAGACTGTTAAAATGAAAGTTTACTTAAAAGTACTCATGAAAGATATGTCTTTCTTTTGGGGTTAAATATAGGTATACTTTGAATTTTGCAAAGGTGGTAAATATCACTAGTTCACAAAAATCTTATCTATGAGTCATTTAAAACAGTTTCTAGCAGCTTTTAAGACAGGAAGTGATAACTTGAACACTGGGTTATATAATTCTTAATCTTAAATGTATTGAGTACAGATATGCCTATTTTCCCACAAAGAAATGAATGTTAATATTTTAATACAATGGTAATACTTTCTTTATACTAATACTATGATGTATTAATATTAGTTTAAATTTATACTATATATTAGTATAAATTCATATTAGTATAAATTTAGTCAAATTTATTTATTTTAAATATAAATTTATATTTATACTAATAAAATAGCTAGATATTTAACTATGGCATAATTCTTAACTACTATTGTGGTAGGTCATTGGTAATTCTGATAGTAAATTGCCATTTGATCATGTGAAAAGGCTAAGTAAATTAGGTCCTGATTAGCAAAGAGAATCTCTAAGTATGTTTAAAATAAGGTGTTTTAATCTTAATATTATATAGGCTGAATTATGGTCAGCAAAGCTAACTTCTCAGTCTGCTTTTTAAATATCTCCTCAAAGTCTGTTTCTCACTAAAGTAGAGGAATAAATGAATGTTTTATTCAAATTTTTTAACCTTTTATATTAGACTTCTTGAGAGGAGGCTTTGGTTTTGTGCAGTTGATGAGGTTTACTTTTAATTCTCTTAATGGACCAATCGTCTTAATATAAAGAGCTGCTTAACTCCTTTGTTCATTTTAAGTCAGCGGCATTTAGCTCTGTTGAAATTGTAAAAAATCATCAAATATTTGGACTATATAGTACAATAATCAGTAGAAATAATTCTTTCTACAGTACTCACACAAATAATCAGCCAGCTTGTGCTTGAACACTTTCCAATTTTTTAATAAAGGCTTTATTGAGATATTATTCACATACCATAAAATTCACCATTTTTAAAGTATACATTTAAGTGTTTTTTAGTGTATCAACAGAGTTGTGCAACTATTGGCCAGGCACGGTGTCTCATGCCTGTAATCCCAGCACTTTGGGAGGCTGAGGCGGGTGGATCACCTGAGGTCAGGAGTTTGAGACAAGCCTAGCCAACATGGCGAAACCCAGTCTCTACTAAAAATACAAAAATTAGCTGGCTGTGGTGGCGAACCCCTGTAATCTCAGCTACTTGGGAGTCTGAGGCAGGGAGAATTGCTTGAACCCAGGAGGTGGAGGTTGTAGTGAGCTGAGATTGAGCCCCTGCACTCCAGCCTGGGCGGCAGAGCGAGACTCCACCTCAAAAAAAAAAAAAAAAAAAAAAAAGAAAGAAAAGAAAAAGAAAAAAAAAAAGGGCTGGGCACGGTGGCTTACACCTGTAATCCCAGCACTTTGGGAGACTGAGGCGGGCAGATCACCTGTGGTCGGGAGTTCTGACCAGCCTGACCAACATGGAGAAACCCGGTCTCTACTAAAAATACAAAATTAGCCAGGTGTGGTGGCACATGCCTATAATCCCAGCTATTCGGGAGGCTGAGACGGGAGAATGCTTGAACGAACCCAAGAGGCGGAGGTTGTGGTGAGCCGAGATAGCGTCATTGCACTGCAGCCTGTGTGACAAAAGTGAAACTCCGTCTCAAAAAAAAAAAAAAGGAAAAAAGAGTTGTGCAACTATAACCACTATCTAATTTCAGAACATTTTCGGCACCCCAAGAAGAAACCCCAAACCTATTAGCAATTATTCTCCATTTCTCTCTTCCAAGCATGCTGTGGCAACTAATATTTCTGTCTCTATTGATTTGTCTGTTATCTGTTCTGGACATTTCATATAAAGGGAATCATATATGTGACCTTTGTGACTGGCTTCTTTCATTTGGCGTAATGTTTTCAAGATTCATTCATGTTGTAGCATTATCAGTATTTCATTTCTTCTTATTGCCAAATAATATATCGTTGTATGACTATACCACATTTTGTTTATATATTCATCAGTTGATGGAAATTTGGGTCATTTGCTTTTTGGGGGCTGTTACGAATAACGCTGCTGTGAACATTCATGTACAGGTTTTTGTGTGGACATACGTTGTCAAGTCTGTTGAATATATATCTGAGTGGAAAAGTTGGGTCACCTAATTTGATCCCTTCTTTCAGTCTGGATCTGGATATTGCAAGGACTTTATGTGAACCAGGATAAAATTCTACCACAGAACCCCAGTGAATTAAACATTGGATTAATATCTGAATATCAGAGAGATAAATTTCCACTAGCTCTTAAGAAGTATAGCTGACCAAAGATGTGCTGGATGACTTTGACAATTGTGTTTTCTTCCTTGAAGGTGTTAACAAGGATTTGAGACGCTATTAATGAGATTGAAATATGGGTGGGTGCTTGGATTAGTAACATTTCAGATTAATTCATTTCCTTGTATGAATAGATACTATATTTCCTAGGTATTGTGCTAAGTTTTTGTAGTGGACAAAACCTACCCTCAGAAAGCTCAAAATAAAGACCTTTTTTTGATACTTTATGATTTTGAGAGTCTATGATAAAAGGAAAGAGAATGTGAAGAAGTAAAACAACATGCTTTTTAACGTTTGCTGGATTTTTCCTTTTTGAGGTAGAATAAAATTTATTACAATTATCGTGCCGTATTTTTTTTCTGGAAATGTTACTTCTTTAGAAGAAGTACCTTTGTAAAGATACTAAAAATATTAATTAGTAATACATTGTTAATATACATGAAATCATGCTCACTTAGTTTTAGTGCTAATTTGAATTAAATTGAATTTGTGAAGTGATTTTCATTTGAGAGTCAATTCTTTTAACTTTCTTTAATTTTCTCCTACATAACCTGGAAAATTATGTTACTCTTGGTGTAGTCTAAAAACTATTTGACATTCATAATTTGAGCTAGTAAATGCTGCTTATAGATTCATAAATGGCAAAAAGTCTCACTGATTCAAAATCTACCCTTATTTATATTAACATTTTATAGCATTTAAATGCCATATTTGAATTTTTTAAATGTGAGATTAATTTGGTGATCAGAGTCTTCAATGTTTTGCTTTAGCAAGAATGAAAAAAGTACAAAGTATTTGGTGAACAAAATCCATGTATATGTTTTTTCTGAATTATTTACTTATTATTGAGCCATTGGATAAAATATTTTCATGGCTTTTGAAACATATCTCCATAATGCTATATAAAAGATTTGTTTCAGTTTATAATTAACAAAACAGTGAACAAATGATTAGTTATTAAATGGATCACTTTTAGTGCTAATATGGTAGCTATAGAATGATAAGTTAATGTTGGTTTGATTAACATTTTTTGATAGCAGGGATGAATGTTTTTCCATGTTTGTTTTTGAATTGTATTTTTTGAACTTTGAAATGCTCTTTAAAATACAGAAAAATCTGTATGAATTCTGTCCTGTTTTTCTGTTGTTTATTGCCTCTGCATGTGTGTGTATGTGTCTGTGTGTGTGTGAGAGAGAGAGAGAGAGAAAGAGAGACAGACAGACAGAGACAGACACAGACAGACAGACAGAGACAGAGACTGACAGGCAGACAGACTGGTTTTCCCTCAGTAATTCCAGGTGGATATCTATTCTATTTAAATGCCACTAAAGAACCAACCACTAGCACCACACTATTAGCTTTTATTTGAGAGGTAGCAGGCAATACCCAAGTAGGAACCAGTTTTAATGCCTTTCTTGATGTCTCTTTCAAACTCCCAAAGTTAAATGCATTAAACATGTTTTCTGATAATGTGTTTCTCTTATCGTCTTCATCAGTAATGCTAATCACCTCTTTTCAAGCAGATTAACACTT
The DNA here is from genome assembly GCF_000001405.40 of Homo sapiens. Lineage (NCBI taxonomy): Eukaryota > Metazoa > Chordata > Mammalia > Primates > Hominidae > Homo > Homo sapiens. The sequence continues at coordinate 155,579,567 of NC_000003.12, read as the reverse complement.
CATTTGGCATGGAAGTTTTAAAAATTACTAGACTGTGTGGTGGAATAGGAGTGAGCAGGACTGGATACACAACCTTGCTTACCTTGCAACTTGATCACATTAACTTTTCATCCTTGACTTTGTGACTTATAAAATGGTTTTGATAGTAATATTGCCCTTGCAAGAGTAGAGTGAGAATTAAATGAGATGTGGATGTAACTTCCTAGTGCATTGCCTGGTTTATTAGCTGCACAGATCTAGCCATTTCCAAGGAGCAATGTGAGATTCCTAGTGGGCAAGTATCCGCACATATACTTGACTGTAAAATTCCATAGGTGAGGGGAAGTGTCTTTTCCACACCCATCGCTAGGGCATGGCAGAGGCACTTATAACAAAAGACCGATTAACAAGAGAAAAACATACAAATTTATCTAATAAGTTTTTAATAACACAGAGGAGACTTTATAAGGCACTGAAGACCCAGAGAGTTAGGCAAACCTGTGTATTTCTTATGCTAGTTTGATGAAGAGTGGACAGTCATGGAGAAATATGTTTAGAGGACAAGGTTATGATCTAATGGCAGTAAATGGGGAATTTAGTAAGGCGTGTTTGTTCACACTTTTCTTGGCACCTCTGTGTCTTTTGCTCCTTTCCTCTGGGTATTGGGAAGGTGCTGATGGTCACTTTAATGAGGGTCGTATGGTCTGCTTCAGGGGAAGCTCAGAAAATTCTTCCTAGGTTTTATGGGTGGAAGGGCTGGGGGGAAGGCCGGAGATACCTTTCCTTTTCTGCTGTTTTCCACAAATGCTAGGGTGCAATATTTTAGGATACCGTGTACTAAACTGCATCAAATCTGTACATGGTTAGAATTTTCTTCCAAATTACTTCTCTTATACCCTCCCACTCCAAGTCTGTCATAGTGTGATATAATAAAACATACATTTGGTCTTTGTTCCAGTTCCTGGCACAGAGCTCCTAAACTCTTAGAATTTCCTGAGAAGTATCTTTGATTATTTATAATGAACCCCTTTTCATCATATCTGAGTTCATGCTAATGAGGTAACTATTGTTGGGCCCCTGGATAGTTTCAGGATAGGGGCTGGTAGCCAGCAACCAACCATGTGATTAGATAACTTTCTAATACCTACTTAATATTTTACTTTACCTTAGTATCATAATCACATATGTTTTAGAAATAACAGATTCACTTTTATGAATTTTGTTGTTGCTTTCTTAAGAATTAAACAGATAGTGTTATTAGCAAAATGCTTTGTCAAAATTAGTTATTTTAAGTAGTTTGATAGTTTGGCAAAGGCAGAGATTCTTTATTAACAATGTTAGCCGTAAGACAGGTAGAAAAAGGGAATTGGGTAATAGAAATGTCTATATTTTCCCTTAGAGGATACATCCTTTCTACATCTTTACTCCTCTGTGGAGTCTGTTATATAACTACTTCTCCATCCTTACTTGCAGAACTCTCATAGTGTACTGGAAAGAACATTAGACCAGGAGTCCAAAACACCTGCATTCCACACACTGCAAGCTTTAGTGGTTGGAGAATCAATCATGATTGTTTCTGAGCCTTGGTTTCCTGATCCATGCAAAGGGAGATGATACCTGCCTTTCCTATCTCACAGTGTCAAATTGAACATTGCAATGATGAACAGGAAAGTCCTTTGCCCAAGATATTCAGAAGTGTGGCAATGTGAGGAATTAAAGTTAAAAGGTATAAACTACTGACTTCAAATTCATTCAGGCTAGTGGAATTACCCCAGTTCATTTGAATAGCAATACTGGATGTCACTTGCTAAGGGGCATGTGTTTCTTCTCTCATTTTAGTTTTGTTGACATTCTGCCAGTAAATTTTAGTTAGGGAAAACAGAAGCCAGAATTCTGTGACATTTGTTCCTGGCAGATGATTAACTGTATATAGTTTAATTTTCTAAATTAGCTTGAAGCTACTTACATATGAGCATGACTCAAAAGAAATCTATAAAATTATAAAAAAAGTGATCATACATCAAGAGGTAAAAATCACAAAGGAAAATTTTAATGTACTGAAACTTTGTTTATATGTGGTCCACTTTATTAAGCACCACAAAATTAAAGGGCAGAGTAGGAAAATATTTGTAACATACAAAAGAGAGAAATAGTGAATTTCCTTAATGTGGCAAGTACTTTCCTAGACCATTGAGGAAAAAAAAAACAATGGAAAAATGAGTAAAACACTTGAAACCTTTACAAAATCATACAAAGTCAATAAACCTATGAAAATGTTCACCCTTTATTAGTAATTCAAAAATCTGAAATAAAACCAAGTTATTTATTTTTTAGAGACAGGGTCTCTGTCACCCAGGCTGGAGTGCAGTGGGTGCGATCATGGATCGTATAAACTCCAACTCCTGAGCTCAAGCAATCTTCCTGCCTCAGCCTCCTGAGTAGTTGGGACTACAGGTGTGTATCATCACACCCAGCTAATTTTTAATAATCTGTTTTAGAGACAGGGTCTCACCATGCTATCTAGGCTAGGAGACAATTTCTTTCCCATCGTATTAGTAAAGATTAAAAAATATGCCACCAAACGTAGTGTCCATCTCTTCTATTTCTGGTGAAATTATAGAATGATACTGGAGTAGTTTTACAATCTATAACATTTAATATAATTGATAAAACTTTGGCCAAACCATTTTACTTTAATAATTCATCCTAAGAAAATAGCTCTGTATTTAAAAATTGTTGTAAAGTTGTGCATTTCAACATTCTTTAAAATAGTGTTAAGATTTATTTTATTAGATTGGACACAATCTAACTGTGTAGAAAGAGTCGTTAGTCAAGAGTTTCGTGGGGTTTTGAGTTTCAAAACTGGATTTTCACAATGGCACAAATTTGAGGCAATTTGATGATGTGTGTCACAGTAATTCATTAGCTTCTGATAACATAAGATTGGTGCAGACACCAGGATATTCAACTTTTATAGGTTTACTCAGTTGTGAAATGAAATATCACTGCTGGCCACATATGCTGTCAAGGGTTTTATGAAATCAAATATTGGCCTGTGGGTCAGATTTTTATTTTACTGAAGCTCTCAGAAGATTGAATTTATGCCTTTGACAGGTCCAATTGCTGTTTGATTAGGACTTTCATTCTTAAAACACGGCTGTGCCAAGGGAATTCTCACTATCTTTTATAACCATGAGGAAGTGCCAGTATAGCCAGAAATTACCTGGCTGAGATTTCTCTTTCTTCTCTTCCTTTCATCTACAGATAAAGGATCACAGATATCCACTAATCTGTGGTTCCGAAGTATTTACTAGAGTTGATTGAGAGTTTTTGTTTTGTTTTGTTTTGTTTTGCTTTGTTTCATTCCCCACCCACCCCAACCTCATATTTGCCAAACAACCACCTACATCTCCTCCAGAGTTCCTATCCATTTCTTGGCACTGGAGCTGAGTGTTTTTTTTGTTCCATCCTTTTTAGTGTTTTGGTTCTGGAGTGACAATTTGATTTCATTTTCCCATCCCCTTGGCAACCTTTCTTAGCAAGCCCCTATGTTCTTTATATTTTTTTGTTTCTTATGGATTGAGGAAGAAGGAAGAGAAGGCAGGAACATTGAAGCGCCTTTATATAGTTGGAAAATCCTCCTAGCCAGGCCCAGTGGTTTGCCCCTGTAATCCCAGCTACGGGGGCAGGCAGGAGGATCACTTGAGCCCTGGAGTTCAAGATCAGTCTGAACAATATAGTGAGACCCCTTCTCTTAAACAAAAATTAGTTGGGTGTGGTGGTGCTTGCCCTTAGTCCCAGCTACTTGCGGGGTGGAGGTGGGAGGACTGCTTGAGCCTGGGAGTTCCAGGCTGCAGTGAGCTATGATTGTGCCTGGGCCACAGAGCAAGACTCTGTCTCTAAAATGAAATAACTTAAAAAATTTAAAATTTTCTGCTAGCTGTTATCTAAGAGCAAAGGCTACCTTTATTGTAAGTCAAAAGTAGGTTTCTGTTTATATAAATGTTTCATCTGAAATATGCATGTGGATAGTTAATTCCAAGAGGATTTTCAGAGATTTCCTGTTTCCCTGCTACAGGGCCATCTCCTTATTGTAATCTGATATAGATCTATACATTACCCGTGTAGTAGCTCTGAAAATTGCACCTTTAGCCCCTTTATTCTTTCTGGTAAAATGTTTCTTTGATCATTCTGATCCAATTATAGGAATCATATGTGCCCTCTCCCTTCCTTACCCTTCATTGAATCCAGAATGGTTTGGTAAGAGTTATGGTCATTCTAATCATTCTAATCTTCTCTCTCATGAGAAATAATTATAGTCTCTTTTGCTTGTAACTATCCCATTCTGGTGATAATGTATCTTTATCTTTTTTGCACCTTCCTCATATAAAAGCATTCCTTTGAGGTGTTTTCCTGAATTTCTGTATCATTTTTCTTTTTATTTATTTATTTTTTTTTTAGATGGGGTCTTGCTCTGTCACACAGGCTGGAGTGCAGTGGTGCTGTCTCGGCTCACTGCAACCTCTGACTGCTGGGTTCAAGCGATTCTCCTGCCTCAGTCTCCCAAGAAGCTGGGATTGTAGGTGCCCGCCACCATACCTGGCTGATTTTTGTGTTTTTAGTAGAGATGGGGTTTCACCACGTTGGCAAGGCTGGCCTCGAACTCCTGACCTCAAGTGATCCGCCCACCTTGGCCTCCCAAAGTGCTGGGAATACAGGCATGAGCCACCATGCCTGGCTGATTTTTCTTAATTATTCACAATTAAAGCAGTTGAGAGATCACTCAGAGTAATTATATCTTGCAATATTTTTGCTGCATTGGCTATATTTCCCAGATAACATTTTCTGTGAAATCGTCTATTCAAATGCTGTGAAATGTGTGGTTTCGTTTTAGGATGAATTAGAGGTAGCTAGTTTGAGGAGGTTAATAGTTACCGTGGTTGTCTTATTCAGTTGAATATGAACTGACCATTCATTTAGAGGTGTTTCTTCACTCCCTCTTGAAATTACCCCAAAATACAGTAAAGACAATCCCCCTCTGTAAAACCACAGATACAAAGAGAACAGGAGAGGAGCAACAAAATTTTAAAACTTGTCTGATTTAAAGGAGACCCCAGAGCACTGAAATTCAATCTCATAGAGTGAGAAGCCTCGAAGCAACTCCATTTGCCCAGGGGAAGCCCCTGATAAGCTCAAAAATTGATGTTAGTTACATGATATTCCTGAAAAGAGGAAAAGAGGGGTTGAAAACAAGCATTGGTTGAAAGTCTGTTTAAGATATGGTTAGGGCTTCAGATTTTCTCCTCCAACCCTTGTAGCAGGGCAACTGTCCCTTCTCTACCCTGGCATAAAACTGTATGTAAGAGGTAAGGGGGGCTGGGTATGGTGGCTTACTCCTGTAATCCCAGTACTTTGGGAGGCCGAGGCAGGCAGATCACTTGAGGTCAGGAGTTTGAGACCAGCCTGGCCAATATGGTGAAACCCCGTCTCCACTAAAAATGCAAAAAATTATCTGGGCGTGGTGATGCATGCTTGTAGTCCCAGCTACTCGGGAGGCTGAGGCAGGAGAATCGCTTGAACCCTGGAGGTGGAGGTTGCATTTGGCTGAGATTGTGCCACTGCACTCCAGCCTGGGCAACAGAGTGAGACTCTATCTAAAAAAAAAGAGGTAAGAGGATTTGACTAAGTGATGCCACACACGGCTGAGTGTGGGTACTATATGGAAAACATGGGGATTATGAAGATGGCTATAATAACTGCCATATTCCTGTACATATGTGTCTTTGCAATGCACCTTTGCCACTCCTTCCACCAAGAATTGAATTCTATTTTCCTGCTTCTTCAATCTGTGCCAGTTTAATGACTTGCTTTGATTAATAAATTGTGGTAGGACTGATGTACAGGTTCTGGAGCCTAGGCCTCAGGGAGTCTTGAAGATTTCATCCTCACCCTGTTGGAACTGTGGGACTATCATGTGAGGAAACCAGGTGAGTTTCCTTGGGGATGAGAGACTACATAGAGAAAGAGGCCCAGCCAACAGCCAGCACCAACCACAGACATGTGGGTGAGGCCATCTTGTACCATCTGGCAAGTAACCAGATGCCTGTAGTCACATGAAGAACTCTAAATGAGAACAGCAGAATAACCATCCAACTGAACCCAGTCTGACTTGCCACCCTACACAATTGTTATCAAATAAACAGTCGTTGTTTTAAGTTTCTAGGTTATGGGGTGGTTTGTTTCACAGAAGTAGAGAATGAATGCAAGGGTTAGTGACCATCTATGCATTGAGATGTGAAAACCATAGCCCTCTTCCAATACTCAGTTCCCAGGTTATTGGTTTTAAATAACCAAGGCTTACCAATGTTTGAGGAAATCCTCTGCTATAAAGAACAGAGACTACTAAAGCAAATAAATAGAGACAATAAACTTGGAGGAAACAGAGGTAATGCAAGGAGGAGGAAACTTTAAAAATTATTGTTAATGTTATCAGAATGATTCAAATATTGTTGCCATAAAGCAAGAGCAAGATGCTATGACAGATTGGGCACAGTGGCTCTTGCTTAAAATTCCAGCACATTGGGAGGCCAAGGTGGGAAGATTGCTTGAGGCCAGGAGTTCGAGACCAGCCTGGGCAACATAGCTACACCCTGTCTCTACAAAATAAAAATAAGAATAAAAATAAAAATAAAAAAATCAGCCAGGTGCAGTGGTGTGTGGCTGTAGTCCCCACTACATGGGATGCTGAGGAAGGAGGATCACTTGATTCCAGGATTTGGAGGCTGCAGTGCGCCATGACTGTGCCACTGCACTCCAGTCTGGGTGACAGAATGAGGACCTGTCTCTTAAGAAATAAAAGGATGCCACGAGAAAAGAAGATTCAGAGAAAAAAAAAATCTCTTGGAAATTAAAAGCATGAGAAGAACAAACAAAAAAGAAATAGAAAAAAATAAGAGAAAATAGAAGGGAGAAACTTATCAAATAAATAATACAAAAAATTTATTAGCATGGAAAGGTAAGATTCTCTAGACTGACAAACCCAAACGAGGGCCAACCTCAGTATAAAGATCCACAAAGAGGCAAATCAGAGTGAAATTTCACAGTGCCAAGGATAAAGTGGAACCCTGAGTGCTTGTAAAAAGAGAAAACTAAACTAAACTAATTAGCAAACAACAACTGGTCCTGTGAAAAGGACTGGAATCAGAATGGCATCAGATTTCTCAACAGCAGTTCTGGAAGCCAAAAATCGTGAGAGCAATGATTCAACCTAGAATTTTCTGCCAAAAACTGTCAAACAAATGTGTGTGTGGAATAAAAGACAAATACACCAGAGCACACACAAAAACACATGAGGGAAATAAATAATTTACTTCCTGAGAGCTCTTTCACAAGAGTGACAGAGTAAAGTCAGAGCAAAAGCTGAATACAGTTCCAGAACCCAACCAGAAGGAAAGAAGGAGAACTTTTGTAGGGAGAAAAAAAGCACAATTCATGGATTATCTGTTGCCTTTGATTATGTGGAACTTGAGAGACCATTAGAGTCATTGGGAAGAATTTGTGATAGGTACATTAAAAGTTAACCAAATGAGTAGGAATGTCAGCAAGTAATCATAAAAAATGTTCTGTGAGAAAGGAAACACAATCACAGTGTACAACGGATTCAGCATTGTTCAACATTCGCATACTTGGAATAATTTAAACACCATATATTTCATAAAAACTGGATGATATAATTATGCTGAGAGGACAGGCAGAGAGGCAGATCTGCAGATCCAGAAGATCTTATTATTATGTTAAAGATCTAACTTAATATCTAACACAGTAAGAAGTCAATAATTTTTAAAGTGTACAATATAGCATTATAAATACAATAATTAGGAATAGAAAGATGGCCGGGTGCGGTGGCTCACACCTGTAATCCCAGTACTTTGGGAGGCCGAGGTGGGCAGATCACCTGAGGTCAGGAGTTCGAGACCAACCTGGCCAACATGGTGAAACCCTGTTTCTACTAAAATACAAAATGAGCAGGGCATGGTGGCGTGTGCCAGTAATCCCAGCTACATGGGAGGCTGAGGCAGGAGAATTGCTTGAACGCGGTAAGCAGAGGTTGCAGTGAGGTCCCTGCTCCCCAGCCTGGGTGACAGGGCAAGACTCCATCTCCAAATATATATATAAAGACCGATTTCAAAAGAAATATCTAGAAATATTGGCATTATTGACTTTGGGGAGTGATTCTGGGTATAGGCGGGGGACTTCTGGTTTTAGTTATAAAGATCTTAGTTTTGACTTATTTAGTTACAAATATAACCCTTTGATAAAAATAAGCTAGTAAGGTTTAGCAATATTAGAATTTTTGCAAATGATACATTGATTTTACACTTGGTGTTGTTGAGAATCATAGCCATAAGAAATATAATTGTTTACCCCTTCTGACTTTGTTTTAAATTTTCATTCACAGGGAAAGTTTTGCTAAAAAACTTACAGGAAGTCTGAGGATAAATAGGTAGTGTCAGAATATGGGTATTTTATAGATCTATGACTAGTTTCTACAACTTGTTTATCTGAAATTAGTTGTCCTTTAATGTGAGGACCAGTGAGTCTTTTCTCTTCTGGATGAGACTAAAGAACTACAGTAAATAAAGGAAAAGAGAATGGAGTCTAATCTTGAATAATAAAATAAGTTAAATTGTAATAATTGATTTGAAGTAAAGAAATGATTTAGGAGTTTCAGTTATATTGAAATTAAAAACACCTATCAGTTTTAAAAGTAAGCATTTTAATTTTTCAATAGAAATAAAGAAAAATGCCCAGAGAATAGTTATACAAGAAAGTGCTTTGGACTTGAAGTCAAGAAGGTCCAAATTTGATCTTTGGTTCTGCCTCTTACAGTTTTGTGACTTTGATGGTGATGTTTAATTAACCTCTCTCAACATTAATTTTTCTATCTACAAGGCAGGGATAAAAACACTAAATTTACAAGACTATTGTAAGAATTATTTAAGATTGTGTGTGTAAAAGCTCTTTACTGCACATTGACAGCATTATATAAATGTAGAGTCATTATTAAAATAATCACATTTTATCTTAAGTTCTTCTTTTAGCACCAGTTGCCTGTAGAAAGAACAATATTCAGTATTGGAGACAGCAAGTGACTCAGATGTTCAATGACAAACAAAACTGTCAAGTGAACTCCATAGGAAACAGGGTTAGAGTAGGGAGAAATTCCTATTTCTCTCTATCAGCTCTGTCAAATAGGAAGCAAAACAGGGTGAAGAAGGACAGTAAAGAGCATTAACCTATGTTGAACCTTCAGTCATACAATAAACTTATAACTTAAATGAAGTCTTAAAAAACTCAATTACGTAAAATGCAGGATTTTGCTGTTGGGAGATTAATTAAATGAGATCAGGGGATGGGGAAGGTTGGGAGTCGATTGACTCTTACATTTCAATTCTCATTATTATGGGGTTTTACTGTATTTTGCAAAGAGTCAATCCTTAATACCTCAATTTTGGTAGAAAGTAGATTATTTTTTCCCATTAATTCTTCTACGGTGGCCAGAAATTTGTGAACTTCACAGAATGCTTACTAATATTTTTGCTAATTCAATGAATATTTTCAAATATGATGTTTTTGGTTATAAAAGTCTTCACTGTATCCTGAATTAGTAACATATTCTCTGCTCACCTGCAGTTAGCTCCATCATCTCAGTGAATTAGTTGTTTTGTTGTTTCTTCATTGCTTTTGTTAAGATTCATGGGCTTCTGGTAGTCTACCTGAGTCCAGTTTAAGACCTCTACATTTCTGAACAAATGGGCTTATAAACAAAATAATTGCAAAGTGAACTTAGTCTTCACACGGCATGTAAAATTGTTATCAATTTGGTTCATTTTATTTTGTGAAAAATTATTTATCTTTAGACTGCATGTGCCAAATCTCTCTAGCTCACAGCAGACAAATTAATGAGCTGCTCAAAGCCTGCCTGGGTCAGTAGAGTTCCTTGGAGGTATTGCAGTTTCATTTATTTATAATACTTTCAGGTGGTTTCTGGTAATATGGGCCCCTAAATAGAATAAGAATTATAAAATTTACTCAAAGGATGCATCAGCCACCATGCTAGTTTGAAAAGAAAGAAATCATTGTGTGTTCTTTTGAACTGACAAAAAACAGCCATACAGCAGTGCTTCACCCCCAGTTTAAATAGACTGTTTAGAAAAACTAGATTTTATTAAAATGTAAGTATTAAACCTAAACAAAAATGGAATATTTGAGAAAATATAATTAAAATATGAAATACTAGCTCACAAAATTAGCTTCCTCTATAATTATTCATTAATATTTTAAAATGTCAATGTTAGATTGTGGGACTAAATGGATTTTTGATCAAAATATCACATTCTTAATGTTGCTGTTTAATTAAAGAAATTATTTCTGAAGAGTTTACCTTTCCCAGTGACACTCAGCATATATTGTTCATGTAGCAAATTTGAGACTGACTCAATAATATTAATATTAATAAATAGCATATACTGCCTTTTTGGTGCCACACAATGTTTTTGCAAATATCAATTCATTTAATCCTTATCACTCCACTATCAGGTAGCCACAGAAAAGGTAAGTAACCTCTTCAATGTCACACTATTAATAATATAAACTAGGTGATTTGAACGCAAGCAGTCTAGCTCCAGAGTTGTTATGCTAGCTACCTCACCTAGCTTTTCATTTTTATTTCCTCTTGCTAACCTTTGTGTTCCTGTATTACCATGGCAGACTGCTCTGCTCAGTGGATGGTTGTATGGATACAAACACACACACACACACACACACACACACAGAGGTACATTTACTTAGAAACATTCTGTTTTGGTAGGGAATCATTCTTTTTCTACATATATTTATGATCAGCAAACTTTAGTGCTTGTGTAGGAAACGTTAATTTTTGCAGATAGCTGCTAGCTTATAGTGAGTGTATTTTTGGCAATGGATTCACATTGATAACTGATTTTATTTCATTTCTTCACAGAGAACATTTGTCTAATAGTTGAAGGGCTATTTTTGCTGATTCAATCTAAAAAATGCATAGGAAGATTGAATCATGGTCATTCTCCAAAGATAAAATAGCTGTGACACTAATAACCCCAAACAATGCTCATTTAGGTACTTTGTACGGTGTGAAGAATGCAAAATCAGTAAATGTCTTTCTACTGTGGAGGAACATAGTTTATGAAATTGCAGGTACTCTACTAGTATTCTGTTTTTCTTAGATGAATAATGTGACAACGGACTATTGTCTTGACATCATAAAGAAGTTTGAAGTTTCAGAAGAAAATAAGGTGAAAAATGTTCTTGGCATAGAAGGTAAAATAACCAATATTCTTTATTTCTCATTTCTTGATTCAGCCTGTTAAGTTAAATTCCAGCAAAAGTTTTTAGGAAAAGAAATCAGGACATATCCATGGGATTATATTAATAAATAATTCAAACAAAATCTACAACACACATATATTTTCCTGCAAAGCAAAGACCATGATGTTGCTATTTGTCTTACTTTTGCAATGCCCATAAGCATTTTCCACTTCAAGCAAGTCTACCTGGTACCACCACGTGTGATGGATGCCATGACATATTTGGGCTTTTCTCAACTGGCTAATTTTTGGAAATTAGCCTGATAATTTCATGAAGGGAAATTCAGTCCTAAAATAAGTTATCCCTGAGACTAGTGACTTGCCATGTTTCCTTTAAAATGGTAGCAACTGACTGTATTTCCTAATTGGTAGCTTTGCAGAAGCTGTTGGAACCACAAATCTCATTAATACAATGACTTCATTTTTTAGTTGAGGAAGTGAGGCTCAAATAAGTTAAATAATTTGCCCACAGTTATATACCCAGAATCTAGCTCCTGAAATGTTAGACGTAAATAATATGGCAGAAATATAGCTACATGTATGTATATGTATTTAAAATATGTAAAGAAATACTATGTAGGCTGCCACCCAAGAGGAGGATCTTTCAGGCAGAGCAGATGATCTTTAATGAAAGACCAGCTGCCTATAAGAGCATGCAAAGCCATGGTTTATCTCACCAATTTTGACCGTTGGCCCCCTCATTTCTTCTGCTCCCAGATCAGTGTGAACAAGGGGGGTTTAATACCATCTATTTACTTCCTGTGGTGGTAGGTAATTAAAGTGAAGAGGAATAATTTAAAATCTTAGATCATTAGCCGGGTGTGGTGGCTCACACCTGTAATCAGCACTTTGGGAGGCTGAGGGAGGGGGATCACTTGAGGCCAGGAGTTTGAGACCAGCCTGGCCAACATGGTGAAACCCCATCTCTACTAAAAATACAAAAATTAGCTGGGCATGGTGGCGCATGCCTGTAATCCCAGCTACTCAGGAAACTGAGGCACGAGAGTCCCTTGAGCCTGGGAGGTGGAGGTTGCAGTGAGCCGAGACCGTGCCACTGCATTTCAACCTGGGTGACAGAGTGAGACTCTGTCTCAAAAAATAAAATAATAAAATAAAATAAAATCTTATATCATTAAAAACTGTTTTAAAAACAACCAGAGATGATAAACTAACTTGGGCCTTTTCTGTGCTAAGAAATGAATCTTTTCTTTGGTGAGGCCTGAAAAGATGGAATTAAACCTGGTTTCCTAAGTTATGGACATAAAAGTTGGCATGAAGAAATTAAGTCTCTGAGGATATTTACAAATATAATTATACCAAATGATTTTTGAAAACTTGAAATAATTTACCCTAATAATTATTCTATTTAGGTACTTGTGAGTCATCCATGTATTTATTTGTTATATTAGTGAAAACCTCTTTGACCCAGGCATTATATTTTGAAAGATTGTAAAAAAACTGATAGGGTTTTCTAAATAATCTTAAAGGACTATTTCAAAGTTATAAAATGTGCCAGCCATTAGCAGCATTTTTTCAAACCAATTTGGTTGTCAATCACACCCTGAATTTAGACAGTGTTTAACTTTTGGCTTACTACCTTAACTATGGCACTGACTTTACTGTTTTTCAGATGAACGTAATAACCTATCAATTGCTGGTTGTTCAGGGTACCTCTTGGTATCACTATGGTTTTAACATGGCATCAGTCACACTGCATAAGCATAGCTTGAGTTCAGTCATCACTAAACAGCTTGGCCCCTCCTCTACCTAGTCAAAATTCTTAAAAAGTCAACATATATATACACACATATATATATGTGTGTATATATATGTATATATATGTGTATATATACGTATATATATGTATATATGTATATATATGTGTATATATACGTATATATATGTATATATGTATATATATGTGTATATATACGTATATATATGTATATATATGTGTATATATACGTATATATGTGTATATATGTATGTGTATATATATGTGTATATATGTGTATATATGTATGTGTATATATGTATATATACATATATATGTATATATACATATATATATGTATATATATATTAGGTTATATTTAAAAGGCTATTCCTAAAAGTCACATTTCATTTTTTGACACTGTCTATTTGACTGTATTAGGCTGTTCTTGTGTTGCCATTAGGAAATACCTGGCCGGGCACAGTGGCTCACGCCTGTAATCTCAGCACTTTGGGAAGCCGAGGCGGGCAGATCACATGAGGTCAGGAATTCAAGACCAGCCTGGCCAACATGGTGAAACCCCATCTCTACTAAAAATGCAAAAAAATTAGCTACACGCAGTGGCGCATGCCTGTAGTCCCAGCTACTCAGAAGGCTGAGGCTGGAGAATCTCTTGAACCTGGGAGGCGGAGGTTGCAGTGAGCCAAGATCGTGCCATTGCACTCCAGCCTGGGCGACAAAGCAAGACTCCATCTCAAAAAAAAAAATAAATAAATAAAATAAAATAAAGAAGGAAAGAAAGAAAGAAATACCCGAGGCTAGGTAATTTATAAAGAAGAGTTTTAATTGGCTCACATTCTACAGGTTGTACCAGAAGCATGGTGCCAGCATCTGCTTGGCTTCTCTGGGGAGGCTGGAGGGAGCTTTTACTCATGGTAGAAGGTGAAGTGGGAGGAAACAGGTCACGTGGCTTGAGCTGGAGCAGGAGAGAGAGTGGAGTGGAGAGAGCCATATACTTTTAAACAAACAGATCTCAGGAGAACTCATGCGCTACTGCAAAGACAGCACCAAGCCTTGAGGGGTCCACCCCCATGATCCATACACCTCCCACCAGGGCCCACCTCCAACATAGGGGATTATATTTCAACATGAGATTTGGGTGGAACAAATATCTAAACCATACTATTGACCTCAAGCAAATCTCTCATTGCTCCAGTTTTCCCCACAAATGCCATCCTGAGGGTAAATAAGATAATCATTATGAACATTTTTTGACCCCTTTTGCCCCTCTTAGAGCCATTAAGTATATATGCTTTGAAAGCTGTAGTAAGTCACTCTCTTTCTTCCAAAGGCTTCACGAACTTCATGCGTAGTCCTGCCTGTGACATATTTAACCCATTGCACCATGAAGTGTACCAAGACATGGATCAGCCCCTCTGCAACTACTACATTGCTTCCTCTCACAATACATACCTGACTGGAGACCAGCTCCTTTCTCAGTCCAAAGTGGATATGTATGCACGGGTGCTGCAAGAGGGCTGTCGCTGTGTGGAAGGTACGTGCACTTTTTCTGAGCTCCGGTGTGTATGGGTGACCCTGTCCTTTAATCAGTCTGTCGAGTCTAGTATAAAGAATGGAGACCTAAAACACACTCTCACACTAATTAGTACTACTTTTCTGCTCATTGTAAAGTCAATCTTAACTCATAATTCTCTCTGGCTCCTTATTGTTCAATTGGGAGAAAGAGATCTGTGTTAGCAGTTGTGAAGCATACCGTTAGTTGCTGAGAAATTATGATGAAAATTAAAGTCTTCCTAGAAAGATATTTTTAATTATACAATTGCAAAAATAGTTCAGGAGAGCTCTTTGTTTTTATTTTTTAATTTTTTAATTTTTTATTTTTTTTGAGATGGAGTCTCGCTCTGTCACCAGGATGGAGTGTAGTGGCACGATCTAGGCTCAGTGCAATCTCCACCTCCCAGGTTCAAGCGATTCTCCTTCCTCAGCCTCCCAAGTAGCTGGGATTACAGGTGCACACCACCACACCCAACTAATTTTTTTTGTATTTTTAGTAGAGACGGGGTTTCACCATGTTGGCCAGGATGGCCTCGATCTCTGACCTCATGATCCACCCACCTCAGCCTCCCGAAGTGCTGGGATTACAGGTGTGAGCCCCCGCGCCTGGCCAAGCTCTTTGTTTTTAGGATACTTCATGGTCTATCAATTAGCCAACATTTATTAAACTTCTAGTGGGTTCCAGGTGGTGAGTATACAGGAGTAAGTAAAATATGAATTCTGTCTTCAGGGAGTTCACAGTCTAGTAGAAGGGATGAACATTTTTTTTATAAAATAATATAAACCAGGCATGGTATTGTACACCTATAGTTTTAGCTACCTGGGAGGCTGAGGTGGGAGGATTGCTTGGGACCAGGAGTTCAAAGCTGCAGTGTGCTGTGATTGTGCCTGTGAATAGCTATTGCATTCCAGTCTGAGCAACACAGTGAGACCCCACCTGTGAGAGAGAGAGAGAGACAGAGAGAGAGAAACAATGTGAAAATTTCACCGGTTGGTTGATATACAATGGTATAGAAGTGGTGGTATAGAGAATGAAGTGCGAGGTAAAATGTGATGAGAAATCAGTTAGGCTAGGAAGGGAGCTGAGGGTCAGCTGTAAAGGGTTTTGAGTGCTATGGTGAGGAATTTCATTTTAGTTTTTGGTAATGAGGGGCCAGTGAAAGGTTTTAATATCTATAGTGATATGATCAGATTTGCAGTTGAGAAAGATTATTTGGGCAACAGTGTGAAAGGATAATTTTAAAAGTTTTTTTTTTTTTTTGACATGTGTGTTTGTGGAGGGAGAAGGGAGGTGAAACTGGAAGCAGGAAGTTGGTGGGAAGGCTATCACAGTGAATCCAAGGGAGGATTCCAAAATCTTGGACTAAGTGAGAAAGAGATGATGTTAAGGATGCAGTATTGAAGAGGTAAACTTAGTGGAAACTGGTGAGAGAAAAGAATAAAAGGAACGAAGGGGAGAGCTAGAAGGTGGATGGTGCCACTCCATACTATAGGGAATCTGAGAACAAGAGTCTAAATGAGTCCAGTTTTCCATCTGCTGAATTTAGATTGATTTTGTAACATGTATGTGGACATCTTTATCAGTCATTTGGATAACAATGTCTGAACTTAATGAAGAGTCTGGGCAAGATAAGGATTCCAAAATGCTGAACTTGGTATGTGGTAGTTAAAATCATGGAAGTGTACAAGATCACTTACAGAGAGAAGGGGAAAAGAGGAAGAGGCCTGAGGACTTCAGCAATACAACGATTAGGAGTAGGGAGCACAAGGGGAGCCAGCAAGGCCAGTGCAGAGAACAGGAGTACTTGGATCTAAAGGATGAAAGGGTTAGAAAGGAATAGCCAGAAATGCCACAGGGAACAGAAAAATAAAATAAAACTAAGTATCCAATTTAGTTGTATTTGACAGCAGGGAATTGTTGGTGGCCTTTGCTATGTAGGTTGGTGATATGTTAGTGGGCAGTTGGTTACCTGCTGTCGATTGGTGACTGGGCATTTTTCTGCATCCAAATGTTTGATGATATAGGCTGGGGGGCAACTTTGAGACTTGGAAGTGGGGGAAATAATATAGGTTTGTTTTCAGGTGGAATAAAGGGGACAAGAGATTTTTGAAAGGGCGCATGCCTGTTTTCTCAGAGAAGTAGGAGAGAACATCATCCACTCAGTATAAAGTGAGTGGAGATTGGCCACAGGGCTTAAAATCAGCAAATTGTTAAAGAAGTCATCAGAGAATGGGAAAGGAATTGACAAGGTAAGTCAGGGAAGCCCAAGCTGATTTCAAAAACAGTCTTTACTGATTCAAAATCTGGATGCTTAGACTCCCTTTGATCCCATCCCCAGCAGTACTCATCTGCTTAGAGAAGTAGTGAAGACAGATTATGGAATTGATCCAAGTCTCGGGATTTCTAGATCATATTAAATATCTTCAAGGTATTGGTGAGAGCTCTTATAAGTAACTGACAGGGGCTCCATGGTTCTAGGAAAGGAAGCGAAGTGGATAGGGGGCCATAAAATAAGATTAAGAGACTAGAAGACTCAAATAAATAGAAAAATGTGGAAAGTTGTCATCACACTTTAAGAAAATGAGAACAGAGCTGTCATTGCAATGGGATTTAGTCACAGGTGACAATTTCCAGATTGTGTCATGGGTGAGCATCATGGAAACAGAGTGAAGCAAGGGATTATTGGCCTGGAGGAGGTCAGTGCTAAGGGATTAAATAGATGGCTACATGGTGTTTTAATTTACAAAGTATGCAGACAGGAGCAGATTGGAGATTAAAACTATAAACCAGACACTTAAGTATAAAAACAATGTGGCCAGGCGCAGTGGCTCATGCCTGTAATCCCAGCACTTTAGGAGGCTGAGACAGGCTGAGGCTTGAGGTCAGGAGTTTGAGACCAGCCTGGCCAACATGGTGAAACCGCATCTCTACTAAAACTGCAAGAATTATCCGGGCATGGTGGCATGCACCTGTAGTCCCAGCTGCTCAGGAGGCTGAGGCAGGAGAATCACTTGAACCCAGGAGGCAGAGGTTGCAGTGAGCCGAGATCATGCCTTTGCACTCCAGCCTGGGCAACAGAATGAGATTCCATCAAAAAAAAAGTACTGGAGAGGATGTGGAGAAATAGGAACACTTTTACACTGTTGGTGGGACTGTAAACTAGTTCAACCATTGTGGAAGTCAGTGTGGCGATTCCTCAGGGATCTAGAACTAGAAATACCATTTGACCCAGCCATCCCATTACTGGGTATATGCCCAAAGGACTATAAATCATGCTGCTATAAAGACACATGCACACGTATGTTTATTGCGGCATTATTCACAATAGCAAAGGCTTGGAACCAACCCAAATGTCCAACAATGATAGACTGGATTAAGAAAATGTGGCACATATACACCATGGAATACTATGCAGCCATAAAAAATGATGAGTTCATGTCCTTTGTAGGGACATGGATGAAATTGGAAATCATCATTCTCAGGAAACTATCGCAAGAACAAAAAACCAAACTCCGCATATTCTCACTCATAGGTGGGAATTGAACAATGAGAGCACATGGACACAGGAAGGGGAACATCACACTCTGGGGACTGTTGTGGGGTGGGGGGAGGGGGGGAGGGATAGCACTGGGAGATATACCTAATGCTAGATGATGAGTTAGTGGGTGCAGCGCACCAGCATGGCACATGTATACATATGTAACTAACCTGCACAATGTGCACATGTACCCTAAAACTTAAAGTATAATAATAATAAGAAATAATAATTAAAAAAAAAAGAAAAGGTGATTAGAAGATGCCAGAAAGGTATAGCTGGATAGAATAAGCTTCAAAAGAGGAGAGATTTTTTAATGAGTGTAGAAGAACAATCATTTAAAAGTAGCAGTAAAGGCATAGATAATGCCTTTTGGTTTATATCTAAATCTTCTGTGATTTATACAAAAGAGCATCCTTGGAGAAAGGAAGTAGTGCCCTCGAAGGTAAGCTGGTGCTTAGCCAGGGTAAGGAGGTTGAGGAGAATTCCAAAGGGAGTCTGAAGATAAAAGGGAGTTGGTTTATGATTGAATGGAGATGCCATGAGTCACAGGGAATTGTCTTTTGATTTTGGTGGGGAATGTGCTGGGAGTCAGCAGTGGGATGACTGGTTTTCCTAGGCATGGTGGAAAGTGCAGGGCAATGAATAAAGCAGTAGGACAATGAGATAAGACTGCTTAACTGGAAGGGCCTTTCTTTGTCAGATAGTTTCTAGCTTGAATTTTCTGCTACAAAAGTGACAGTAATGTTATTAAGGTAAATCAACATGCTTAAAAAATGGGCAGGTATTAAAAACTACCTGCATACAGAAACATTAGGATGACTACAAATTGAATGCTCTGTAAATTTAGTCGTTCAATAGTATTTTTGCAATAGTTGCAGAGAGTACATACCAGCAATAGTGATTAACAATTGAGTAGCTTAAACAACTGAATAATGAAGATGCTATAAAATATTAAGAGGAAGAAAATCCTTTCAAGCAGTAAGATGTCTCAAGGTGACATTCTGCTCTCAGCCATTATTCAGCCCTTTGTTTGCTTAGCACTCAACAAGTTTTCATGTCTGGCATGCATAGAGATGCCCTGAGCACACAGCCTCATTGGATTCACACTGATGGTTGCCTATCATTGTAAATAGTGACATTTTCTTGGAGGTTCAAGTACAGAAAATGACTTTTAGTGACTCCATGAAGTGACAGTCAACTCTAGACAATTTTACAACTTTGTTAATTCTGTCTCTTCTGCTCTATTTCTTTTGCTTTTCAGTTCTTTCAGATACCTAGGCTTCTCTTTTTGGTTTACCTGTCCAAAATCAGTATCCTACCCAAGCCTAACCATGTTTCTGTCATTAATTCCTTATACCGACTCAAAACTTCTAAACCTCCAGCTTTGTTTGGGGTATTAAGAAGGAAAGTTATCTGATTAAGATAATTCATGATAAAGTACACATGATTTTTAGTTGTTGCTTTTCCAGTAGTCTTTTAATTCTAAAATGGGAGCTTTTGGAAATTGTGTGCAGTAGATGACATTGAACAAGAGCCTTCTCTTGTACCTTCTTACTTCCTGTTTTCCAGTCGCTGCTGTAATATAAAGAAGCTACTTGGCTCTGTATGTCCAAAAGGTTACCTTCTCCAGATACTTGTACAAACGAGGCTATGCACAGCTATGGTATAATTTTGAAGGATATGTAATTTTTTATATGCTCCCAAATATCTTCCTCACCAGCTTGCATCAGTAAATTCTTTCCCTAGTATTTGGCTTAAAGTTCTTATTATTAGAATAATCTATAACTGGACAATAGAAGTTGAACTACTATTTCTGGAATGTTTTTCTTGAGGAGAATAATTATATTTATCTCAGAGACTTGGCCAGCTTTGCATTTGACCTATTTCTTTGTATTTGTTTGTTCATTTTGTTTTTGTGTGTTTGACCTATTTCTTATTGGAAATAGTGGTTGTCACCTTGGATTTGAATGTATTGTAGGAAGGAAAAGAGGACCTACTATGATTTTAGCAACTTTAGTGGACCAGGTCCTGGCTAAGTGTTTTCCGTGCATTCTCATTTAATTCTTATAACACCACCAAGAAAGAGGGAATAATCTCTTCTTAAGAGATTCAACTCATAGTTAAATAAATGGCTTAAGTTCCCGAGGTTAGGAAGCTTGGAAGCTGGGATTTGAACTCAGGTTGGTCTGACTCTTGAATTGCACTGTTCTCCAGAAAGTCTGTGTGTTTTTGGAGGAGCAAGCATTGAATGACATGACCAGCCCTAAGGAATTGAATGAGGCTGTCATGTCATATAAGGATGGCCAGAGAAAGTGAGGAGCACAACATAGAGGAGAGGTTGGCATTAAAAGGAGGAATTTGCTTCATTTGTGATTAGGCCTACCACCTAAATATTTAGATGTTCCTGAAGGCTTAGCATTTGGTGACATGATCTCTGTGGTCCTCCTAACAATATCTGTCAGTCCTGTGATTTGAAGACCTTAGTCCACATTTGAAGCTTGGGCACAGAGACACCAGTGTGTGTATAGTAGTCTCCTCTTATCTGCGGTTTCATTTTCCATGGTTTCAGTTAGCCATGGTCAGCTGCACCCCGAAAATATTAAATAGAAATTCCAGAGAGAAACAACATATAAGTTTTAAGTTGTGTACCATTCTAAGTAGTGTGATGAAATCTCACACCGTCCTACTCTGTCCCTTCTTCACCACAAGAGGAAAGGTGATACAGTAAAATATCTTGAGAGAGAAACCACATTCACATAACTTTTATTGCAGTATAATTGTTCTGTTTTACTATTAGTTATTGTGAATATCTTACTGACCTAATCTATAAACTAAACTTTATTATAGGTATGTATATGTAGGAAAAAAACAAGGGTGTATGTATAAGGTTCAGTACTTTGCAGTTTCAGGCATCTACCGGGAGCCTTAGAATTTATCTCCCGAGGATAAAGGGGTACTGCTGTATACCTAGTGGCATTTTATCTGCCATGTGGCCAGATGAAGGTATTTTTATTCTTAAACAGCTGCAGTTAGAATTTAAAGAACACAATTTATAGAATGTAGCCGGTCATGGGTTGAAAATTTCAGGTCCCACAGCTGTTTTCTGAAGCAGCTTTTGCTAAGTGTAGCACTTGAGAGATGGAGAAGAATGATTCTACAGTATTTTCACACTATTGTGACCTGGAGGTTCTCTCTACTTTCAAGCTTCTATTTTGGTAATGTTATGTTTTCCATCTCCATTAGTTCAGCTGCAATAATGTCCTTAGTCAGGATATGTACACAGTGTCTTGAGGAAGAGCAATAAGTCTTTTTGGTGAGGTGGGCTTGTCAGCAAATCAAATGGATAACATTTTTACATGGCCTTTTATTCGCTTGATTTTCAGCCTGAGTTGCTTAATAAATATGGATGTTCTGTCCAGGGGATTTTCATTCTCATTATGGGACTGATGTTGCATTGCTGTTGTAATCGGTTTATGACTTCTCCAGTTATCTCTGGGAGTGCTATCAGGGTGGAACGTCTTTAAGCTCCATTATGAAAAGCTGTCATGTTAGCTATTTGGCCTTCAGAATGGCTAAATCTTTGTTGGAGTTGCTTTGCTTTTGGGGTTCCATAGTGTGTAACCTGATTGAAAAATGGGCCCCGGCTCTTTTATGAGCAGGGGAATTGGACAGAGGATTTCTACCTTGCCAACATTCCCATTTACAGCATTAGCACTTACAGGAAACTTCACTGCCATTTGAACCTGGCCACGAATGCCACATATTAAGATGCCAGTACCATTTGGGAATGTTGTTATCTTCATCTCACAGACAAGTGATGGAATTAGATATAAAAATTGAACATTAGGAGAACCTCCTATCCTCAGTTATGAATATTCTGCCTATGTTGTAAATACTAGCCAAAGAGTGCCTTCTTTCATGACTCGTGTAGTTTTAATTTTTGATGTAGACACCATAAGCAAGTCGGGCAAGGTATTGCTTTGTCGCCTTTGCATTCTTTTGGAAAAGCTATTAGTTCCTTTATGAAGAATCCTGTTATGCTCTTTCTTCTCCAAGAAGGGACCACAAAACAGGGTAAAAATTGTTAAAATTATATATTATTTGAAACACCTGTTAAGTTTTTTCCATAATTATTTCCAGAGACAAATTAAAGACTGTCAAGTACATGGAAAAATATGGATGACGCTTCTCTTGTGAGAAGATGTTGTTGATACATATGACCTCATTTGCAGGCCCCAAGGAATAGTAGACACTCTCTGATAGTATCTCAGAACCTTTGGTTTTCTTAACAGCATTTTATCCTTAAACATTGTTTTTAGCATTCCTGTGGTATCAACTGTGAATGTTTTTTCTTCTTTTATTTTTTCTATTTTTTTCCCATAGGGATATTTGAACAGCCAGTGTTTAGTGGATTAATATAGATAGCTGTATTAGTCGGGGTTCTGCAGAGAAACAGAACCAATAAGATATGTAGAGAAAGCAAGAGATTGAGATTCGTTGTCTGATTTTTAAGGAATTGACTCTCATGCTTGTGGGTGTTGGCAAATCTGAAATCTGTAGAGCTGGCCAGCAGGCTGGAATTCAGGCAGTTTCTGTGTTGCAGTGTTGAGAATTTATCCTTGAAGGGTAACCTCAGTCTTTGCTCTTAAGGCTCTCAGCTGACTGGGCGAGGCCCACTCACATTGTGGAGCATAATCGGCTTTACCCAAAGCCTACTGATTTAAATGTTAATCCTATTTTTAAAATATCTTCACAGAACATATAGACTGGTGTTTGACCAAATAACTGAACATCATAGCCAAGCCTCATTGACATGAAAAATTAACCATTACAATCACATTGTAATTATGGTGAGCATTTTGAATATTTTAAAAGAAAAACAGAGATATCTCCTGGGGTAATACACAAAACACACATATAGGGGAAGGTGCTACTAAAATAGAGAACATATGTGGTTCACAACTGTGTGGTCCTAATTAAAGGCAGAGTTTCTTTTATTTTGAGACGGAGTTTCACTCTTGTTGCCCAGGCTGGAGTTGCAATGTCACGAGCTCGACTCACTGCATCCTCCACCTCCCGGGTTCAAGCGATTCTCCTGCCTCAGCCTCCTGAGTAGCTGGGATTACAGGCATCCGCCACCACACACAGCTAATTTTTGTATTTTTAGCGGAGAAGGGGTTTCACCATGTTGGCCAGGCCGGTCTCGAACTCTAAAGGCAGACTTTCAATCAGCATTCCATTATGCAAATTCAGCTTGCAGAAATGTTTATGTTTGACCCATATTGTAGTTTTAAAAATGGATTAATTGCCAGTATTTAAAAATTGGGAAAATTCACAGCAATAAAATCTAGACATTTTAGTTTCCTCAGAAGTTCTGGCAACCAAGGTTCTCATTCCTACTTAGTAATGATTAACAGTAAGTAGTTATCTCATTCAGGCACACATTTCCCATTGAGCCGCTGCACTTATTTATATTAACTGCTAGGCTTTTGGTGGTGTTTGAGATGATGACCTCTTGCCATAAGGAAAAGAGAGATCCTGTGGGCTAGCGAGGTTCTGTGGGGGATCCTAGTTTTGCCTTGATTAGGATTTAGGTAAGCAAAATGAGAAGGGGATATGTCAGTTGACTTTAAAGAAAGAAGAAAAGACACATGGAGGTGGGAATGTGTGTGAGAAAATTTGCCTAACCAGAAGAACAAGCCTGTGAGCTTGGGTGTAGGAGAAAGTAAGATTGAATTGTCAGACAGGAGCTAGCATGGTAATTAAGGCAACATTGTCCTTTTAACAATAAAACTTCAAATTTCCTGTGCCTTAAAACAACTGAAGTTTATTTCTTGATTATGTCAAGTTCAAAATAGGTGTTCCTAGTGGGTGAATCTCTCAAGCAGTTTTGTCTTTTTCCATCTTGTGGCTGTGCCATCTTCACCACTTCTAAAGTCACAGCAGAAGAGGAAAGAAGACGAATGATTATGTAAGGCAGCAGGTTTCTGTCAACCATACCTGGAAGTGGTGCACATACTTTCTGCCCACATTTCACTGGCCACATCCTCCTGCAAAGGAAGGCTAGGAAATAGAGTCCAGCTGTGTTCCCTCGATAAAAGAAGAAACAGGGTTAGTGAATGATTAGCCAGGCTCTAGCACAAGAGACAGGGGCGTTGGAGGTAAGCACGCAAGAGCTATTGTATGAGGTAAGATATTTATTAATCCATTTAGCATATATTTACAGACTACTTACTTCTCTGTGTTGGATGCTGTGCTATGCACCAAGTAGGCTTTTGAGCAAAGGAGCAATGAGGTGAAAGTAGTGTTTTGAGGAATTAGCCTGGGGGCAAAATATAAAAACAAGAGAAAGCAAATTCTTAGTCAGAGGGGCATGGTGAAAAACCTACTGTCTTTCTCCAGCTGAGAGCTAATGAGATTGTGTGGGTAGAGAGCAATATTAATAGTATCAATAACAATCATAGTTACTATATGCCATGCAGTGTTACAAGCTACTTTACATATATTTAACTGTCACTCAAATTTATGATGTAAGTGCTATTACTCTCCTTTTCTAGATGGGGAAAACAAGTCTTCAAATGATTAAGTTATTTGCCCAAATTCACATAAATCTTGGCAGCGCTCGAGGATTTGAACTTAGGAAGTTGATGTTATTTTATAACTACTGTAGTATTAATGAAATGAAAATCAATCTAATGAAAACATTGTGAGCCTAAGTGAACAATAATGAAAACTATATTATTGATTTGGGAAGGACACTGTGACTTTCTAAAAGACCTTCATAACCTGAAGAAGAAGAAGAAGAAGAAGTGAAATTGGGTAAATGACCTTTCAAGAAATCTCCCTATCCTTGGGCACACTTGACTGGATTTAGATAAGTTCTAATGAGTTTTTGGTGAATTCTGAGCTGTTTAAGAATATGACATCTTTTTAACCACACTCAAAACCAAATCATTGTGTCTTGAGGAAAAGCAATTCTTTAATTCCTTGTTCTGATAAATATGCCAGAACACCGATTTCTGTGTCTGTGTCACGTCTTTGTCAGGATTGAAATGGGTATAATTTCAGATAATGGACTTAATATGTGTCTGGTATTTCCAGAAATATTAATAAACACCAGAGACTTTGGGTTGTTGATATAAAGTTCTGTTTTTGGCAGTTGACTGTTGGGATGGCCCAGATGGAGAGCCAGTAGTACATCATGGTTACACTCTCACTTCAAAAATTCTCTTCAGAGATGTTGTGGAGACCATCAACAAGCATGCCTTTGTGAAGAATGAGTAAGTAAAGCAGCACCTGTGAGCTAAGCGGTAGCCTCCCGCATGGAGCATTGCCTGATGTAACGTAGCTACAAAACCACATCCTCTTCCTTGGACTCTACACTGCCCTCTTTGCTAGACTAGTTTTCTCCCTCCTTCTCAGCAAAACATTGTGAACAAATAATGTGGCCTTCCCGTTTGTACTTTCTCATGCTGCATTTATTCCTTGTCCCATTCTTTCTCAATATGCCTCCTTAAAGACATTCTTGCAAATAGTGACCTCTAAATTTCTAAATCCAGGGTGTAGAGTGTCCATAAAATCTGGAAACATAGGTTACTGTGTACATAATTAGTGGGTTCTGATCATGATGGATGTCTTATCTATACACTGAGGTGTCTGGAGTCCTTATGTTACTTGACCCTCTCCTTGTCATTTGACAGTGTTGAATATTTCCTCCCCACTACTTGCCTTTTTTGGTTTCCATTATATCATTCTCCCCTCCATTGCTCTCGTTGCTTCTCAATCTCTTTTTTTTGTACTGCAGTCTTCTGTTAATCTATTTCCTCATTCCTCTAATGGTTAACTGTTTTCTAAGGTTTTGCCCTAGATCACTTTCTGGATATTTATCAAATTCTATGTCCAGAACTTTCCCCTCAAGTTCTAGGCCCATGTTGAAACATACTCAGTGAGGCCGGGCACGGTGGCTCCTGTAGCACTTTGGGAGGCTGAGGAGGGTGGATCACGTGAGGCCAGGAGTTTGAGACCAGCCTGGTCAACATGGCGAAGCCCTGTCTCTACTAAAAAAATACAAGTATTAGGTGGATGTAGTGGTACACATCTGTAATCCCAGCTACTTGGGAGGCTGAGGCATGAGATTTGCTTGAACCCAGAAGGTGGAGGTTGTAGTGAGCTGAGATTGCACCACTGCACTCCAGCCTGGGTGACAGAGTGAGACTCCATCTCAGAAAAATAAAAATAAAAATAAAAATCCTCAGTGAATATTCATCTGAGTATCCCATAGGTGTGGGGAGCCACAACAGTGAGCAGAAGATAAGACTCCTGCCATTAAGGAGCTTACTCCCCAAGGGGAACTCAGCATCTCATTCTGCCAAACTTCCTCTTGATTCTCGCTCCATTTCCTCTTATTAATAGTTAGGGGCAGCACTGGCCTCAGCCAGAAACTGGGAGTCATTCTAGACTCAACCAATTCTTGGCAATTCTACTTCCCAAGTTATCTTTTGACTCCATTGCCTCCTGTTCATTTTTATTTCCCCTTTGGTTCATCCTCAACACTGGTGCTATAATTTTCTTTCTGAAATATGAGCATGGTGATTCAATTCTTGTCTTAAAGCCTGTCAGAAGCTCTCTCAATACACAGGCATGTCTTCATATCCCTTAAGGTCTGGCATCTCCCTTGTCTTCCACTATCATCTTCCACCATTATTCCACAGAGATTTAGGATTCTGCCTTCAATGACTGTCTTTCAGCTTCCCTATTGAGCCTGGCTCTTTCTCAACTCCCCACTCTTACGTATGCTGTTCTCTCTGCCTGGAACAACCTTCCCCGTTAGTCTATCTGATTAATTGTTGCTTATTCTACAAGGCCGTTTAAGTATTGTCCCTCCAACAAGTTACTAATACCACCAGCTGATTTAAATCTTCTTTTTCTCCATATTTTCTCTGTATTTAGCACCCTGCACATATTTCTGTCATATCATATAGCACCCTCTTGCAATTGGTTGGTTACTTGCCTTCTTTTACATCTGTAAGACTGTGAACTCACTGAAAATATGAGCAATCTCTTATTATTTTGTATTCATTTTTGTTGCCTAGCAGGTACCTTCAGTATACCAGCTATTCAAGAAAGGATTTTTGAATTAAAGGAAACAAATTAAAATTACAATTGTGTAAAATTAATTTTTTAGAAGTTAGTAGCCTTTAAAATTTCCAATATTTGGTCTTCTCATTAATTAAACATGAGGTTAAAAATGCTTTTCTAATAAGACACACTTGCTGTATAGCAGATTTAGTTTATGATGCCTCCCACGTGGAAGAATCTTGAACACTGCATTCTAATGGGTCTTTACAACCCTGATTTCTACAGGTCCTAGCCAAATGGGTGAAGTAATTTTGCCTTTATTTCCCAATGTATGAAGTAGGGTGTTGAGAAGGCCTGCCACCTATGTATCTTGGAAGATCCTCTGGTGATTTGACAATTTACTTCAAGTTTGGGAACTCTTAGAAGAAAAGCACTTCAAATTAAAAGAGTTAATAAACTTGTTTAGTACATTTTAAAAGTTCAGCCTTTTCCTCTCCTTTCTTAACTTTGGTTGCATCTTTATATCAGGGTTTCTCAACCTTGGCACTAATGACATTGTGTACTGATAATTTTTTTTTTTTTTTTTTTTTTTTGGTAGAGAGCTGTCCTGTGCAGCGTAGGGTGGAAAGCAACATCCTCAGCTTCTATTCATTATGTGCCAATAGCACCCCTGAAGTGTGACCACCAAAAATGTCTTCAGATATTGACAAGCGTCTCCTGTACTGGGGGGAATAATTGCCTCGTTCCCTGTTGAGAAGCACAGCTTTACACTAAACATCATCAAGCACTAATTAGGCTTTTTTTTTTTTTTTTTTTTTTTTTTTTTTTTTTTTCTGAGGCAGCCTTGCTCTGTCGCCCATGCTGGAGTGCAGTGGCATGATCTCAGCTCACTGCAACCTCCGCCTCCTGGGTTCAAGCGATTCTCTTGCCTCAGCCTCCTGAGTATCTGGGATTACCGGCACGTGCCACAATGCCTGGCTAATTTTTGTATTTTTAGTAGAGACAGTGTTTCACTATATTGCCCAGGCTGGTCTCGAACTCCTGGCCTCAAGTGATCTGCCTGCTTCGGCCTCCCAAAGTGCTGGGATTACAGGCATGAGCCACCACTCCCTGCCACTAATAGATTTTTTGTAAATGAATTGACAATGTGAAAATTCCTTGTTAAAACTCCCTGATGTGACTGCAGGACAACTCAGGGTTGTCAGTTTGTTGTTGCTGTTGCTTTTCCCTCTTCTAGCACTTTAGGGTAAAACCTATGTGAAGAAATGAATAGCAAACAGATTGTAGTCGAGTAAGGAAACCTACCTCAGCCACAAAGGCTCATCTGTAAGATGGCCCACAGCATCAGGTTTTACTAATGAGGAGAGAAGGTAGGTCTGGCGGTCATAGCCCGTATTGTGGAACTTGTGCTTGTCATGAAAGCCTGGAAAAAGTTTTTCTGCACATTGATATATTAGGTGATTTAAATATTGGTATATGTTGATATATTAGGTGATTTAAATATATTGCCTATTATGTCTGAAGACATGTAACGGAAAACTAGAAAAAAGTCAATGAACCTGAATTTGAAATAATTTCTTATTCTGAGGAAAAAATAAGGTTGAGAGAGGAGTAAAATCATGTAATCAGCCCTGATCTCCTTTCTGCCTTAGCCACCAACTCCTTTAGGTAATTATTTACATGGATCTCATGTTTTCTGTGCAGAAACCTGAGTGCTGGTGTAGAATGAATGCTTGGCTGGTTTTTATTTTTATTTTTTGACAAAGACTAGTATATAATTCTATCAAAGTGATTTTGAAATGTGCGACGTAGGATGCTATAAAACACAGAATTCCCTTATGTTATTTTATCCTCAATCATAATTTTCAAGGTGGGGGTTAATTATATATTTTAGAGTCAATAGCTTCATTTAATGACATTCAGTGGTCTCTTAGAAGCTGTTAGACTTTTGAATAAATAAGACAAAATTACATTATATGAGTTTACTTTCTTTAGACTTCTCATCTCTTTTAAAATTTTCTCTTCTTTTAAAAGAAACATAATATATCTACCATTGTTTCCTGATGCAAAATATTAGAAAAGCCATCCCATGTGGATTGGTATTTTGTTCATCCATTATGCTTAGCAAAGTATATTTGCTCAGAGGAATTTTTTAAATGCATTTCTAATCTTTCTCATTTTAGAAGCATTTTAACCATCATCAGTATCGCAAATACTGTCACTAGGATTGTAACAACACAGTGAATACTGAATCATTTTCAAAAGTCCCTGTGAGTTGCCTGCACCTGACGCCTCTGGACTGTGTTGCTCTTTTCTCAGGTTTCCTGTTATATTGTCTATCGAGAATCACTGCAGTATCCAGCAGCAAAGGAAGATTGCTCAGTACCTGAAAGGAATATTCGGAGACAAACTGGACCTGTCATCTGTTGATACAGGGGAGTGCAAGCAGCTTCCAAGCCCTCAAAGTTTGAAAGGCAAAATTCTAGTGAAGGTAATTACTTCAAGTAATGCAATAAAAGACATTCATTATCAGCTAAGCCTGCCCTCCCTTAAAGAATAAAAATGGGTTTCAAGGGAGAATAATAATTAGAATCAATATATGAAGGATTGTCTAGATCTATGTATGCGCCTTATTCCAATTTTTTTATAGTCGTGTCTTCAGAAGAAGCTTATTGTTGAGTGAGCACATATTCTGAGATTTGTACTTATGAAGTGGAAACATCAATACTGTAAGCCAAATGTTTGATATTTTAGTCTGTAATAGTTCACACTAGAGAGAAATGTGTGTGTAGGAGCGTGAGGTTCAGGAAAGGAGAAGGCTCCTTGTATCCATATCTGAAAGCAGTTCTTTCAGACTTTTTCTCCCATTTCAAGCTCCAATAACTGTCTGTCAAAAAAACCAAAAAAAACAAAAAGCTTCATGGTTGATCAGTCTTGGTTATGCAAGTGAGAAGAGCTCACTTCAAAGAGGAACACAGGCACAGACATAATAATGCCCCACAGGACTCATGTACGTGTGAAAGAGCAGTAGGTGAACAGAATGACATTTCATAAACAGATTTTCTGAGAGAGGAAGCTTACTACAATAAATATTATTCATGCAAAGAATAGCCAGAAAGACAGTTCTTTCAGTTTTCAGATCACTGACTTTGTGGTTTTACTTATTTCCAGTGAATTTTGTGTGTTTGTACTAAAACCACCTTGGGTGGCCACATCATTTTGTGATTAAAAATGTAAAGGAAAGCAATAGGGTATTAAAATTCAAACTGGGTTATATTTTACTTAAAAGAGGTGTGTATGAAAAAACAAATATATAGGAGGAGCAGGAAAGTCAAGGAGGCAATGTAATTTCATGGCAGGACTTCAACTGGGGCTTTAAGGGAGAGCAGCACATGGAAAAGATGGAACATATTCATTCTTAGAATTGGTCAAAACCTGTTTTCTACCAATTAAATAAAATTATAGATTCTGAATACATCAAAAAGGTGTTGCTAGGCATTTATATGCATAAAGGTATTTTGAATAAAAGCTCCACATAATGCAAGAGATAACATGAAGGCCAATTTGCCCAAGTCTTGCTAAAGCAAACTTTTATAGTAAAAATTGATTTGTGGGTTAGAAAATGAAATGTCATCTTTATAACCTTGTAAATGTTTCTACTTCCTAAATATTCTTTAGTCAGCAGTCAGGATGTTAAATGCAGAATAAATTCATTTGATTGAAATCTTTCTCCTTTGGACAGTGGAACTCACAGTGGATATTTAATGTGGACTAATTGAGTCTCCTTTGCATAACTGGGCTTTGAGTTATTTGACACAGAATATCCCAGGGCTTATGGCATCAGGATGAATCAGAGGCAGAAAGTCTGAGGCACTCATGGGAAAGGGTGGCAACAATGTGAACTGCAAGTATTTCAAGAGCATCTGAGATCCATTTGCTAGTAGTAATGTTGTTTAGACATTAAGGAGCTGCCTGGATCTGCGGACCAGCGCAACCCCATTTAAAGCAAAAACAAGGCAACTGATTTATTGTGTTCCTTTACTATCAGAGCAATCTCTGATTGAAAAGGCAGGATGTCTATGACTACTTACCACTTTGGAGATTGACAAGTTGTTTATTATTACAACTGTTACACACATATGTTCCAATCATGCATGCATACACATTTATATATGTGTAAATTTTCTGATAAAATACAGGCAAAGTTCATTTTTTAAATTTATTTTTATTTTATTATTATTATACTTTAAGTTTTAGGGTATATGTCCACAATGTGCAGGTTAGTTACATATGTATACATGTGCCATGCTGGTGTGCTGCACCCATTAACTCGTCATTTAGCATTAGGTATATCTCCTAAAGCTATCCCTCCCCCCTCCCCCCACCCCACAACAGTCCCCAGAGTGTGATGTCCCCTTCCTGTGTCCATGTGTTCTCGTTGTTCAATTCCCACCTATGAGTGAGAATATGCGGTGTTTGGTTTTTTGTTCTTGCGATAGTTTACTGAGAATGATGATTTCCAATTTCATCCATGTCCCTACAAAGGACATGAACTCATCATTTTTTATGGCTGCATAGTATTCTATGTTGTATATGTGCCACATTTTCTTAATCCAGTCTATCATTCTTGGACATTTGAGTTGGTTCCAAGCCTTTGCTATTGTGAATAATGCCACAGTAAACATACATGTGCATGTGTCTTTATAGCAGCATGATTTATAGTCGTTTGGGTATATACCCAGTAATGGGATTGGTGGGTCAAATGGTATTTCTAGTTATAGATCCCTGAGGAATCGCCACACTGACTTCCACAATGGTTGAACTAGTTTACAGTCCCACCAACAGTGTAAAAGTGTTCCTATTTCTCCACATCCTCTCCAGCACCTGTTGTTTCCTGACTTTTTAATGATTGCCATTCTAACTGGTGTGAGATGGTATCTCACTGTGGTTTTGATTTGCATTTCTCTGATGGCTAGTGATGGTGAGCATTTTTTCATGTGTTTTTTGGCTGCATAAATGTCTTCTTTTGAGAAGTGTCTGTTCATGTCCTTCACCCACTTTTTGATGGGGTTGTTTGTTTTTTTCTTGTAAATTTGTTTGAGTTCATTGTAGATTCTGGATATTAGCCCTTTGTCAGATGAGTAGGTTGCAAAACTTTTCTCCCATTTTGTAGGTTGCCTGTTCACTCTGATGGTAGTTTCTTTTGCTGTGCAGAAGCTCTTTAGTTTAATTAGATCCCATTTGTCAATTTTGGCTTTTGTTGCCACTGCTTTTGGTGTTTTAGACATGAAGTCCTTGCCCATGCCTATGTCCTGAATGGTAATGCCTAGGTTTTCTTCTAGGGTTTTTATGGTTTTAGGTCTAACGTTTAAGTCTTTAATCCATCTTGAATTGATTTTTGTATAAGGTGTAAGGAAGGGATCCAGTTTCAGCTTTCTTCATATGGCTAGCCAGTTTTCCCAGCACCATTTATTAAATAGGGAATCCTTTCCCCATTGCTTGTTTTTCTCAGGTTTGTCAAAGATCAGATAGTTGTAGACATGGGGCGTTATTTCTGAGGGCTCTGTTCTGTTCCATTGATCTATATCTCTGTTTTGGTACCAGTACCATGCTGTTTTGGTTACTGTAGCCTTGTAGTATAGTTTGAAGTCAGGCAGCGTGATGCCTCCAGCCTTGTTCTTTTGGCTTAGGATTGACTTGGCGTTGCAGGCTCTTTTTTGGTTCCATATGAACTTTAAAGTAGTTTTTTCCAATTCTGTGAAGAAAGTCATTGGTAGCTTGATGGGGATGGCATTGAATCTATAAATTACCTTGGGCAGTATGGCCATTTTTATGATATTGATTCTTCCTACCCATGAGCATGGAATGTTCTTCCATTTGTTTGTATCCTCTTTAATTTCCTTGAGCAGTGGTTTGTAGTTCTTCTTGAAGAGGTCTTTCATGTCCCTTGTAAGTTGGATTCCTAGGTATTTTATTCTCTTTGAAGCAATTGTGAATGGGAGGTCACTCATGATTTGGCTCTCTGTTTGTCTGTTATTGGTGTATAGGAATGCTTGTGATTTTTGTACATTGATTTTGTATCCTGAGACTTTGCTGAAGTTGCTTATCAGCTTAAGGAGATTTTGGGCTGAGACAATGGGGTTTTCTAGATATACAAACATGTCATCTGCAAACAGGGACCATTTGACTTCCTCTTTTCCTAATTGAATACCCTTTATTTCCTTCTTCTGCCTAATTGCCCTGGCCAGAACTTCCAACACTATGTTGAATAGGAGTGGTGAGAGAGGGCATCCCTGTCTTGTGCCAGTTTTCAAAGGGAATGCTTCCAGTTTTTGCCCATTCAGTATGATATTGGCTGTGGGTTTGTCATAGATAGCTGTTATTATTTTGAGATATGTCCCATCAATACCTACTTTATTGAGAGTTTTTAGCATGAAGCTTGTTGAATTTTGTCAAAGGCCTTTTCTGCATCTATTGAGATAATCATGTGGTTTTTGTCTTTGGTTCTGTTTATATGCTGGATTACATTTATTGATTTGCATATATTGAACCAGCCTTGCATCCCAGGGATGAAGCCCACTTGATCATGGTGGATAAGCTTTTTGATGTGCTGCTGGATTCGGTTTGCCAGTATTTTATTGAGAATTTTTGCATTGATGTTCATCAAGGATATTGGTCTAAAATTCTCTTTTTTGGTTTTGTCTCTGCCCGGCTTTGGTATCAGGATGATGCTGGCCTCATAAAATGAGTTAGGGAGGATTCCCTCTTTTTCTATTGATTGGAATAGTTTCAGAAGGAATGGTACCAGTTCCTCCTTGTACCTCTGGTAGAATTCGGCTTTGAATCCATCTGGTCCTGGACTCTTTTTGGTTGGTAAGCTATTGATTATTGACACAATTTCAGAGCCTGTTATTGGTCTATTCAGAGAGTCAACTTCTTCCTGGTTTAGTCTTGGGAGGGTGTATGTGTCGAGGAATTTATCCATTTCTTCTAGATTTTCTAGTTTATTTGCGTAGAGGTGTTTGTAGTATTCTCTGATGGTAGTTTGTATTTCTGTGGGATCAGTGGTGATATCCCCTTTATCATTTTTTATTGCGTCTATTTGATTCTTCTCTCTTTTCTTCTTTATTAGTCTTGCTAGCGGTCTATCAATTTTGTTGATCTTTTCAAAAAACCAGCTCCTGGATTCATTAATTTTTTGAAGGGTTTTTTGTGTCTCTATTTCCTTCAGTTCTGCTCTGATTTTAGTTATTTCTTGCCTTCTGCTAGCTTTTGAATGTGTTTGCTCTTGCTTTTCTAGTTCTTTTAATTGTGATGTTAGGGTGTCAATTTTGGATCTTTCCTGCTTTCTCTTATGGGCATTTAGTGCTATAAATTTCCCTCTACACACTGCTTTGAATGTGTCCCAGAGATTCTGGTATGTTGTGTCTTTATTCTCGTTGGTTTCAAAGAACATCTTTATTTCTGCCTTCATTTCGTTATGTACCCAGTAGTCATTCAGGAGCAGGTTGTTCAGTTTCCATGTAGTTGAGTGGTTTTGAGTGAGTTTCTTAATCCTGAGTTCTAGTTTGATTGCACTGTGGTCTGAGAGACAGTTTGTTATAATTTCTGATCTTTTACATTTGCTGAGGAGAGCTTTACTTCCAAGTATGTGGTCAATTTTGGAATAGGTGTGGTGTGGTGCTGAAAAAAATTTATATTCTGTTGATTTGAGGTGGAGAGTTCTGTAGATGTCTATTAGGTCCGCTTGGTGCAGAGCTGACTTCAATTCCTGGATATCCTTGTTAACTTTCTGTCTCGTTGATCTGTCTAATGTTGACAGTGGGGTGTTAAAGTCTCCCAATGTTAATGTGTGGGAGTCTAAGTCTCTTTGTAGGTCACTCAGGACTTGCTTTATGAATCTGGGTGCTCCTGTATTGGGTGCATATATATTTAGGATAGTTAGCTCTTCTTGTTGAATTGGTCCCTTTACCATTATGTAATGGCCTTCTTTGTCTCTTTTGATCTTTGTTGGTTTAAAATCTGTTTTATCAGAGACTAGGATTGCAACCTCTGCCTTTTTTTGTTTTCCATTTGCTTGGTAGATCTTCCTCCAACCTTTTATTTTGAGCCTATGTGTGTGTCTGCACGTGAGATGGGTTTCCTGAATACAGCACACTGATGGGTCTTGACTGTTTATCCAATTTGCCAGTCTGTGTCTTTTAATTGGAGCATTTAGTCCATTTAATTTAAAGTTAATATTGTTATGTGTGAATTTGATCCTGTCATTATGATGTTAGCTGGTTATTTGCTCGTTAGTTGATGCAGTTTCTTCCTAGCCTCGATGGTCTTTACAATTTGGCATGATTTTGCAGTGGCTGGTACTGGTTGTTCCTTTCCATGTTTAGCGCTTCCTTCAGGAGCTCTTTTAGGGCAGGCCTGGTGGTGACAAAATCTCTCAGCATTTGCTTGTCTGTAAAGTATTTTATTTCTCCTTCACTTATGAAGCTTAGTTTGGCTGGATATGAAATTCTGGGTTGAAAATTCTTTTCTTTAAGAATGTTGAATATTGGCCCCCACTCTCTTCTGGCTTGTAGAGTTTCTGCCGAGAGATCCGCTGTTAGTCTGATGGGCTTCCCTTTGTGGGTAACCCGACCTTTCTCTCTGGCTGCCCTTAACATTTTTTCCGTCATTTCAACTTTGGTGAATCTGACAATTATGTGTCTTGTAGTTGCTTTTCTCGAGGAGTATCTTTATGGCGTTCTCTGTATTTCCTGAATCTGAATGTTGGCCTGCCTTGCTAGACTGGGGAAGTTCTCCTGGATAATATCCTGCAGAGTGTTTTCCAACTTGGTTCCATTCTCCCCGTCACTTTCAGGTACACCAATCAGACGTAGATTTGGTCTTTTCACATAGTCCCATATTTCTTGGAGGCTTTGTTCATTTCTTTTTATTCTTTTTCCTCTAAACTTCCCTTCTCGCTTCATTTCATTCATTTCATCTTCTGTCACTGATACCCTTTCTTCAAATTGATTGCATCGGCTCCTGAGGCTTCTGCATTCTTCATGTAGTTCTTGAGCCTTGGCTTTCAGCTCCATCGGCTCCTTTAAGTACTTCTCTGTATTGGTTCTTCTAGTTATACATTCGTCTAAATTTTTTTCAAAGTTTTCAACTTCTTTGCCTTTGGTTTGAATTTCCTCCTGTAGCTTGGAGTAGTTTGATCATCTGAAGCCTTGTTCTCTCAACTCGGCAAAGTCATTGTCCATCCAGCTTTGTTCCGTTGCTGGTGAGGAGCTGCGTTCCTTTGGAGGAGGAAAGGTGCTCTGCTTTTTAGAGTTTCCAGTTTTTCTGCTCTGTTTTTTCCCCATCTTTGTGGTTTTATCTACTTTTGGTCTTTGATGATGGTGATGTACAGATGGGTTTTTGGTGTGGATGTCCTTTCTGTTTGTTAGTTTTCCTTCTAACAGACAGGACCCTCAGCTGCAGGTCTGTTGGAGTTTGCTAGAGGTCCACTCCAGACCCTGTTTGCCTGGGTACCAGCAGCAGTGGCTGCAGAACAGCAGATTTTCGTGAACCGCAAATGCTGCTGTCTGGTTGTTTCTCTGGAAGTTTTGTCTCAGAGGAGTACCCGGCTGTGTGAGGTGTCAGTCTGCCCCTACTGGGGGGTGCCTCCCAGTTAGGCTGCTTGGGGGTCAGGGGTCAGGGACCCACTTGAGGAGACAGTCTGCCTGTTCTCAGATCTCCAGCTGCGTGCTGGGAGAACCACTGCTCTCTTCAAAGCTGTCAGACGGGGACATTTAAGTCTGCAGAAGTTACTGCTGTCTTTTTGTTTGTCTGTGCCCTGCCCCCAGAGGTGGAGCCTACAGAGGCAGGCAGGCCTTCTTAAGCTGTGGTGGGCTCCACCCAGTTCGAGCTTCCAGGCTGCTTTGTTTACCTAAGCAAGCCTGGGCAATGGCGGGCTCCCCTCCCCCAGCCTCGCTGCTGCCTTGCAGTTTGATCTCAGACTGCTGTGCTAGCAATCGGCGAGACTCCATGGGCGTAGGACCCTCCGAGCCAGGTGCGGGATATAATCTCCTGGTGCGCCGTTTTTTAAGCCCGTCGGAAAAGCGCAGTATTGGGGTGGGAGTGACCCGATTTTCCAGGTGCCGTCTGTCACCCCTTTCTTTGACTGGGAAAGGGAACTCCCTGACCCCTTGCGCTTCCCGATTGAGGCAATGCCTTGCCCTGCTTCGGCTCGCGCATGGTGCACTGCACCCACTGTCCTGCGCCCACTGTCTGGCACTCCCTAGTGAGATGAACCCGGTACCTCAGATGGAAGTGCAGAAATCACCGGTCTTCTGCGTTGCTCATGCTGGGAGCTGTAGACCCGGAGCTGTTCCTATTCGGCCATCTTGGCTCCCCCACCAGCAAAGTTCATTTTATTGTATTTTACTTTATTGCATTTCACAGACACTGCATTTTGTGTGAGTGTGTGTGTGTGTAACAAATTGAAGGTTTGTGGCAACTCTATGTCAAGCAAGTCTTTCGGCACTGTTTTTCCAAAAGTATGGGCTCACTTTGTGTCTCTGTGTCACATTTTGGTAATTCTTGCTCTATTTAAAACTTTTTCATTATTATTGTATCTGTTGTGGTGATCTGTGATCGGTGATCTTTAATGCTACTATTGCAATTGTTCTTGGGAGGCATAATCCCTGCCTATATAAGATGGCAAACTTAATTGATAAGTGTTGTGTGTGTACTAACTGCTCCATGAACCACCTGATTCCCCATCTCTCTCCCACTCCTCAGTTCTCCCTGTTTCCTAAGACATAACAGTATGGAAATTAAGCCAGTTGATAACCCTACAATGGCCTCCAAGTGTCCAAGTGAAAGGCAACTCACATGTCTCTTACTTTTTAAAAAATATTTATTAATTTCAGTAGGTTTTGTGGGAACAGGTAGTGTTTGGTTACATGGATAAGTTTTTTAGTGGTGATTTCTGAGATTTTGGTGCACCTGTCACCTCAGCAATGTACACTGTACCCAGTGAGCAGTCTTTTATCCCTTGCCCCCTCCCACTCTTTCACCCGAGTCCCCAAAGTCTATTATATCATTCTTGTGCCTTTGTGCCCTCATAGCTTAGCTCCCACTTATAAGTGAGAACATATGTTTTGTTTTCCATTCCTGAGTTACTTCACTTAGAATAATGGTCTCCAGTTCCATCTAGGTTGCTGCAAATGCCATATTTCATTCTTTTTATGGCTGAGTAGTATTCCACGGTGTATATATGTATACCACATTTTCTTTATCCACTCGTTGATTGATGGGCATTTGGGCTGTTTCCATATCTTTGCAATTGTGACTTGTGCTGCTAAAAATATGTGTACAAGTGTCTTTCTCATATAATGACTTCTTTGCCTCTTGGTAGAGATGCAGGAGTGGTATCTACCAAGAGGAAAATATTTACTTTTAGTTCTTTAAGGAATCTCCACTGTTTTCCATAATGGTTGTACTAGTTTCCATTCCCTCCAGCAGTGTAAAAGTGTTCTGTTTTCACCACATCTATGCCAACATCTGTTATTTTTTGATTTTTTGATTATGGCCATTCTTGCAGGAGTAAGTTGGTATTGCATTGTGGTTTTGATTTGCATTTCCCTGATTATTAGTGATGTTGAGCATTTTTTCATATGTTTGTTGACCATTTGTATATCTTTTTTTGAGAATTGTCTATTCATGTCCTTAGCCTACTTTTTGATGGTATTATTTGTCTTTTTCTTCCTGATTTGTTTGAGTTCCTTGTAGATTGTAGATATTAGTCCTTTGTCAGATACATAGTTTGTGAAGATTCTCTCCCACTCTGTGAGTTGTCTGTTTACTCCACTGATTATTTCTTTTGCTATGCAGAAGCTTTTTAGTTTAATTAAGTCCCATCTCTTTATCTTTGTTTTTGTTACATTCACTCTTGGGTTCTTAGTCATGAAGTCTTTGCCTCAGCCAATGTCTAGAAGGGGTTTTTCCAGTGTTAACTTTTAGAATGTATATGGTTTCAGGTGTTATATTTAAGTCTCAGATCCATCTTGAGTTGATTTTTGTAGAAGGTGAGAGATGAGGATCCAGTTTCATTCTTCTACATGTGCTTTGCCAATATTCCAGTACTATTTGTTGAATATGGTGTCCTTTCTCCACTTTATGTTTTTGTTTGCTTTGTCAAAGATCAGTTCACTGTAAGTATTTGGCTTTCTTTCTGGGTTCTCTATTCTGTTCCATTGGTCTATGTGCCTATTTTTATATACCAGTACCATGCTGTTTTGGTGACTATGGTCTTATATTATACTTTGAAGTCAGGTAATGTTATGCGTCCAAATTTGTTCTTTTTGCTTAGTCTTGCCTTGGGTATGCGGGCCCTCTTTTAGTTCCATATGAATTTTAGGATTTTTTTTCCAGTTTTGTGAGGAATGATGATGGTATTTTGATAGGGATTACATAGAATTTATAGATTGCTTTTGGCAGTATGGTTATTTTCACAATATTGATTCTACCCATCCTTGAGCATGGAATGTGTTTCCATTTGTTTGTGTCATCTATGATTTCTTTCAGCAGTGTTTTGTAGTTTTCCTTGTAGATATCTTTCACCTCTTTGTTTAGGTATCTTCCTAAGTATTTTGTTTTATTTTTTGCAGCTATTGTAAAAGGGGTTGAGCTTGGTTGTTGTTGGTATATAGCAGTGCTATTGATTTGTGTATGTTGATCTTGTATCCTGAAACTTTACTGAATTCATTTATCAGATCTAGGAGCTTTTTGGATGAGCCTTTAGGGTTTTCTAGGTATACAACCATATCATCAGCGAACAGCAACAATTTGACTTCCTCTTTACACATTTGGAAGCCCTTTATTTCTTTCGCTTGTCTGATTGCCTTGGCTAGGATTTCCAGTACTATGTTGAACAGAAGTGGTGAAAGTGGGCATCCTTGTCTTGTTCTAGTTCTCAGGGGGAATGCTTTCAGCTTTTCCCTGTTCAGTATAATGTTGGCTGTGGGTTTGTCATAGATGGCTTTTATTACCTTAAGGTATGTCCCTTCTATGCCGATTTTGCTGAGGGTTTTAATCATAAAGAGATGCTGGATTTTGTTAAATGCTTTTTCTGCATCTATTGAGATGATCATGTGATTTTTGTTTTTGATTCTGTTTATGTGGTATATCACATTTATTGACTTGTACATGTGAAACCATCCCTGCATCCTTGGTATGAAACCCACTCGATCACGGTGGATTATCTTTTTGATATGCTGTTGGATTCAATTAGCTAGTATTTGGTTGAGGATTTTTGCGTCTATGTTCATTAGCGATATTGGTCTGTAATTTTCTTTTTTTTTTGTTATGTCCTTTTCTGGTTTTGGTGTTAGGGTGATACTGGCTTCATAGCATGATTTAGGGGGGATTCTTTCTTTCTCATCTTTTGGAATAGTTTCAATAGATTTGGTACCAGTTCTTTGCATGTCTGATAGAATTAAGCCGTGAATCCATCTGGTCCTGGACATTTTTTGTTGTTGTTGGCAATTTTTTTTATTAGCATTTCAGTCGGACTGCTTGTTGTTGGTTTGTTCAGAGTTTCTGTTTCTTCCTGGTTTAACCTCCGAGGATTGTATATTTCCAGGAACTTACCCATCTCCTCTAGGTTTTCTAGTTTGTGCATGTAAAGGTGTTCATAGTATCCTTGAATGAACTTTTGTATTTCTG
Organism: Homo sapiens; assembly: GCF_000001405.40. NCBI lineage: Eukaryota > Metazoa > Chordata > Mammalia > Primates > Hominidae > Homo > Homo sapiens. The sequence goes on along the minus strand of NC_000003.12, from coordinate 155,538,582 downwards.
TGATATCGGTTGTAATATCTCTCATTTTGTTTCTAATTGAGCTTATTTGGATCTTCTCTCTTCTTTTGTTGGTTAATCTTGCAAATGGTCTATCAATTTTGTTTATCTTTTCAAAGAACCAGGTTTTTGTTTCATTTATCTTTTGTATTTTTTGTTGTTGTTTCAATTTCATTTAGTTCTGCTCTGATCTTTGTTATTTCTTTTCTTCTGCTGAATTTGGGGTTGGCTTGTTTTTGTTTCTCTAGTTCCTTGAGGTGTGACCTAAGATTATCTGTTTGTCCTCTTTCAGACTTTTGACATAGGCATTTAATGCTATGAACTTTCCTCTTAGCATCACTTTGCTGTATCCCAGAGATTTTGAAAGGTTGTGTCACTATTATCGTTCAGTTCAAGGAATTTTTAAGTTTCCGTCTTGATTTCATTGTTGACGCAACAATTATTCAGGAGCAGATTATTTAATTTATATGTATTTGCACGTTTTGTGGGGTTCCTTTTGGAGTCCATTTCCAATTTTATTCCACCGTGATCCTAGAGAGTACTTGCTATAATTATGATTTTCTTAAATTCGTTGAGACTTGTTTTGTGGCCTGTCATATGGTCTGTCTTGGAGAATGTTTCCTGTCCTAATTAATAGAATATATATTCTGCAGTTGTTGGGTAGAATATTCTGTAAATATCTGCTAAGTCTATTTGTTCTAGGGTATAGTTTAAGTCCATTGTTTCTTTGTTGACTTTCTGTCTTGATGACCTGTCTAGTGCTGTTAGTGGAGTATTGAATTCTCTCACTATTATTGTGTTGCTGTCTACATTATTTCTTAGGTCTAGTAGTAACTGTTTTATAAATTTGGGAGCTCCAGTGTTAGGTGAATATATATTTAGGATTGTGATATTTTCCTGCTGGACTAGTTCTTTTATCATGGTATAGTGTCCCTCTTTGTTTTTTTTAACTGCTGTTGCTTTAAAGTTTGTTTTGTCTGATATAAGGATAGCTGCTCCTGCCCACTTTTTTTGTCCATTTGCATGAAATATCTTCTTCTACCCCTTTACTTTAAGTTTATGAGTCCTTATATCTTATGTGAGTTTTTTGAAGACAGCAGATATTTGGTTGGTGAATTCTTATTCATTCTGCCATTCTGTGCCTTTTAAGTGGAGCATTTAGACCATCTACATTCAAAATTTGTTTTGAGAGATAAGGTACTATTAGATTCATTTTGCTAGTTTTTTTTGCCTGAATACTTTTTTTTTTCTTCATTGTATTGTTTTATAGGCCCTGTGGGACTTATGCTTTATGGAGGTTTTATTTCGGTGTATTTTGAGGTTTTCTTTCAAGATTTAGCACTCCTTTTAGGTTTTTTTTTTTTTTTTTTTTTTTTTTTTTTTGGTTTTTTTTTTTTTTGTAGTGCTAGCTTGGTAGTGGCGAATTCTCTCAGCATTTTTGTTGCCTATGATCTGAAATTGGATTATTGCGTGTGTCTGAAAAGGACTTTATCTTTCCCTTATTTATCAAGCCTAGTTTTGCTGGACACAAGATTTCTTGGCTGATAATTATTTTAAGGAGGCTGAAGATAGGACCCCATTCCTTTCTAGCTTGTAGGATTTTGGCTGAGAAATCTGCTTTTAATCTTATAGGTTTTTCTTTATAGACTACCTAATGCTTTTGCCTCACAGCTGTTAAGATTCTTTCCTTCATCTTGACTTTAGATAACCTGATGACTATGTGTCTAGGTGATGATCTTTTTGTGATGAATTTTCTAGGTGTTCTTTGAGCTTCTTGTATTTGGATGTATAGATCTCCAGCAAAGCCAGGGAAATTTTCCTCAATTATTCCCTCAAATAGGTTTTCCACACTGTGAGATTTCTCTTCTTCCTGGGGAACACCAAGTATTCTTAGGTTTGTTCATTTAACATAATCCCAAACTTCTTCCAGGCTTTGTTCTTTTTTTAATTCTTTTTTCTTTGTCTTTGTCAGATTGGGTTAATTCAAAAGCCTTGTCTTCAAGCTCTGAAGTTCTTTCTTCTACTTGTTTGATTCTTTTGTTGAAACTTTCCAGTGTATTTTGCATTTCTCTAAGAGTATCTTTTATTTTTAGAAGTTGTGATTGTTTTGTATTGATGCCGTCTATTTCTCTGGATATTTTTTCATCCATAGTCTGCATTACTTTTGAATTTCTTTAAATTGTTTTCCACCTGTCTCTGGTGCATCCTTGAGTAGCTTAATTATCAACCTTCTGAATGCTTTTGCTGGCAAGTCAGGGATTTCTTCTTGGTTTGGATCCTTTCTTGGTGAGATATTGTGATCTTTTGAGGGTGTTAAAGAAACTTGCTTTTTCATATTGCCAGAATTGTTTTTCTGGTTCCTTTTCATTTGGGTAGACTACGTCAGAGGGAAGATCTGGTATTCAAAGGCTGCTGTTCAGATTCTTTTGTCCCACAGGGTGGTCTTCTTATGTGGTGCCCTCCCACTTCCTCTAGGCATGGGACTTCCTGATAGCTGGACTGTAGTGATTGTTATTGCTTGTCTGGGTCTAGCCACCCAGTGGGGCTACCAGGCTCCAGCCTGGTACTCAGGAATATCTGCAAAGAGTCCTGTTAAGTGATCTGTCTTCAGGTCTCTCAGCCATGGAGACCTGTTCTGGTGGAGGTAGCAGGGGAGTGAAGTAGACTCTGTGAGGGTCCTTGGTTGTTTTGTTTAGTGTGCTGGTTTTCTCGAATGCTGGTTGTGCTAGTTGTTGGTTATCCTCCAGCCAGAAGGTAGCACTTTTAAGAGATCATCAGCTGATACAAGCTTGCCCTAAGGTCACCTGGATACATATTTGGGTTTCTCAGCCAATGGGCAGGGCCATAGAGCTCCCAAGAGATTATGTCTTTTGTCTTCAGCTACCACGGTGGGTAGAGAAAGACCATCAGTTGGATGCAGGGTCAGGCGTGTCTAAGCTCAGACTCTTCTTGAGCAGGGTTTGCTGTCGCTGCTGTAGGGGCTGGGAGTGTGGTTCTCAGTCCAATGGAGTTATGTTCCCAGGGGGATTATGGCTGCCTCTGCTGCATCATACAGGTCACCAGGGAAGTGGGGAAAGCTGGCAGTGACAGGCCTCACCTAGTTCCCACTCAGCCAGCAAGGCCAGTCTCATTCCCACCACCAGCACCGAGTTTATATCCAGGCAGCTCATGAGTAGGGCTGAGATCTTGCCCCAGGCTACAAGCCTCCCCACTGAGAAAGCAAGCTGGCCTTTCAGGCCCCACCTCTCCCCACCTGCCATGGCCTCTGTGCTCCTATCTGCACTTCCTGTTTGCTCCCGTCACTGCCCCCAGATTCTGCCCATAAATGTTTACGCTTGGTTGTAATTATTACAAAGTTCATCTCAAAGTTTCCTTCTCCCTGTATTCTTTCCCCAGTTCTACTGGTAGCCTCCCCAAAGGCCCCTGTGAGACAGTCAGAAGTGGTTTCCCTGGGTACTGGGTGTGCCCACAGGGCTCTTCCTGCTGTTTCTTCTACCTTTATATTTTGCTCAGCTCTCTAAATTTGTTTCAGCTCTTGGTAAGGCCAAATCCTTCTCTCATTTTATTAGTCTGTTGTCATACTGCTATAAAGAAATACCTGACACAGAGAAATTATAAAAAGAGGTTTAATTGACTCACAGTTTCACAGGCTTAACAGGAAGCATGTCTAGGAAGCCTCATGAAACTTACAATCATGGCAGAGGGCAAAAAGGAAGCAGGCACCTTCTTCACAAGGTGGCAGGAGAGAGAAGGGTGAACAGTGAAGGGAGAAGAGCCTGTTATAAAACCATCAGATCTCATAAGAACTCACTATCATGAGAACAGCATGGGGAAACTGCCCCCATGATCCAATTACCTCCCACCAGGTCTCTCCCAAGAAATGTGGGTATTATGAGGATTATGATTCAAGATGATATTTGGGTGGGAACACAGCCAAACCATATCATTCTGCTCCTGGCTGCTCCCACATCTCATGTCCTCACATTTCAAAACACAGTCATGTCTTTCCAACAGTCCCCCAAAGTCTTAACTCTTTCCAGGCTTAACCCAAAAGTCCAAGTCCAAAGTCTCATCTGAGACGAGGGAAGTCCCTTCTGCCTAGGAGCCTGTAAAATCAAAAGCAAGTTCGTTACTTCAAAGATCCAATGGGGGTACAGGCATTGGATAAATGCTCCCATTCCAAAAAGGAGACATCGGCCAAAACAAAGGAGATACAGGCTCCATGCAAGTCCAAAATCCAACAGGGCACTCATTAAATCTTAAAGCTCCAATATAATCTCCTTTGATTCTATGTCTCAGATCCAGGTCATGCTGATGCAAGAGGTGAGCTCCTATGGTCTTGGGTGGCTCCACTCCTGTGGCTTTGCAGGGTACAACACCCCTCCCAGCTGCTTTCACAGGCTGGCATTGAGTGTCTTCATCCTTTCCAGGCACACAGTGCAAGCTGTCAGTGGATCTATCATTCTGGGGTCTGGAGGACGGTGGCCCTCTTTTCACAGCTTTACTACACAGTGGTCCAGTGGGGATTTTGTATGGGGCCTCCAACTCCACATTTCTCTTCCATACTGCCTTGAGGGCTCCACCCCTGTAGCATACTTCTGCCTAGGCATCCAGGTGTTTCCATACATCCTTTGAAATCTAGGCAGAGGTTCCCAAACCTCAGTTCTTGACTTCTGTGCACCTGCAGGCTCAACACCATGTGGAAACTTCCAAGGCTTGGAGCTTACACCCTCTGAAGCAATGGCCTGAGCTGAATGTTGGCCCCTTTTAGCCATGGCTAGGTTGTAGAGTACCAAGTCCCAAGGCTGCACAGAGCAGTAGCAGGGCCCTGGGCTTGGCCCATGAAAGCATTTTTTCTACCTAGGCCTCTGGGTCTGTGATGGGAGGGGCTGCCATGAAGGTTACTGACATGTCCTGTAGACATTTTCCCCATTGTCTTGGTGACTAACATTCAGCTCCATTTTACTTATGCAAATTTCTGCAGCTAGCTTGAATTTCTCCCCAGAAAATGGGTTTTTCTTTTCTTTCTTTTTTATTTTGAGATGGAGTTTCACTCTTGTTGCCCAGGCTGGAATGCAGTGGCATGATCTCAGCTTACTGCAACCTCCGCCTCCTGAGTTCAAGCAATTCTCCTGCCTCAGCCTCCCAAGTAGCTGGGATTACAGGCATGTGCCACCATGCCTGGCTAATTTTGTACTTTTAGTAGAAACGGGGTTTCACCATGTTGGTCAGGCTGGTCTCAAACTCCTGACCCCAGGTGACCCACCTGCCTTGGCCTCCCAAAGTGCTGGGATTACAGGCATGAGCCACCATGCCCAGCTGGATTTTTCTTTTCTATCACATCATCAGGCTGCAAATTTTCCAAACTTTTATGCTCTGCTTCCCTTTTAAACATAAGTTCCAATTTCAGATCATCTCTCTCAAGTTGAAAGTTGCACAGATCTCTAGGGCAGGGGCAAAATGCCACCAGTCTCTTTGCTAAAGCATAGCAAGACTGATCTTTGCTCCAGTTCCCAAAAAGTTCCTCATCTCCATCTGAGACCACCTCAACCTGGACTTCTTTGTTCACATCACCATCAGCATTTTGGTCAAAACCATTCAACAAGTTCTAGGAAGCCCCAAACCTTCCCATATCTTCCTATCTTCTTCTGAGCCCTCCAAACTGTTCCAACCTCTGTCTGTTACCTAGTTCCAAAGTCAATTCCACAGTTTCAAGTATCTGTATAGCAGTACCCGACTCTCTGCAGTACCAATCTACTGTATTAGTCAGTTTTCACACTGCTATAAAGAAATACCTGAGACTGGGTAATTATAGAGGAAAGAGGTTTAATTGACTCACAGTTTCTCAGGCTTAGCAGGAAGCATGGCTAGGAGGCTTCATGAAACTTACAATCATGGCAGAAGGTGAAGAGGAAACAGTCACCTTCTTCAGAAGATGGCAGGAGAGAGAAGAGTGAGTGTGAAGTGGGAAGAGCCCTTTATAAAGTCATCAGATCCTGTGAGAACTCATTCACTATCACAAAAACAGCATGGGGTATCTGCCCCCATAGTCCAATCACCTCCCCCCAGATTTCTCCCTAGTCACGTGGGTATTATGGGGATTACAGTTCAAGATGAGATTTGGGTGGGGACACAGCCAAACCATATCACCTGTGATCTAGAATTTCAGATTCCCCAGTGAGGATGTGTTTTCGAGGGTGGATCTTCCCTCCTCACACTTTGGCCACTCACAGTTTTTCAGCTGTCTCACAGAGCTTGGAACAGCAGTCTGCTTCCTTCAAAGGGTCTGTGAATTCTTTTGGTTTTCCTGGTATGTTCCTGCAGTAGTTCTTGTAGCACAAGTTCACGATGCGAGTCTTCACATGCTCTTCCATTGTCCGAGTGGGAGCTGCAAGTTAGTCCTGCCTCCTGGATGCCATTTTCCTCTGGCATCTCCACATTTCTCTCACTTTCAATCAAAAACTACAAATGATTAAGCTTAGTGAGGAAGATGTGTTAAAAGACAAGACAGGCTGAAAGCTGGGCCTCTTGTGCCCAAGAGTTAGCCATTTTGTGAATGCAAAAGAAAAATTCTTGAAGAAAATTAAAAGTGCTACTTCAGTAAACACACAATGATAGGAAAGCAAAATAGCCTTAACTTATTGCTGATAGAGAGAAAGTTTGAGTGGTCTGGATAAATGATCAAACCAGCTACAACATTCCGTTAAGCCAAAGCCCAATCCAGAGCAACTCTCTTAAATTTTGTGAAGGCTGAGAGAGGTGAGGAAGCTGCAGAAGAAAAGTCTGGAGCTAGCAGAGTTTGGTATATGAAGTTTAAGGCAAGAATCCATCTCCATAACATAAAAGTGCAAGGTGAAGCAGCAAGTGTTGGTGGAGAAGCTGCAGCAAGGGATCTAGAAGGTTTAGCTAAGATAATTGATGAAGGTGGCTACACTAAACAACAGATTTCTTTTTGGTTTTGGAGATGGAGTATCACTCTGTCACCCAGGTTGGAGTGCAGTGGCGCCATCTTGGGTCACTACAACTTCTACCTCCTGGGTTCAAGTGATTCTCCTGCCTCAGCTTCCCAAGTAGCTGGGATTACAGGCACGTGCCACCACGCCCAGCTAATTTTTGTATTTTTAGTAGACATGGGGTTTCATCATGTTGGCCAGGCTGGTCTCGAACTCCTGGCCTCAGGTGATTTGCCTGCCTTGGCCTCCCAAAGTGCTGGGATTACAGGCGTGAGCCACTGTGCCCAGCCTAAACAACAGATTTTCAATGTAAACAAAACAGCCTTATATTGGGAGATGATGCCATCTGGGACTTTAATAGCTGCAGAGGAGTCATTGCCTGCCTTCAAAGCGTCAAGAACAGGCTGAGTCTCTTGTTAGAGACTAATGCAGCTAATGACTTTAAGTTGAAGCCAGTGCTCATTTTTCATCCCCTAGGCTCTTAAGAATTATGCTAAATCTACTCTGCCTGCACTGTGTAAATGGAATAACAAAGCCTGATGACAGCACATATTTTTACAGCATGGTTTACTGAATATTTTAAGCCCACTATTGAGACCTACTGCTCAGGAAAAAAGATTCCTTTCAAAATATTACTGCTCATTGACAATGCACCTGGTCACCCAAGAACTCTAATGAGATGTATAAGTAGATTAATGTTGTTTTCATGCCTGCTACACAACATCTATTCTGTAGCTCGTTGTTCTATGTATAATTTTGACTTTCAAGTCTTATTATTTAAGAAATATACTTTGTAAGCCTATAACTGCCATAAATAGTGATTCCTTTGATAAGTCTGGGTAAACTAAATTGAAAACCTTCTAGAAAGGATTCACCATTCTAAATGCCATTAAGAACATTTGCGATTTTTTTTGAGGAGGTCAACAGATTATTAGCAGGAGTTTAGAAGAAGATGATTCCAATCCTGATGGATGACGTTGAGGGGTTCAAGACTTCAGTGGAGAAAGTCACTGTAGATGTGTTAGAAATAACAAGAGAACTAGAAGTGGAGCCTGTGGGAGACCGAGGTGGGCAGATCATGAGGTCAGGAGATGGAGACCAGCCTGGCTAACACAGTGAAACCCCGTCTCTACTAAAAATACAAAAAAATTAGCCAGGTGTGGTGGCAGGCACCTGTAGTCCCAGCTACTCAGGAGGCTGAGGCAGGAGAATGGTGTGAACCCGGGAGGCGGAGCTTGCAGATCGCACCACTGCACTCCAGCCTGGGCGACAGAGCGAGACTCCATCTCAAAAAAAAAAAAAAGAAGTGGAGCCTGAAGATTGCTGCAATCTCATGATTAAACTTAAATAGATGAGGAATTACTTATATGAATAAGCAAAGCAAGTGGGTTCTTGAGGTGTACAAAACCTTAGTTGATAAAGCATTAGGAAGGATTGAGAGCATTTACTCCAATTTTGCCAGAAGTTCTACTGTAGGTAAAATGCTGTTAAACAGCATCACATGCTGCAGAGAAATCTTTTGTGAAAGGAAGAGTCAATCAATGGAGCAAACTTAGTTTTTGTCCTATTTAAGAAATTGCTGGCCAGGTGTGGTGGCTAATGCCTTGGGAGGCCAAGGCGGGTGGATCACTTGAGGTCAGGAGTTCAAGACCAGCCTGACCAACATGGTAAAACCCCATCTCTACTAAAAAATACAAAATTAGCTGGGCATGGTGGTGCATGCCTGTAATCCCAGCTACTTGGGAGGCTGAGGCAGGAGAATCGCTTGAACCCGGGGGGCGGAGGTTGCAGTGAGCCGAGGTCGTGCCATTGCACTCCAGCCTGGGCAACAAGAGCAAAACTGCATCTCAAAACAAAACAAAACAAAACAAAAAAGAAGCAAATTGCCACAGTCACCTAACCTTCAGCAACCACCACCCTGATCAGTCAGCAGCTATCCACATCGAAACAAGACCCTCCGCCAGCAAAATGATTACAATTTGCCAAAGGTTCAGATGATCATTAGCTTTTTATAGCATTAAATATTTTAAATTAACGTATGTACTTTTTTTAGACGTAATACTATTGCACACTTAATAGGCTACAGTATAGCACAATTGTAACTTTTATATTCACTGGGAGACCAAAAAATCCGTGTGCCTCTCTTTATTGTGATATTCATTTTATTGCAGTGATCTGAAACCACACTCATAATAATTCTAAGGTATGCCTGTAAATAAAACGTTGCTTATGAAAAAAAAAAACAAATAGTAATTTTCGATAGACTCTTTTTGCTGAAATAACTTTAGCTGTGTGGTTCAAGGTTCCTGCTTTTACAGATGTGAATCGCGGAGTTGTTTGCATTCTCCTGGGGCTGTGCAGCCAGATATCTTGAAGCTGAGAAGTGACCATGCTTCCAGTCCAGTCTCTAGCAATATTTCCATATACCATAGACAAATTAATTCTAGAGTGTAACTTCTGCATGAAATATATGTAGATCAGAAAGGGACCTCTGGAAGACACCTGGATCATTCTTCATTTACATCAACATTGGACCACAGTTAAATTAGTTAGCCATATAAAGTGCTATCTAAATTTATTTTATAATTTTCCTTTGGAGTAACACCATTGAAAAGAGGCCTTGAAAAACAGTGTTCATTTGCATTGTTTTTCTCCCTATCTGCCTGTATAAAATATTTGCCAGCCTGGAAAAAGCTGACCAAAAATAGGGCTCTGATAATGCCAGGTCTTTTAATTAGATTTTTAAAGGACTGAAAATTAACCTGTCTTATGAATACTCTGAGAGGCAGCTTCTTCTTTTTGTTCCCTCACCTCATGCCACCCTCAGATGAAGGGGAATTGAAGCTTAGTTCTGTGTCCTTACCTGCTCAGCACCACCTGCTCATCACAGTTACACTTTCCTTTCTAGTCAGTGGTATCAGTGATGCATATCAGTTGAGGATTATTATTATTCTTTTCTTGGTGATGTTATTTTTCATATTTATTTCTATTCTGTAGAACATTTAAAAACATATGTTGGTTTTTATTCTATTTTATGCTGTTTCAAAAGAGGGAATTGCTATCACTACATTTTAAATGTCTTGTGTACAGTTTCATCTTGCTGTCTGCCATGGTACCTAAAACAAAGCAGATTCTGAATAAGTGAAGAAAGTTGATATCTTGATAGCTTGTTTCTGAGTATGTCTGATCACCTCTTAATTGAGTACCTTATTTCTGGTGCTGCCATATTATAACTACTCTACAAATGTTCCTAAAATAAAGAAAAATAGAAAAACTGATTTTTAGGAGCTTTCTATATCAATAGGACCTAAAATAATATACAGAAATAAATGCTTTGATTCTGAGCTGCCTTGTTATTAATGATACACAAATTAGATCCCAACTTTTTTTTTTTTTTTTTTTTGGTGGGGAGACGGAGTCTCGCTCTGTCGCCCAGGCTGGAGTACAATGGTGCAACCTCAACTCACTGCAACCTCCGCCTCCTGGGTTCAAGCAATTCTCCTGCCTCAGCCTCCTGAATAGCTGGGATTACAGGTGCCTGCCACCATGCCTGGCTAATTTTTGTATTTTTAGTACAGATGAGGTTTCACCATGTTGCCCAGACTGGTCTTGAACTCCTGATGTCAGGTGATCTGTCCTCCTTGGCCTCCCAAAGTTCTGGGATTACAGGCAGGAGCCACTGTGCCTGGCCCCAACATTTTTTTTTTTTTTTTGAAACGGAGTGTCACTCTGTCACCCAGGCTGGAGTGCAGTGGGACGATCTTGGCTCACTGCAACTTCTGCCTCCCAGGTTCAAGCGATTCTCCTGCCTCAGCCTCCCGAGTAGCTGGGATTACAAGTGCTTACCACCACGCCTGGCTAATTTTTGTATTTTTAGTAGAGACGGGGTTTCACCATGTTGCCCAGGCTGGCCTTGAACTCGTGACCTCAGGTGATCCACCAATCTCCCTCGGCCTCCCAAAGGGCTGGGGTTACAGGTGTGAGCCACCATGCCCAGCTGGCCCCAACTTTTTAATCTTACAAATTCCCTTCTGTAAGTTGAAGAAAATATTTGCCTAAATCCCAATTGTTTAGATTCTTAATGTAGATTATGCTTTCATTATATAAATGATTTACCCAGCTTTGAAATTGTCACTAGTGATAAGGACTCAAGGTCAAGAGCTTTGGGTATCAAGGAAGGTGTAGGAAAACTGAGAAAGACATTTCTCCGAAAATATGACTAAGCTGGTAGCCCTATGGAGGGAGGAAGCGGGTAAGGGGGGATCCAGAATTCTGAAAGGGGTAATAGTGCTGTGCAGAGCAGGAATACTTAAAGTCATTGAAGCTTGAGTTTAGAGATCAGCCTGGGATGATATTTAGAAATTTATCATTATTTTGGCTGTCAGGCATGTGAACATCCTTCCATGTTTAAGGAAGTCTCCATCCCTATGTTTTAAGAGATCCCCTTAGAGGAGCTCAAAGTTTGCTTTTGCAGCCTTTCTTAGAACTGGGATATGGGCCCCCCATCTAGAAGCCACCAATCAAGTGAACCTGTCCCAGACATTGAAGCAGAAACTACAGTAGGAAAGTGGGACCAAGTTGAACCCATCCTGGTGGGTGGAGGGAGTAGGGTGGACATGCTGGCAGCTACCTTTAGGGCCCATGACAGCACTTCTGGCAGTAGTTCCTGATGTCCATTGCGTGGATGATGGAGTGAAAGCCACTATCTCTGTGCTTAGTTGTGTTGGAAATGGTATCTTCAGTGGATTTGTTCTGCCCCATGATTTTGGTTGGTGCTTACGTTAGGTATCTATTGCTGCATAGCAAATTACCCCAACATTTGACAGCTTAAAACAAACATTGAATATTCCACAGTCCCTGTAGGTCAGGAACCTGGGTGTGGCTTAGCTGGGTCCTCTGCTCAGGGTCTCTCTTGAGGCTGTAATTAAGGTGTCCTCTGGGGCTGCAGTCATCTCACAGCTGAACTGAGGGAAGCTCTGCTTCCGAGATTCCTTTAGTGGTTGTTGTTGGCACATTTCAGTTCCTTTCAGGCTGTTGGCTACTGAGGCCTCTCTCACCTCCCTGCCATGTGGGTCTCTCCATAGCACAGCTCACGACACCAGTGTGTGTGTGTGTGTGTGTGTGTGTGTGTGTGTGTGTGTGTATGAGAGAGAGAGAAAGAAGAGAGAAAGAGAGAAGAGAGAGAGAAAAAGAGAGAGAGAGAGAGACAGAAGAGAGAGAGAGAAAGAGAGAGAGAGAAAGAAGAGAGAGAGAGAGAGAGAGCTCCAGGAAAGGAGAGAAGTTTGGAGAAGCAAGCAAGCAAGAAGGTATAGTGTTTCTATAACCTGATCTGATAAGTAACCTCCCATCACTTTTGCTGTACTCAGTTCATTAGATGTCGGGCACTAGGTCCAGGCCACGCTCAAAGGGAGGGGATTGCAGAAGGGTGTGAATACTGAGACAGGAGACATTGGTACTATTATTTAGAGGCTGCCTACTGCAGTCGCCTTGGCCTCTTAGCCTCAGAGCCTGGTTTTGTTCCACCTCCCACCCTCTGATTCTGGAAGCAATTCAATATTTTGGTAATAAATATTCCTTTCTGCCTGTAGTAAAAAGCCTTGCTAATACAGATAGCTGCCCTCGAAGCCTTTCTCAGACCCCTGGGCCTTACCCCCTGCTGTCCTTTTTAGTTTACATTTACTGTTTTTGAATATAATTTGGGAAATGCAGGAAAGGAGAATGTAAATTTCCCTCATAGTACTGTTATAAAGAGATAATTACCCTTAACAATTGACCATATTTATTTTTAGACTTTTTTGCTGTTTTTTAATCACTGAGATAATATTATATATATAATTCTATAACTTAACTGTCTTAATATCTTATAAGAATGTTCCCTGTCAAAAAGCCCCTCATTTTTAAAGTGTGTTGTTAGGTAAGTCAAGAGTGGCCTGGTCCTGGGGGAGGTGCTCAAGCTGGGCAGGAGTCTCGCTGCATTGTCTGTGAAAGAGGGGCTTGTGAAATGCAAAGTGAGGCATAAGTGTTAAGGACACATGTAACCTGCTTAGGTGAATAAGCTGCTCTGAGGGATATTAGCATGCTTGTTGTTGTCTTAGTTCCTTTGAGCTGCTATAACAAAACCACCTTGGACTGGGCAACTTGTAAACAACAGAATTCATTGCTCGTGGATCTAGATGCTGGGAAGTCCAAGATTAAGGTGATGGCAGATTTGGCGTCTGGTGAGGGCCTGTTTCTCATAGATAGTACCTACTATTTGTCCTCACGTGACAGAAGGGGCAAGGGAGCTCGTTGGAGCCCTCATGACTTAATCACTTCCCAAATGCCTCACCTCTTAATACTATCATATGGGTGAGGTATTAGGTTCTAATACATGGATTTTGGGGGACACCAGCATTCACACCATAGCAGTTGTACATAATGGGATGGAATGGTAGTTTGTTGTGAAGAGTCATCTATTCTTTCACTTTTTAATAAAAATAGAAATGGGGTCTTACTATGTTGCCCAGGCTGTTCTCAAACTCTTAGCCTCAAGCAATCCTCCTGCCTTGGCCTCCTGGAGTGTTGGGATTACAGGGATGAGCTTTTGTGCCCAGCCAAGTCATCTTGTTTTTTGGTGGAGGGGGATTCTCACTTTGTCACCCAGGCTGGAGTGCAGTGGTACAAACATGATTCACTGCAGCCTCAACCTCCTGGACTCAAGTCATCCTCCTGCCTCAACCTCCTGTGTAGCTGGGATCATAGGCACATGCTACCATGCCTAGCAAATTTTTTTATTTTTTGTAGAGACAGAGGCTTATTTTTTTGCCTAGGCTGGTCTTGAAATCCTAGGGTCAAGTGATCTTCCCATCTCAGCCTCCCAAAGTGCTGGGATTACAGGTGTGAGCCACTGGGCCTGGCTCCAGGTTCCAAGTCATCTATTTTTGAATAGAAGCCTGGTTTGATTTTTCAAACTATAGTATCTCTAATTAATTCTACTTAATTGAAAGTAATAAGACTTCCCTTTTTTGAAAGTCTCCACTCCCCCTTATTTTGCCCCTAATTCAGACTGTCTGCTTTCTAGTCAGTCTGAAGTAATGATTAGCTTAATGATACAACATTTTATTTTCAGTTTTTACTTTTCAAAAATGATTTTTAATTGTAGTAAAATACATGTGACCTAAAATCTACCTAACATCTTAACTATTTTTAAATGTATACAATAAACCCTTTTTAAAGTGTGTTCAGTAGTATTAAATACATTCCCATTGTGTGCAGCCAATCTCCAAAACTCTTCATCTTGTAAAACTGAAACTCTATACCCATTCAGCAACAACTCCCGATACCCTCCTACCTTCAGCCCTTTGCCATCACCATTTTACTTTCTGTCTCTATGAATTTGATATAAATGGAATCATACAATACACTTTCTTTTATGTCTAGCTTATTTCAATCAGCATAATACCTTCAAGGTTCCTTCATTTTGTAATATGTATCAGAATTTCCTTCTTCTTAAAGGCTAAGATTCCATTGTATGTACATACACGTTTTGTTTATCCTCTCATCCATCAATGGATGCTTGGGTTACTTCCACCTTTTGGCTATTGTGAATTTATTCTCATTTTTAAATGGGATGTTTTGTTCCATTTCAGGGTAAGAAGTTGCCTTATCACCTTGGGGATGATGCAGAGGAAGGGGAAGTTTCTGATGAGGACAGTGCAGATGAAATTGAAGACGAGTGCAAATTCAAGCTCCATTATGTAAGTTGCAGGCATGACCATATTTTTTATCCTTGATATGCTGTATTAAAATGGAGTTCCAAGTTGCTACTGTGTTGGAGGCCTCACAATTATGGTGGCTGTGGTGTAGAAAGGATATTCATTGAAAATTACTTTATTTGC